>NC_000010.11:30618564-30922847 GCF_000001405.40 Homo sapiens
AGAAATGGGGAAAGAATTCTCTATTTAATAAATGGTGCTGGGAAAATTGGCAGGCCATATGTAGAAAGCTGAAACTGGATCCCTTCCTTACACCTTATACAAAAATTAATTCAAGATGGACTAAAGACTTAAATGTTAGACCTAAAACCATAAAAACCCTAGAAGAAAACCTAGGCAATACCATTCAGGACATAGGCATGGGCAAGGACTTCATGTCTAAAACACAAAAAGCAATGGCAACAAAAGCCAAAATTGACAAATGGGATCTAATTAAACTAAAGAGCTTCTGCACAACAAAAGAAACTACCATCAGAGTGAACAGGCAACCTACAGAATGGGAGAAAATTTTTGCAATCTACTCATCTGACAAAAGGCTAATATCCAGAATCTACAAAGAACTCAAACAAATTTACAAGAAAAAAACAAACAACCCCACCAACAAGTGGGCAAAGTATATGAACAGACACTTCTCAAAAGAAGATATTTATGCAGCCAACAGACACATGAAAAAATGCTCATCATCACTGGCCATCAGAGAAATGCAAATCCAAACCACAATGAGATACCATCTCACATCAGTTAGAATGGCCATTATTAAAAAGTCAGGAAACAACAGGTGCTAGAGAGGATGTGGAGAAATAGGAACACTTTTACACTGTTGGTGGGACTGTAAACTAGTTCAACCATTGTGGAAGTCAGTGTGGCAATTCCTCAGGGATCTAGAACTAGAAATACCATTTGACGCAGCCATCCCATTACTGGGTATATACCCAAAGGATTATAAATCATGCTGCTATAAAGACACATGCACACGTATGTTTATTGCAGCACTATTCACAATAGTAAAGATTTGGAACCAACCCAAATGTCCAACAATGATAGACTGGATTAAGAAAATGTGGCACATATACACCATGGAATACTATGCAGCCATAAAAAAGGATGAGTTCATGTCCTTTGTAGGGACATGGATGAAGCTGGAAACCATCATTCTCAGCAAACTATCACAAGGACAAAAAACCAAACACCGCATGTTCTCACTCATAGGTGGGAATTGAACAATGAGAACACATGGACACAGGAAGGGGAACATCACACACCGGGGACTGTTGTGGGGTGGGGGGAGGCGGGAGGGATAGCATTAGGAGATATACCTAATGCTAAATGAGGAGTTAATGAGTGCAGCACACCAAAATGGCACATGTATACATATGTAACAAAGTTGCACGTTGTGTACATGTACCCTAAAACTTAAAGTACAATAATAAAAAAATTAAAAAAAAGAAAAGAAAATTTAGATATTAAAGAGACAGCTCTTTCAAATACTAAAAAATGGCATGTTGCAAGTGTTAAAAAGCTGGAAAAATTCACAAAAATCTGCAAAAAGGAAATATTTCTGCAATTTTCTGTTTGGCACAGATAATATGATTTTCCTACATATTTTTGTGTTTGTATTTATCGATTGCTTCTTCATATGCCAAAAATTGTGTAATATCATCTTCTACAAGGAGAATAGAAGGATCGTTTAGAATTTCCTCAAGGGCAGAGGTTGGTAAACTGCAGCGTGAGGCCACTGCTGTTTTTGTAAATAAAGTTTTATTAGAACACACAAAAAATAAAAATAAAAAACAGATCCCTGGGTGGAGATTTAAGATGCTAATGAGACATGAGATGTATGGACAATCATGTACAGCTACTGAGTAAGTGCACCAAGAGGATCGCCCAGAACATGCTTACTAGCAACACCTCTTCCCACCCGCTTATGAGTAACCATGGAAGTCTCCATTAAAGGGAGCATCCCTGGTACCAGTCTTTGTTGTCCAATCTTCACGAGCAGCCTGCCTTGATATCTTCCTCTCTCAGGGTGTACTGTCTATTCTGCACCTAACTTTCAAAATAGTCTTTTTCTTTCTCAATAAATTACTTTATGCTACATCTCCTTTGCTATGTGTCTTTTGTTGAAATTCTTTTAAACTAAGAAGACAGGACCCGAGGACTCACAAGAGCCGTCAACACATACACTGTGTGTGTATTCAATAAAAAATTATTCCATGCGCAGAGGCAGAGAAATGTGACACATACTAAGAAAAAGATCGGTCAAGGGCAAGACTCAGAAAGGACAGTTGATTGCATTAGCTGATAAGAAATTTAAATCACTGCTTATAAATATGATGATTTATATCAAGGACTTAAAGAGAAACAGGAATAAAATGAAATGAAAGAAACAAAATTATGATGCCAAATAAAAAACACAGTATCTGAAAAGAAACATCCAATCAATAAGTTTAACAGATTAGCATTAAAAAAAAAAGTAACAGCCGACTTGAAGACATAATAATGGAAACTATTGAAAATAAAATACAGGGAGGGAAAAATACTAAAAAACGAGGAACCTCAATGATGAATGGTACAGCATCAGCGATCGAACATACATGCCGTTAGAATTCTTGAAGGAGAAAAGAAAAGCATTAGAAGAAAGAATGGCTGAAATGTTTCCAAATTTAATGAAAATTATAAACTCAGGGATACAAAATGTTAATGAATACCAAGTAAGATAAACACAAATATCACACATCATCGAATTGCTGAAAATGAGTGACAAAGAGAAAATCTTAAAAACAACTAGAGAAAAAAAACACATATTACATACCGGGGACAAACAGAAGGAAATCACTGGTTTCCCATCATACACAAGGCAAGCCAGAAAGCAACCGAATATCTTTAAAAACTTGAAGCCAAGTGTGGTGGCTCACAACTGTAATCCCAGCACTTTGGGAGGCTGAGGTGAGAGGATTGCCTGAGCCCAGGAGTTTGAGACCAGCGTGGGTAACATGACGAGACCCCATCTCCACAATTTTTTTTTTTTTAAATCAGCCAGGCATGGTGGCACGTGCCTGTAGTCCCAGCTGCTCAGGAGGCTGAGGCATGAGAATTACTTGAGTCCAGGAGGTCAAGGCTGCAGTGAGTTGTGATCATGCCACTACACTCACAGTGTTGTTCTGAGACAGAGCACGACCCTGTCTCAAAACAACAACAATAACAACTTGAGGTGGAAAAGAACTGTCAGCCCAGAATTTTATATGTAAAGAAAATATTCCTCAAAATCAAAATAAGTACAGATATTTTCAGACAGAAAGAATGCTTGCTAATAGACCTCTACTCTAAAACAAAACAAAACAAAGTTAAAGAAAGTTCTTTAGGCTGAAGGAAAACGATATCAATTAACTGTCTGCTCAAGTAAATCCACCAAAGGAATGAAGAGTATTGGAAATAATAATGTGTAATAGATACTATAAAACTTTTTTCTCATTTAAAAATTTATTTAAAAGACAATTGTTTAAAGAAAAAATTATAAAAATGCATTGTGAGGTACACAAATATAGAAGAAAAATGCATGACAATACAGCACAAAGGATGGAATAGGAAAAATTGAAGTATACTGTTAAGAAACTCATACGTTACATATGAAGTGGTGTGTTACTTGAAGGTAAGATGTAATAAGATAATGATGCCTATTGGAAACCCTACAGTAACAACTAAAAACAAAATAGAAGTATAGCTAACAAACCAATGGAGGAAATAAAAGAGAATACTAAAAAATATTCAATAAATTCAAAAGAAGGCAGAAAAAATGGAACCAAGAATAGATGGCACAAACAGAAAACAAAATAGCAAGATGTAATTTAAAACTAGCCATATCAGCCGGGTGCAGTGGCTCACTTCTGTAATCCCAGCACTTTGGGAGGCCAAGGTAGGCAGATCACAAGGTCAGGAGATCGAGACCATCCTGGCTGACACAGTGAAACCCCATCTCTACTAAAAAAAATACAAAAAATTAGCTGGGCGTGGTGGCATGTGCCTGTAGTCCCAGCTACTCAGGAAGCTGAGGCAGAAGAATCACTTGAACCCAGGAGGCAGAGGGTGCAATGAGCCAAGATCGCGCCACTGTACTCCAGCCTGGGCGACAGAGCAAAGCTCCAACTCAACAAAACAAAAAAAGAAAAAAAAAGAAAAAGAAAAAACTAGTCATATCAGTAATCACATTAAATGCAAACGGCCTAATCATGGCATAACCCACAGGCCAATCTCCCGTTTCTGTAAATAAAGTCTTATTGGAACACAGCCAGGCCCATTCATTTATATACTTTCTATGGCTGCTTTCACACTATGTCATGGTTGGGTAGTTGCAATCGAAACCATATGGCCTGAAAAGCCTAAAATATTTATCATTTGGCCCTTTAGGCAAACATTTGCTGACCTATGTTTTAATCACTCCTACTGAAAAACAGTAATTACCAGAATGGATATAAAAGCAACACATAACTCTACATGACTTATAAATAATTCACCTTAAATATAAAGACAGATGGATTAAAAGTAGAAGGATGGAAAGAAACATACTATACAAATATTTCCTCAAAGAAAGCGAGAGTGGGCTATACTGCTATCAAACAAAGTAGATTTCTGGATGAGAAATAGCACCAGAGTTAAGGAGAAACTTGGACTCCAGTGATAAAAGAGTCAATTCACCACAAGGACATAACAACCCTCAAAGAATATATGCCTAAGAACAAAGCTTCAAAAATGGACGAGACTGAAAGGTGAAATAGACAAAGCTAAAATGATAGTTGCAAATTTCAATATGTATTTCTCACCGTATAGTAGAACAAGTAAGAAAATTAGAAAGGAAGTAACAATCATTTATAGAACATCCACCCACCAAATATAAAATACACATTTTTTTTCCAAATGCACATTCACCGTAAGACACATTTGCTGTGCTGTAAAACAAGGTTAAAGAAATATTAAAGGTTTGAAATCATATAGACCTGGGATCTCCAACCCCTGAACCACAGACCTATGTGTGTCTGTGGCCTCACAGCAGGAGGTGAGCAGCAGGTGAGTGAGTGAATCTTCATCTGTATTTACAGACCCTCCCCATCTCCCACATTACTGCCTGGACTCCACCTCCTGTCAGATCAGTGGCCGCATTAGATTCTTATATAGGTGTGAACTCTACTGTGAACTGCGCTTGCAAGGGATTTAGGTTACATTCTCCTTATGAGAATCTAATGCCTGATGATCCGTCACTGTCTCCCATCACCCCCAGATGGGACTGTCTAGTTGCAGGAAAATAAGCCCAGGACTCCCACTGATTCTACATTATGGTGAGTTGCATAATTATTCCTTATATATTGCAATGTAATAATAATAGAAATAAAGTGGACAATAAGTGTAATGCGCTTGAATCATCCTGAAACCATCCTCCTCCCCCTCGTCCACGGAAAATTTGTCTTCCACAGACTGTTCCCTGGTGCCAAAAAGGTTGGGGACCACTGATACAGACCATATTCTCTTACTGTAATGAGGTGAAACTAGAAATCTTTAATAAAAGCTCATTCTGGGATCATCCTTCACTCTCAGGCTGGGCATTCCTCTTGCCTTTCTCCCTCATCGAGTCCCTTGTTTCCCGAACTATGTTTCCTCTTACTTGCTTTAGTTTATCCTTTTGGTGGAGTATGTTTTCCTATAGTTTTGTGAGAGAGGGTGCATGGGAGCTGGGCTGAGTATCTCATCTTTGCCCTGATGGATCCACTCTCTACCCTTCTCCACCATGCTCTGTGCACTCAGAGGCCAACACACACAGTTGGCGTCAATGGATTCCCATGTCCTCTGACTTCTGGAGGGGTTTAAATAAGAGTAGGCATCAGCAGGGAAGGGACAGAAGAAGGACACTGAGGTTGGCATATACATATAATATCTTCCAGCTTTATTTCTGTCAGGTCACTCAGCACAAGTCATGTCCCTTGAGGGAAGATCTCAGATCCTAGAAGGCAGTCCTCTCCCGGCAGACCTTTTGTACCTCAGTGCTGGTCAAAGCTCTCTTTCCATTCCTCTTTGGGCAAGGGATTCTTAATCCCTCACTTCACTATTGCCATGGTTTTTCTATGATTTGATCAGATCCTTGTAAGTAGAGTCTATTAATATTCTCTTCCAATTACCCAGTTTGCATTTGTTCTGTTTTCCAGCCAGGATTCTTTATGATACAGGAGGTAAAAAATGTAACAACTTGATTCTCAGAAAATATACTCTAGGTGGCTAGAACTACAGGCATATGCCTGGCTATTTTTAATTTGTGTGGAGACAGAGTCTGGCTGTAGGGTCTCACTATGGGGTCTCGCCCAGGCTGGTCTTGAACTCCTGGCCTAAGGTGACTCTCTGACTTCACTCTTGTACCTTGCATGGCAAAAGGGACTCTGCCTGAGTCCTTAGAAGCAGAGAATCTTGCCCAGCTGTGGTTACAGAGAGATCCCATGACAGAAGAAGGAGGAAAGATTCAAAGTGTGAAAGGGACTCGACCCACTATTGCTGGCTGTGAAGATGGAGTAAGGGGCCATGAGTCAAGGGGTGTGAGTGGTCCCTAGAAGCCTGGAATGGCCCTTGGGTGACAACCTGCAAGCAACAAGGATCTCAGTTCGACACCCCCAAGGAACTGAACTCTGCCAAAACCCAAATGAGCAAGGACATGGATTTTCCTACAGAGCCTCCAGAAAGGAAAACAGGCCTGTGAGCACCTTGACTTCAGCCCTGTGAATCCGCTGGCACTCTTCCAGCCTAGAGGACTGTAAGGAAATTTTGCGGTGTTTAAGCCACAAGTTTGTGGTAATTTTTTAGGGCAGCATTAGAAACTTAATTCCTTTCTAAGTGAATTCAATGATATTTTAATGACTCGGTATGTTGGACAAGATTCTCTCCTTCTAAGGACTCATGAGATTGGATTGGCTCCACCCACATTGCCCAGGATAATCTCTCTTGCTCAGGCTCAGATCCTTCCTCACATCTGCAAAGTCCCTTTTGCCATGTAAGGTACAAGAGTGAAGTCAGACAGTCACCTTAGGCCAGGAGTTCAAGACCAGCCTGGGAGAGAACCCCATAGCAAGACCCCACAGACAGACTGTCTCTACAAAAAAAAACAAAAATAAAAATAGCTGGGCATATGCCTGTAGTTCCAGCCACCCAGAGGAGGGAAGGTTGCTTGAGTCATGGAGGTCAAGACTGCAATGAGCTATGAACGCACCACTACACTCCAGCCTGGGCAACAGAGTGAGACCCTGTCTCAAAAAAAGAGAAAAGAGAAAGAAACGTAAATTGTATTCATCTCATTCTGCTCAAAGAAGTACAAACTGCATCCTTTGAGTGAATTGCTTATGGAAAGCAGCTGGCAGGCAGCTTCCTTTTTCTTACTGAAGACATCAAATATCTCTATACATGAAAGCACAGTAGGGTTGTTTGTCCATCCCCCTGCTTTAGGGGAGGGCTTCATAAAACTGTCTACAAGGAATAAGTCATCTTTGGACAAGTCAGCCGCAGGATCCTGAGTGTCACCTTGGAAACTGTTGCATAATTTACCAATCTTGAACAGACCTATTTGCAAGTCTGAACTCCAAATTTTAGTTAAAGCAAGACATGGTTGGTGATCCCATTGTCGGCTTTCTCACCTGGTCCTGAGGATGGCATCACTGGAAAGTCAGAGCCTCACCTGAGCAGGCGACGTGGCAGTGGTTGTTCTCCTTCAGCTTTCCGCGTCTGCACCACGCGAAGCTGTTGATCTGGAAGATGCCGTAGTCGATGCTGCCGTCATCCAGGACCGTCTGGGCTGTGGTGTTGTAGCCGCTCTCATAATACGCCATGCAGATCCCTGGAGGGGGGAAAGCCAGAAACGCCAGCAAAGGAGGTGCCATCTTTTGCTCTAAGCTTGGTCTAAGGGCAAGTTTCCTCATCCCTGTTACCTGACTGCTTCCTCCCAATACACCTTGGGCAGGGCAGGGCGGGCATGTGCCCAGGGGGCACACGAGGGGCACATCAGGGGCTGGGATGGCACACCTGAAGCTGCACACCCAGTCAGGGGCTGAGCCTAATCTAGACCAACAGTCAGGTCCCCCCACTCCCCACAATGCCAGCAGAGGTGGCATTATTTTCCCCTTCCCTGGCTAGTGTCATAAGGACAGGACTCCAGGAATAAGGAAATGAGGGGCAGGGGAGGAAGGAGAGGAGACCCAGAGAGCCACAGTTAGGCCAGCAGCCACCCCTGGGTGTGGTGAGGGCAGAGCAGGGGTAGTTGGGGAGACACAGCAGGGAGTGTAGCCAGGACCTTCAACATCTCAGGGGAAAGGTCAAGGACAGAAAGAGAGCAGGAAAGAAATAATCTCACAGTTTCCAAGGCTGAAGCCCCAGTAATTGTCCAGGCCAGCCCTCGAGAATATTTTTGCCAGTTTGCAACGAGTGTAGATTTTGGACTCGGCGCCTGTGACCAGGCAGCCAATGAGGGTCAGAATGCCCGCAGCCTTCATCCTCAAAGCCTGCCGGAGACAGAACCTGCCAAAGAGCCGGAGAACAGGTCAGACGATCTTGATTCAGGAACTTCGAAATCCAGCATCGGTGACTGTGCACAGCCCTGCCTAGATGCTGCCTGTCACTTTGGTCATTCAGTGCCACCATCAGGGAAAACCGGCCACTCTACGGTCCAGGGAAGGAATGTGACTGCAGGCTGTCTCCTTAATGCTTTTCCATACAGTAACTTTCAAGTCAATGCTGTGTTCTCAGGGTTAAGTAAGTGAAAAAATTAACCTTCCTTAATACACATCCAGGTGAAAACCACAAGGGGCATTTTTAGGATTTCTATTTTAATTCTATGAATGAAAAATAGAATACAGGGGTGAAACATTCCCTATACTGCTGACCCTTGAACATCATGGGTTTGAACTGCGTGGGTCCATTTATCCGTGAATTTTCTTCTGCCTCTGCCACCCCGAGACAGCAAGACCAACCCCTCCTCTTCCTCCTCCACCTCAGCCTGCTCAGTGTGAAGACCACCAGGATGAAGCCCTTTATGATGATCCACTTCCACTTAACAAATAGTAAATATAATATAATAGTAAATATTTACTATTAACAAATAGTTAATATTTACAAATAGTAAATATATCTTCTCTTCCTTATGATTTTCTTAATAACATTTTCTTTTCTCTAGCTTACTTTATTGTAAGAATCCAGTATAGACATAGAACGTACAAAATATGTGTTTATTGGCTGTTCATGTTATTGGTAAGGCTTCCAGTCAGCAGTAGGCTATTAGTCGTTAAGCTTCTGGGGAGTCAAAAGTTACATGCAGATTTTCAACTGAGCAGGCATTGGCACCCCGACCCCTACATTTGTTCAAGGATCAACTGGGTGTGTAGAAACAGACACCCCATTTCAGCCAGAGATGAAATACACGTGGACCTGAATGGAAAACTTTAAGATTCATCGTCTAGGCCAGGCGCGGTGGCTCACGCCTGTAATCCCGGCACTTTGGGAGGCCGAGACGGGCGGATCACGAGGTCAGGAGATCAAGACCATCCTGGCTAATGCGGTGAAACCCCGTCTCTACTAAAAATACAAAAAAATTAGCCGGGTGTGGTGGCATGTGTCTGTAGTCCCAGCTGCTCGGGAGGCTGAGGCAGGAGAATGGCGTGAACCCAGGAGGCTGAGCTTGCAGTGAGCGGAGATTGCGCCACTGCACTCCAGCCTGGGCGACAGAGCGAGACTCCGCCTCAAAAAAAAAAAGATTCATCGTTTGGGGGTTTATTGAAGGGTGAAGATTAAGCACCTAATCTTTCCTTTTCTTTTCTTGATGCATTTCAAAATGTGGGAGCATTGCTTCCAAAGTACTAGTGTTTTATCTTAGATTGCAAATGCATTGCTTTGCTAAGCTTCACAACCAGTGCTCCGGGCGGCCTCCTAAAAGTCTGGCACCTGACTGGGGAGCAAGAGGGATGGAGGACAAAGCCTCATGAAAGGAGGAAAGCACCTGGGGGAGCAGAGGGACAATAAAGAGGCCCCCATAGAATCGTCTGAAATGGGAGTAGGATCAAGAGCGCTGTCTCCTGCTGCCTACTGATTTTCCACAATCTCCTCCCCTCTTAAAATAATGTCTTCCCCAAACACAACAGCCTTGCTGGGATGGGGTGAAGTGAAATTTCTGACAACTACTCGGGATCCTGAACTTGATGTTCTTACATATGTTCATCCCGTGTCATTTTCTGCACTTGCCTGGAAACTTCTCTAGTCATTAGTTTCTCTCCCTGGGGCTGGATTCCTGCATTGAAAGGCTAGGCCCAAAACAGGGATAAGTAGTCATCAGCAAGGCCACCGCACCGAGTAACAAGCAGGGCTTTAAGGTGACTAAGCAATAAGATAAGGAACTGCATTGCATGAGGGGCATGTACATTACAAACGTGAATAGCAAGCGTGGGCAAACCAGGCCCGCTTTTGTATGTAAAGTTTTATTGAAACATAGCTACTCTCATCATTTGGTAATATATTGTTGGTGGCTGATTTCCTGCTGCAGTGGCAGAGTTGAGTAGCTGTGTTAGAGGCTGTATAGACCACAAAGCCTAACATATTATTATCTGGCCCTTTTCAGAGAGATCATGCCAGTCCGTGGTGTACAGCATTGTGCTAAGCTGTGAGGGACAGACAAACGAGGTTTAAGATGCAGAGCTTAGGCTGGGCATGGTGGCCCACACCTGTAATCTCAGCACTTTGTGAGGGTGAAAAGGGCAAATTGCTTGAAGCCAGGAGTTTGAGACCAGCCTGGGCAACAAAGGTAGACCTCTGTCACTACAAAATACACAAAAATTAGCCAGGCATAGTGGTGTGTGACTGTGGTCCCACCTGTTTGGGAGGCTGAGGTGGGAGGATCTTTTAAGGCTGGGAGGTTGAGGCTGTTGTGAGTTGTGATTGTGCCACTGCACTCCAGCCTGGGCAACAGAGTGACATCCTGTTTCAAAAAAAAAAAAAAAGATGCAGAGCTTACAAATAAGGTTGGTTTCCATCCTCTGCCTTAGAATGTTAACTGATCTCAAACAAGTCAAAACAAAACCCGTAGCAATGATAACCCCAAGCATCATGTTCTACATCCTTCAAGAACCTGCCATTGCTGGTTCTCAGGGACAGGTGGCTTCATAAGAGTAATTTAGGTCTTACTGAAAAGGCAGATTCCTGGTGCCTGCCGCAGAGGCTGACTTCTCAGTTGAGTCTGCGGAAGAAACACTGCTCCACTTAGTCGGTGACAGGCAGCTCAGGGGAGCGTCCTGCATCCCCTGAAGCCATGTCTGATTCTAACAAGGCTCGAGTAATCCTTTCCTAGCTCAAGAACCTTTCTTTAGAGTGTTAGAGAAAGAAAAATTCTTAGTCCTTTGTTTCTCACCACCTAGAGATGCTAGAATTCTACTTCTTGGCACTAAAAGCTATATCATCCTGCACGCTTGTGTTCTGAAGCAGGTGCTAACTCTCTTCTGGGCCTTAATACCTCTCGTTTTTTCTCTTTTCCTCTCAACAACTGTCCTCACTACACAACTTGGCCAGGGCCTCCCGTCCAAGTGAGAGCTCTTCTCTAAGGCAACAGTCTGCAAACTTTATCACAAATTCCATTAATAAAGTTAAGCATGTATCCTCTTTAGATGTATATTAAATTATAAATCACACTTCTGTACCTCTGTACTAATATGCTACATAAATTATCAACATACACAAAACTAAAATCTGAAAATGAATGAGAGGTGAAATTAACATTAAAAATTAATTAACAGCACATTTCTTTGCTATAGTTATATTGTTAATTAATAAAATATTGTCAAAGGAGGGCCACAAAAGAAATAAAAAATTTTTATGTATAATTAACATGATTTCATTGTTTTTTAAAAATTTGGCTTAACACTTTGTGACTCAATAAAGAGCTAGTTTGAAGGTCCATTTATTTCTGTGTTCAGATTTAATGACACATTTGAAATGAATTCTCATTGGAATATGTAGATCTCAGTATAAGTTTGTTGTTAGTTGTACCTAACTAATTATTGTATTTTATTAAATTCCATCTGCAAATAATGCAAAGATCTTGTTGAAATCTAGTTTTAAGTTTATATAGTATTACATTGTGTAGATATAACATATTTAGCCAATTCCATATTGACTCACACTTAAGGTATTTTTTTCTTCTATGATAAACATATTACAATTAGTAATCTTGTACATTTGTCATTTGTACATTTGCAAGAATATCTGTAGGATACATTCCTGGAAATTGAATTGCTGGGTTAAGGACTGTAATTTTGTAATTTTGCTAGATATTGCCAAATTGCCTTCCACGTGGGCTTGTATGACGAAGATGGCTAGCATACCCTATTACCAAAGGTTAAGATATTTGCTAATATTAGAGATGAAACATAATTTGTCAGCAAAGTTTCAATTTCAGCTTCCCTTATTTCAAGCTGTCTGAGCATCTTTTCTTATCTTCAGAAGCCATTTGTGGACTTTTTTCTCTCTCTCTCTCTCTTTTTTTTTTTTTTTAATTGAGACAGAGTCTCCCTCTGTTGTCCAGGCTGGAGCTCAGTAGTGTGATCTCGGCTCATTGCAACCTCCACCTCGCAGGTTGAAGCGATTCTCGTGCCTCAGCCTCCCGAGTAGCTGGTATTACAGGCATGTGCCCCCACGCCCAGATAATTTTTGTATTTTTAGTAGAGATGGTGTTTCACCATGTCTGCCAGACTGGTCTCAAACTCCTGATCTCAAGCAATCTGCTCGCCTCAACCTCCCAAAGTGCTGAAATTATAGGCATGATCCACGGCATCTGGCCTGTGTGCTTTTTCTTGTGAATTGTCTATAATACGAGAAAATACATAGGTTTTTCTTCAAACATCTTTTTCAAAGTGCTTTGAAATAGGAATTTTATAGTCAATGAGAAAATAGAGACAGATTGTCTTTTTTTTCAAAAATGCTTGTTTAGCAAGTTTTCGGATACATAGTAAATATACAAAAGCCATTTCTATTCTTATATACTAGGAATCAAAATATTTTAGATTCTTCTAAAATAAAAAATATCATTTACAACAGCACACACAAGAATATGACGTACTTAAATGTAAACCTAACAAAATCTGTGCAGGATATATATTCTGACAACTGTAAGACAGATGAAAAACTAAAGAAGACCTAAGTGGAAAAGAAATACCATGTTCCTGAATTTAAAAATTCTATGTTGTTAAGATTTAATCTATAGATTTAATGGAATTCCAATTAAAATCCCAGAAAATTGTTTTGAAAATATCAATAAGATGATCTTAAAACTTATACGGAAGGGCAAATGGACTACAATAAACAAAACTATTCAGAAAAAGAACAAAATTGAAGGACTCATTCTACATGATTTTAAGACAATATAAAGCTGTAGTAATCAAGAGAGAATGATATTGGTGGGAAGATAGACCCATAGACCAGTGGAACAGAAGAGAGAACCCAGAAATAGATCTATGAATATTTAGTCAACAACATTTTTTATAAAGATGCTAATTAAATTCAATGGAAAAATGATGTTCTTTTCACCAAATGGTACTAAAATAAGACTGTCTATGCTCAAAACACATGTTCAAAACCAACAAAATAAAAGAAGGCATATTGAAGAATACATACCTTATATCTCATATAAAAATTAATCTAAAATGGATCAAAGACATAAAAGTAAAAAATGAAACTATGAAATTCTATAAGTAAACATAGAAAATCAGCAGGACTTGGGTTTGGCAATAACATTTTAGACACAACAACAAAAGCACAATCCATGAAAGAAAAAAAAAACGTTTAGTTGGACTTGATCAAAATTAAAAATGTTTGCTCTTTGAAAGACACTGTTAAGAGAATGAAAAGACTAGCTACAGACTGGAAGAAATATTTATAAATCACATGTCTGATGAAAGCCTTGTATTCAGAATATATAAAGAACTCTTAAAATTTTACCATAAGCAAACATATGACCCAATTAAAAAATGGGCAACTGATTTAAGCAGACGCTTCATCATATAAGAAATCCAAATGACAAATAAGCATATGAAAAGATGATCAATATCATTGTCACCAGGGAAGTATAAATTAAAACCACAATTAGATATCACTTCTCACTGATTAGAATTGCTAAAATCAATCAGACGACACCAAATGATGATGAAGACAGAGAACCGTAAGAATTCCCATTTATCACTGGTGGAAATGCAAAGTGGTACAGTCACTTTGGAAAACGGTTTGGCAGTTTCTTATAAAGTTAAACACAGACTTATATAAATCAACAATCACACGCCTAGGTATTTAATCAAGTGAATCAGAAACTTACGTTCACACAAAAACAAGCTAACCAATGTTTATAGCAACTTTATTCATAATCACTAAAAAATGGAAGCAACCAAGATGACCTTCAACAGGCAAATATATTTAAAAACCGGGATCTAGCCATACAATGGAATACTACTCAGCAATGAAAGGAATGAGCTATTTGATTCCTGCAACAATGTGGATGAATCTTAAATGCATTTTGCTAAATAAAAGAAGCCAGACCCAGAAGACTACATGTTATATAATTCCAGGCGTATGACATTATGGAAAAGGCAAAACTGTGGGGATGGAAAACAGTTCAGTGATTGTCAAAGATTAGAGGAGAAATCAGCTAAAAAGGGACCACACACGTTCTATTTTAGGTCATTGGAACTGTTCTCTATGGTACTGAGGTAGTTGATACACGGCTTCATGAATTTGTCAAAACCCATAGGCGCATACACCACAAAGGGGGAGCTTCATTGTATGCTAATTTAAAAACTCATCCAGGATGTTGAGGGATACCAGGATAGAATTTAATCTGCGACAAAAAGACCTAACTGTATTACAAATGTATGACATACATTTGCTGAAGGAGTATGAAAAGAGCCACTGATCTAGGTAACTTTGGAAAACAGTGTTTTGACTGGATATTTAAAGTCTAAAGACGAAACAATCTGTACATAAACACTGTATTCCAGTTGGTGAATTTCTTTCTCATAGGGGTAAATGTTAACAATTCTTTTTTTTTTTTTTTTTGAGACAGAGTCTCCATCTGTCACCCAGGCTGGCGTCCAGTAGTGAGATCTCGGCTCACTGCACCCTCTGCCTCCCAGGTTCAAGCGATTCTCCTGCCTCAGCCTCCCCAGTAGCTGAGATTACAGGCATGCACTCCCACACCCAGCTAATTTTTGTATTTTTAGTAGAGACGGGGTTTCGTCATGTTATCCAGGCTGGTCTTGAACTCCTGACCTCAGGTGACCCAGCCGCCTCGGCCTCCCAAAGTGCTGGGATTACAGGCATGAACCACCATGCCTGGCCAGTGTCAGCAATTCTGAAACTACTTTACATATAAACAAATGAAGAAAAGCATTGCAGACGATGGGAGCCAGATTTCACACTGTCAGAGAGAGAAGTTAAAAACAAGCAAAAGAGAAAGACTAGAATTGAACTCTGTGATACTGGATTAGAGTGGGAGACATGAATATAAATCTGTCCATCTACCTAGAAACAGTGGCACTCCAGTAGCAATGAGCATTCTCAATACACAGACTTGCTTCTAATACCATTTCATTCTCCAGTAAAAGAAACCAGGACTCTTTAGAAAATAGGCTGATTGGCCAGGCACGGTGGCTTATGCCTGTAATCCCAGCATTTTGGGAGGCCAAGGCGGGTGGATCACAAGGTCAGGAGATCGAGACCATCCTGGCCAACATAGTGAAACCCCGTCTGTACTAAAAATACAAAAAATTAGCTGGGCATGGTGGTGCGCGCCTGTAGTCCCAGCTACTCAGGAGGCTGAGGCAGGAGAATCACTTGAACCCAGGAGGTGGAGGCTGCAGTGAGGCAAGACTGCAGCCCTGCACTCCAGCCTGGGCGACAGAGCAAGACTCTGTCTCAAAAGAAAAAGAAAACAGGCTGATTTCAGGACTGGGTCAGGGAAAATGCAAAATAAGTGTGCAGTATCTTGTTGGTCCCAGAAAATAAGGAAATGCTGCGGTTGGGGGAGGCGCATATCAAAGAAACACAGGAACCAAACTGAGAAAATTCCCAATGGCCAAAACTGGGACAATCACACAACAAAATAAATAACGATAGCACTGGATTCTAACTCAGAGAATAAAATAAATATATATGAGGACATACTGATATAAATAACTGATTGAATAAATAAATATCTGAGGACAAGAAACAAGTCTGTCTCACAGAAGAATTCTAAGTAATCTGTGTAATCCCCCTCCAGGAAATGGAGTTTAATTCTCCTCCCTTTGAGTAGGGGCTGGACTGACTGACTTGCTTCCCACAGATAGAATATAGAAAGGGGAAAATGGTGACTTTCTGGTGAAGAAACTATCTTAGCCAAGTTATCCAGGTTAACCTCATCAAGGATGAGTCATGTTATGTCCCTCGATGGGACGTGATGAGAAGGGCACTTCACCTCTGTGGTTTTCTTTCCCCAAAATCCATAACCCCACTCAAATCATGAGAAAACATTAATAAAACCCCAAAGGATGGACATCCACAAAATACCTGACTGCTGATCCTCAAGTATGTCAAAGTCAAGAAAAGCAAGGCTGAGAAAACGCTAGACTGGAAGAGACTAAACAAGTATGAGAACTAAAAACAGTGCGGTGTCCTGGATTGGATCCTGGGATAGAAAAAGGACAATATTAGAAAAACGAGTGAAAGCTGAATAAAGCCTGCAGTTAATGCATTGTACCAATGTTAATTTCTTGGTTTTGACAAACGTGCTGTAGACGTGTAAGATGTTCATGTTAGGGAAACTGGGAAAAGGGTATGTGGGACTCTGGACTCCGCACGACTTTTCTATAAATCTAAAATGATTCCAAAGTAAGTTTAAAAATCTGTTAGCTAGCATACTGTTGATAGCCACTTATCACAGAAAAGGTGAGCGGATTTGAATTGCTTGATTATTGTAAAATAAAAGTGATTAACCTCTACAGTGGCCAATGATTCTAACTACGTTGCCAATGAGAAACCCAGCACACAGGTGCCACAAAGGGTCTTCAAAGTCGCTCCTCTTCTCATGATAAATTATGTGAGGGTTCTGTTGTTTGAAGGTCTCATTTTAATCAAATTAACTGTATTAATTTCACTCTACCAATACAGTCTGATCCTACTTACTTTTCATATAAAATGGGACCACACTGGTGATATTGTGTGCCACCTAAACGGCCACATATCGCAGTAAACTAAAAGAAGCAAATGGATAGATACATTATTCTCCATCCTTTTATCTGGGGACCATAGAAAGTAAGATGAAGACACAAGAGCCAAACAACACAGGGGTAAAATTTCAAGCTCCTAAGCTGACTTACACATTTACCTACATGGAGTCACCAGCTGCAAAGCGGAGACCACGCAGAAACACGAAGCAAATCAAACATAGACTTGGTCAGCTCAGTGACGATGATGGCAGCAGAGGTTTTAAATGCGTGCAGTGTTTTCATTTATTTGTTTATTTTAAAATTTGGGGTAAAGTAGACATTACATAAAATGTACTGTTTTAACCATTTTAAAGTATACAATGAGAGTCATTAAGTACATTCACAGCACACATCCAACGGTTCTCTCTAGTTCCATAACTTTTTCATCTCCCCAAAAGGAAACTCTGTTCCCATTAATTCACTTCCCATTTCCCCTTTTCCCAGCTCTGGTACCCACTGCTCTGTGTTCTGTCTCTATGGATTTACCTGTTCTGGGTATTTCCTATAACTGGGTCTACAATGTTTTTACCAGTGTTTTTCAAAGTGTAGTTCTCACCATCAGCCTGGGAACCTCACCTGAAAAACGTGTTAGAATAAAATTTTCTTGATCTTAGTCTAGGTCTGCAGAATCAGAATTAGGGGTGTGGTGGCCTCTAGGAGTCTGAGATTTGGCATGCTCCCCAGGTGATCCTAATGCCCACTAAAGTGTGAGAAAATCTGAAATAGTTAGTCCTCTCCATCTTCTATTAACCTTGACACCGTGGATGGCCACTTTCCTGTGGGCTCAGCTGGCCAACTTGACAAATGAATTTACGATTGGGAATTAATTACTGAGGTTGACTCAATGTGTAACTTTTCCCAACAGAATGGCAATATGAATTGAGACATCTTCAAATACAGTTTTCAGACTGAAAGCTTTAGCTCTTCAGAGACTAAAATCCCCATGATGTTACCTTAGGACTGAGCTCCCTGTTCCCCAAACCCTGCACCAGGAGGTCTGAGCCACCTTAGGGAATGGACACACCCACTCCTAATCCCCAGAGCAATCTGACTTGCTCTCCAGCTCTAATTTCTGTGGGTGTAGGAGCAGTGGAAGGAGCTTGAATATTTGGGCTCTGAATAATAATTGGTTTCAAATTTGTTAGAAAACAAAAAGTCACTGCCTTAACCCAAATCAATGAACTCCTACTAGTCAGATTTCTGGCACTGTTATAGACCAGTGCGGGAGTCATTATGACATTAGGGTGACAGACAGGGCTGAGTCTAAGACTACTCTAGGGAACTTTGGGGATTGTAGCACATGCCCTAAGTTTCAGGGGTTCCCACAGGTAATGCATCTCTAAGTCAAGTCCATTGGGTAAGTCTGGTCGCTAACTCCTGAGCTCAGGTGAGCCTCCTGCCTCAGGCTCGCAAGTAACTGAGAATGCAGTCATACACCACCACACCTAATTTTTAAAAATATTTTTTTAGAGACGAGGTCTCACTATGTTGGTGGTCTCAGCTGAAGTGATCCCCCTGCACCAGTCTCCTGAATTACTGGAATTACGGCCATGCACCACTGTGCCCAGCTCCTCTTGCCCATTTCTGTTTTTTCTGTGATCCCCTTGCTCATTTTTTAAACATTTTTGTCTTTAGGTTTTTAGCCTGGTTTTATCTTCTTGCTCTACCTACCCTGTCCCTGGTTATCTTCTTGGCTTCTTCATCCCCAAATTTATCTCTGGCTGAGATTTCTCTCCTGAGGTTCAGGCCAACATACACAACTGCCAAGACATCCCCACATGGGGACTGGCAATAAACAGATGTATGTAAAAGACACAAGGAATAATTGTCCCATGCTTAGTGAAGGAGAGGGGAAAGAAAAGAGAGAGAAAAACATCAAACATTTCTCCAATGTTTCAAGCCTCAGCACCACCAATCCAAGAGAAAACCTAAGACAGAAACAAGAAGGAATATGAGTTTCGTTTCAGCCATAGTGAATTTTATATAAAGGTGAGCCTTGAAGGCAAAATTTTTCAGAACTCTTTTAGAGTTGTGGTTCTAAGATTCGGAACAGATAGCAAGACACTAAAAAAACAAACCAAGGAGATGACATTCCTAACCAACAATTTGGCCTAGGTGTTCTGTTCTATATACTATTATCCTTACATCCCTGGAAAACACAGCCAAATCCTTTCTTAGGTTTCAGACATACCTGACTGCCCTTTTCCCTGTGGGTCCATCTTCTAGTGTTAATTATTTTTACCATATTCCAAAGATATGATCAGCTAGCTCATAAAAGGACTATCTATGGCAGTATTCTTAAGACCTGAAGTTTGGGATGACCTATGAGCAAGCCCAGTATGTAGGAAGAAATTGAAGTGAAGAAACCCCTTGGAGGCACGATGGAGAAGCCGTCACATGTTGCTGTCAGTAACATGCCTACAGCAGGCAGCTCCAGGGACAGACAACAGGTGAGAGCAAACACCATATTCAGACCATTGACTTTTCTCCATCCTGTTGATATTCCTTCACCATCAGTAGTGAAGAGAAGAGAAATGCTGCTTGCAGAACTCACATTCTCTGAATAGGTGACTCACGAGCACAATGACTCACAGCTTATGTAGGGTTGCTTGGGTCCAAGTGTAACAGGCATCTGTGGCTGCAGTTCAGGAGCTAGTAGAGACAGAAGTCATACAGCATTGTCACCTCCGCCCTCAGCTCCATTGCCCCTGGCTGAGCTGAGGTTCCAAAACAACCCCCACCCTCTCCAGGTACTGCTTCTCCTTGCCTCCATCGATATGCACAGGAGCTTTCGTACGCAGTCAAGGGAGAATTTATTTTATTTTATTTTATTTTATTTTATTTTATTTTATTTTTTGTTAGAGATAGGGTCTCACTATGTTGCCCAGGCTGGACTGAAACTCCTGGGCCTAAGGAACCCTCCTGCCTCAGCCTCCCAAGTGGCTAGGACTGCAGGCACATGTTCACACAGTTGCAGTGTTTATATACAAAATTTTTGCTAAGATACGTTATTGCATCAGTTTTATAGAGACCTATTAGTTATGAGACTCCCTCACTTTTATAACTGTCAATGTTTTAGCTTATAATATGGGCAAGTGAAACTGCAAAAGCCCTTTTATTTAGCTGACAATAAAGCCTCTTAGTTTGGATTCCCTGGGTTTCGATTCCATGGCCCATAGTCATTTTATTCAACAGGTTCTTCTTGAGGGCACGGGGTGGAAAGTTCTGGACCTGCCTGGGGAGGTCAAGGTGAGAATGACAGATAAGGAACTGAAGAGAGAAAGCAGCAATGCAAAATCACAGGCTTTCCCAGAGTATTTGACATTTCATGCACGTAAATACATTTCACTTCATGTACATTAAAAGAAAAGGCCAGGCCAGGCACGGTGGCTCACGGCTGTAATACCAGCACTTTGGGAGGCTAAGGCAGGTGGATCAGGAGTTTGAGGTCAGCTTGGCCAACACGGTGAAACCTCGTCTCTACTAAAAATATGAAAAATTAGCTGGGTGTGGTGGCACGTGCCTTTAATCCCAGCTACTTGGGAAGCTGGGGTAGGATAATTGCTTGAACCCGGGAGGCAGAGGTTGCAGTGAGCTGAGATCGTGCCCCTGCACTCCAGCCTAGGTGACAGAGCAAGACTCCATCTCCAAAAAATAAAAATAAAAATGAAAAAAAAAATGAAAAGGCCAGTGAGTATGTGAAACATTATTTTTTAATTGCTAAAACATTATTCTTTATTGCTAAAAGCTAAGTCCATGTGGGCAGGGAGTTTGTCTCTGTATCCACAGCCCCAGAACCAGGCTTGGCATATTAGATGCTTCATAAATATTTGTTGAGTGAATAAATGAAATAATTTGCTAACAGTTAATTTATTGCATATCTTGGAGATATTAAAGCTACTTTAAACAGAAATTCCTTGCTTCACAATTTGCAGTTGCAAAAATGTGGAAGCAACCCAAATATCCATCAATCAAGGAATGGTAAAGAAACTGTGGTGTATATATGTGATGGAATACTACTCAGCCATAGAAAGGAATGAATTAATGGCATTCGCAGCAACCTGGATGGGATTGGAGACTATTATTCTAGGTGAAGTAACTCAGGAATGGAAAACCAAACATCGTATGTTCTCACTTAAAGGGGAAGCTAAGCTACAAGGGTGCAAAGGCATAAGAATGACACAATGGACTTTGGGGGCTCAGGGGGAAAGGGTGGGAAGGGGGTGAGGGATAAAATCAGGTTCAGTGTATATTGTTCGGGTGATGGGTGCACCAAAATCTCACAAATCACCACTGAAGAACTTACTCATGTAACCAAATACCACCTGTTCCCCAAAAACCTATGGGGAAAAAAAAAGTCCTAGCTTCAGGTTTTCTATTTGTAAGAGTGTTTTGTAAAACTGGCTTTGGGAAGTGCATCAATTCTTTTCTGCCACCAGAGGGAGACAGAGTGCATTCAGGAATCAAGTTTTTAAGGCGCTATTTTTCAAAGAGTGGTTAGTACTTCAGCTGATACTCTTAGATGTGAATAACTGTGACTAAGTCAAATCAGCACTGCAGGATGAGGTTTAAAACTATAGCAGCATATCTTAAGCTTAACACAAGGTAAGCATGTGTCCACGTTAAAAATAACATCCATAAATACAGCCTGATAATGTGCTTAAAAATAAAGTATCATATAAATAGGTTGCAAATGACGATTGAGTCTTTCCTTATTTTACGATCACTTTCTGATACCCAATTAAATGCCATATGTGATCTAATAGCCAAAGGCTATTTGACTTTTTAACATCAAGGGTGATGCCGTTTTAACATCAGGGAGGAAATGCAAAGGTTCTAGTTCTGATGCACAGACAGTGACTAAATATATTCCATCACAGCTGAGTGTCAGGGGCTGGCACAGTACAATCAGGCATGTGAGTAGCTCTTTTGTGCTGGGAACCTGTTGGGCAGACTGACTTAACATGGGAGTGCCTATGGGATGGGAGGTCTGGTAATATATTATTAAGGAGGGAGTCCCAGGGACTGGAAGGGAGGAATTTTCCTTTACAACATTATATTTAATGAGAACAAACTTAATATTAGTCTGGTAGACATTGCCTATTATGTGGGAAATTAATGTATTCTTTTATTACTATCTTCAGTTTGCAGTTCCTGAGGTCTTGAGGTTTGGCCATATAAGAACATCCATGCAGATCCAGGTCTCTCTGCAACTCCAGACCCCCTGTTCCAGGAGTCTTGACTGACAGAGCTTGCTGTAAGGGTCAGTAGCTGGCAACTAAATTGTCTCACCTCCTTTTCTTTTCTTGCCTGGTCTCTGGTTGGAAGTTCCAACTGGGGCTCAAACAGCCCCCAAAGCCGGCAGCTGAAGAGGAAAGGGGGAATACGGTGGTGCTTCAGTGCCATCTAACTTGGCTTTAAACAGTAGGAAATTAGCTGCTTGTCATTAAAATAAACAAATGCCAGCCTGTTCCGTGGCTACAGGCTGCAGGGGACATGCAAGGGGACTGGTGAAGTCCCCACAGTTTCTGGGGGTTACAGTGGGCCCAGAGCCGCTCTCCTCCCCTCCAGATTCCCGTCACACTGTTGGCCAGCTGTGGATCCTCTCCTCCTTTGCCTAAGTTGGAGGAGACAAAGGTGAGTGTGAGCTGAGTGCTTCAGTGTCGAGGCCGTGCGGGCGATGATGTGATAGGGCAGCATGGGGTTGATGTTACTTTTTAAAACTGTTTCCAGGCCAGGCGTGGTGGCTCACACCTATAATCCCAGCCCTTCGGGAGGCCAAGGCAGGCAGATCACCTGAGGTCAGGAGTTCGAGAGGAACCTGGCCAACATGGTGAAACTCTGTCTCTACTAAAAATGCAAAAATTGGCGGGCACGGTGGCTGGTGCCTGTAATCTCAGCTACTCGGGAGGCTGAGGCAGGAGAATTGCCTGAACCCAGGAGGAGGAGGACGCAGTGAGCCAAGATCACTCCATTGCACTCCAGTCTGGGTGACAGAGCAAGACTCTGTCTCAAAATAAATAAATAAATAAAACTCTGTTTCCCAGTGCTACTTTCCACAGAGCTGGAGGACAGGCTTTTGGTGTCGAGTGTCTCACATCCTTGTTTTTTCCCCTTTGGCATGAATATCTAGACAGGAATTTCTGATAACCTCTTGTAAACTGAAAAGTAACTGAGGCATCTCAATCCACTTAAAGGTTTATTTTGCCAAGGTTGAGAATGCACCCGGGAAAAACAGACGTAAGTCCCATTGGGACCATCAGATCTCATGAGAACTCACTCACTATCATGAGAACAGCAGGGGGGCAACCACCCCCATGATCCAACCACCTCCTACCAGGTCCCTCCCTTGACATGTGGAGTTTACAATTCCAGATGAGATTCAGGTGGGGACAGAGAGTGAAGCCATGTCAGTAGGGAATGAGGCAAGTTGTCACATTCTTGTGAGGCTCTGATGAGCACTTAGTGAATCTACATTTTACTTGTGAAAACAAAGGGGGGGGAAGTCAATTACATATTTGTTTCTTGCATGGTTTATCTACATTTTACATAAGGTAAAGGAAGCCTGTGAGGTCACAGCTATCTTTTTGGGAGCAAAAGGAAGGCAGTTTTATGTGACTCAGTTCCTAAGCTTCACTTTCCCTTTGGCATAGTGAGTTTGGGGATCCCAAGGTTTTATTTTCCTTCCCCACTCTATTATAGAGAATTCCGTAGGGACTATTTTCGGTTTTGTTTTGTTTGGAGACAAAGTCTTGCTCTGTCGCCCAGGCTGGAGTGCAGTGGCGCGATCCGGCTCACTGCAACCTCGGTCTCCTGAGTTCAAGCGATTCTTCTGCCTCAGCCTCCCAAGTAGCTGGGACTACAGGCACGTGCTACCCCTGGCTAATTTTTGTATTTTTAGTAGAGACAGGGTTTCACCATGTTGGCCAGCTGTTCTCCAACTCCTGACCTCAGGTGATCTGCCCGCCTCAGCCTCCCAAAGTGCTGGGATTACAGGCGTGAGCCACCATGCCCGGCCCCCTAGAACGTAATTTGAATTGGTAAATGCTGGATTAGTAAAAACTAAAAATCAATCCGCTATTTATGTCTCTAACATAATGGCCCTTAATAGGCAACCACTTTTCATGAGTCTTGTTTCAGACATCCCAGACTCCATTTCCCAGAGAAGCGGAGAATGAATGGGTGCTGTATGTTCACTGCCGGGTGTCCGAGAAGCTGCACAGGAAGTGTCTTAACGTGAAGAGAGTCCACACTGGACACCGGCACAAAGGGCAGAGTGAAGGGACGAAGTGTCAGATGCGTCTCTGCCACCAGCACACGTTTCAGCGGTGCTAGATTTGACTAGGCACAGGACTCTAAACTGGTGGTTTGCTGACTATTAACCTCCACGGTATTGCTATCTCATGCTCCTTGACCCCTTCCTAATTTTGCTGTGGTTCGGCAGCTCCAGTCCACTGTTGAAATGCTGGTAGATTTCAAAACTCCGTTGGGACATATTAAATTCTGGTGAGCCAGTGGGTGGGATGCCTTCTGAATGACAAAGGGGCCCCGTGGCTAAAAGCTGAAGGAAATTCATGCAATGATGAATGTGCTGCAATTAATCACCAGAGATCTGTTCTTTTCCTTATATGCGTAGTATAGTGCAGGGTCCAGGGTTGGGGAGAGTCTCTGAGTCCAGATCTTCATAGAATTAAAAATAATGAATATTTGTAATCAGGCATCGCTTGACCAACAACTCCGCCTCCTTAGTTGGAAATACAGACGTCCACTTTTCGCTAGTGTGTAATTATTTTCTGGAATGCTGAGAATTGTTCCCCTGACCTATGGCTCTTTTTTAAGCATCTGGGATATGCAGTCAATTTGCAGGTTGCTATTTTGAAGTCAGGGAGCCTCAGAGAATCGAATATATGCCACATAAGTTCCTGCAAGATGGACTTTCTGGGAGTCCTCTGATGAGGTTGGGAGAAGGCAAAGAGGAGATGTTTCCATGTAAAGGCTGAGCAAGCTCCAGGCCACTGCAGAAGTTCAGCTTTCTTCAGCTCTGTAAGCTGGACCCTGTGGCTGGAGTCTGGCCAACTGCAGGGACAAGTTTCTATTATTATGTAAATGGAGTCCCAGTGCGGCCTTGGAAGAGTTTTTGGCACAGGGTAACCCTTTGTCTGCCAAAAGGTAGCCTCTCCCTTTGCTTCAAGCCCAGAGTGTGCATTTTGCAGTGGTGACCTGTAAGCCACCGGTCAACCTGCAGATTGCCTTATTAGGCAGACTGCGGAGGCTGGTGGCTGGGGACTGGCTGGCAGAGGCGGTGGCAGTGAGCTTGTGTCCTGTACGAAGCCGGAGAACCCCAGCCCCGGAGACGTGGCCTAGTACTTACTGTTCTATAAATGATAGTCCTCCGTGGTGACAGGAATATACACTCTCCTTGGCAGGCATACTTTATGGGTTGGTTGGAGAACAGGAGGTTTGCAGGGGGAGGTGACTGTCCGAAGGACAGAATGGTACGAGGCTTTCTTCACTGCGTAGCTTGTGTGTTCAGTCCTGTATCAGGGCTTATTCTACGGAGTATGGACTTTATCAGGATTTTTTTTTTAACTTTTAAGTTCAGGTTTGTTATATAGGTAAACTCCTGTTATGGGGGTTTGTTGTACAGATTATTTCATCACCCAGGCATTAAGCCCAGTACCCATTTGTTATTTTTCATGATCCTTTCCCTCCTTCCACCCTCCACCCTCCGAAAGGCCCCAGTGTGTGTTGTTCCCCTCTGTGTGTCCATGTGTTCTCATCATTTAGCTCCCACTTATAAGTGAGAACATGCGGTATTTGGTTTTTCTGTTCCTGCGTTAGTTTGCTAAAGATAATAGCCTCCAGCTCCATCCATGTCCCTGCAAAGGACATGATCTCATTGTTTTTTATGGCTTCATAGTATTCTATATCAGGAAGTGTGGAATGTTTTCCTTTTAACCCAGGATGTTTTGCAGACTCTCAATCTTGTTTATGTTTTATACTAAAGTCTTTCTAATCTAATGGTGAGGTCATGTGTGTGGTAGGAAGGAAATATCACCAGATAATAAGGTGGTACAATGGAAACAGCAGAGTTTTAGGAGCCAGGGGACGTGCGTTCCAGGGCTGCCACAAGTGGGCTAAGTGGATAAGTCACTTGCATTGGGGAGGTGACTTCCCCAAGGACAGAACGGTATAGCTCATGTATCTAGGGCTTAGTGGGCAATCACTAGTGATCACTAGTGAATCTGTGATCACTATACATTAAATGTATCCAATCATCACTCTGTACCCCATAAACATGTACATTTGTTGTCAATTAAAAACTAAAATAAAAATGTAGAGTAGACTGAATGCACTCAATTACCTCTCCATCGTACATTTCTCTCCTCAAATTGCATTAACCAGCCTCCCCTTTCCTTTGTGTTCTCTTTAGTAAAACTGCTTAATGAGTGTGTATGGTTAATAGCCACAGCCGAGCATCCACGGGGACCGTTTTCCCAACGGAACCTGTAAGGCTGAATCCATCTTTTCTCTTTTGAGTTTCTTCCAAACTTGCTGCAGTAGCTGAAAGTTAGTGAAGACGGCACTTTCCTGCACTGAAATGCTCGTTCAGATGCCTCAGGTTCTATGGGTTATGGCTCATGGACCAAAGCTGCACATGAGGCAAACGAACACCTGGAGGAGCCTGCGTTCAGGATGCGGCAGTGACCGCGCTCAGAGCGCTCTGGCTCACATCCCTTGTCTAAGCGGCTTCTCATTCATTGAGCTGAGGCGTAGGACAGCCTGCCGGGAAGACAGACGCAAACCGCGGCTCACTCTGGCTCCTGACTGCTCCAGACCCTGGCTTCAGTTCTCCCCTCCCTCCAGAGATCTTGGGGCAGCAGGGCTCATAAGCTGCTGCATGAGAACAGGGACAGCTCTGACTGCTGGAGTCAGACTCAGCGCTTGTGTGTGTGTGTGTGTGTATGTGTGTATGTGTGTGTGTGTGTATTTTTAGCACAGTTGGGAGACAACGTCTGAGGTGCTGCTGGCTCTGCTCCATCTGGTGTCCTTGTCCTTGTCGTCATTTCACTGCTTACATCTGCTACTTGTTCAGGGAAAGCACAAATTCACTTTTCTCCTTCTGTTAAAGAAATAATTTTGGCTGAGCACGGTGGCTCACGCCTGTAATCCCAGTACTTTAGGAGGCTGAGGCGGGCAGATCACTTGAGCCCAGGAGGTTGAGACCAGCCTGGGCAACATAGCGAAAGCACATACGAAAAATACAAAAATTAGCTGGGCATAGTGATGCACGCCTGTGGTCCCAGATACTCCGGAGGCTGAGGTGGGAGGATCACTTGAGTTGAGGGGGTCGAGGTTGGAGTGAACCGGGATAATGCCACTGCACCCCAGCAACAACAGGAGGAAAAGAATAAAAAACTGAGCTGGGCATTGATGGTGGGTGCCTATAGTCCCAGCTGCTTGGGAGGCTGAGGTGGGAGGATCACTTGAGCCCATGAGGTAGAGGCTGCAGTGAGCTATGATCATGCCACTGAATTCCAGCCTGGGTAACAGAACAAGACCCTATTTTTTTTTAATGTGTTTTCTCACTACCTGAAGACCAAGCAGCATGATGTATCCCAGCTTGATGTCTGGGTGTGACAAGCGTCTGAATTTTCTTTTTTCACTTGGGCTTCAGGGATGGCTCTGATGCTTCTTCGCGCACTGTCCACGGCCTCCCTTCCCACCCCGAAATGCCCTGGCTGGTCCCATGGCACGTTCCGTCTGAATGTGGGTGGCTGTCTTGCCGAACCCCTGTCGACTCCATGGGAAGGCACCAGTTTTAAGAGGCCGAAGAAGAGACCCAGAGCCAGTGAACGAGGCACGGGATTCTGTTGGGGACTTGGATACAGGGGAGAGAGTCCAGTGGCAGCGGGCTGAGCAGGAGAAGCACAACCGCTTTCAAAAGGCATGCAGTTTATATAGCAATAGCATGTCCACTTGGCACCTCCCCCGACAATCTCCACCTGGCAGCCTTCACATACCCCAAAACAAACAGTCCGGACCCCCTGTGCATGCAGTGGTGGCAGCAGGGCGGGGAAGCTGCTCAGATGTTCCTCATAGATAAGGAACGAATCTCCAGTTGGCCTCTCCTGGATTCCTTAGCTTGGAACCCTGAACCCCATGCAGGTGCCTCCGCCATACAGGGCCATTCTCAGGGTGTGCCTAAGTGATTGCTGTCAGGCGCATTTACCATGCAGAGGGATGGGACCATTTAAGCCCACGCCCCCGTTAGGCCTCTTCCCAGTTCCAGCTCCCACACTGTCCGCTCTTCTTCCTGGCACGGAGGTGAGGGCCCATGGCCTCCCCATTCATCTATTGCCACCATCTCCTCCACAAATAAGCTCTCCAGTCTCCTCCTCCAGGAAGCCTTCCTTCATCACACTCACCCCATCTGATTATGCTGTTTCCCTGCTTCTTCCTGGGCTTTATATCATCTGTGGCTTGTATTCGTGTTTTCTAACTCTGTGGGTGTATCGTAATCACCTGTGGTGGGAGGACTTTCATTTTAAACAAGCACCCCATGTGGTCTGAGGGTCACCCAAGTTTCAAATCCTTTGCCTCAAATCCAATGTTACACCCACGCATGAGTGTAAACGTGTCTCGAGTCATTTCAACAGACAGTGTGGAATGTGCCTTTGATTTATTTTGTGTCATGACCTCCCCAAGGCACCTGCACTGTGAGCACGGGATCTGCTTTCCCGATGCAATAATATGACCATGAAGAAAGTCAATCATGAACGTGTGAAATATCACGAACACGCCCTCCCCTACCCTGCATCAATCAGCAAGGGGCTGGGGACCTGTTCTGAGAGCCTGGTAGGTCTCTGGTGCCAATTAATACAACCCATGGAAGCCAGGCACAGTGATTCACGCCTGTAATCCCAGCACTCTAGGAGGCTGAGGTGGGAGGATCACTTGAGCTCATGAGTTCAAGACCAGCCTGGGCAATAAGGTGAAACCCTGTCTCTACAACAAATACAAAAATTAGCTGGGCATGGTGGTGTGCGCCTATAGTCCCAGCTACTCAGGAAGCCAAGATGGGAGAATGGCTTGAGCCCGGGAGGTCAAGGCTGCAGTAAGCTGTGATTGCACCACTGCACTGCAGCTTGGGCAACAGAGCCAGACTCCATCTCAAAAAAAAGAAAGAAAAAGAAAAGGAAAAACAAGGGTGACATTAGGAATGGTGGGTGGGTGAGCTTATCTTGCATTTTCATACCGATTATTGTTGCTGAGTTTGTCATTGTTGTTATTTTATTAAGATGCCCTTCTGAGAACAAGGAGGGCCAGAAATTACTTGATTTGAAACTCTTTCCTTCAAATCATTCAAGTCTAGCTCTAGAACAGCTATGATCTATCCGGTATCAACAGACATTTTATATACGTGCTTGTCTGCCATCTGGACTTTTAGACTCACAGGAAATTCTCCTCTGTGACGACTCAGTGTTTCCCTGCTTTCTGTTCATGTGAAAACCATCAAGTAGTGAGCATTGAATGACTGGATTTGGCAGAGCCTTCTCCGCTCTCCCTGGATGATTGTAATCAAGTCAGCCCCTTCCCCTCTGCATGAGGTCTTCTTCTCACGAGAGGAGAGGCGTGGGCCCCCACAGCTCTGAAGGTGTGGCACGCTGCACCTTATGATGTCCCGGGATGCAGCCACAGACTTCATACAGTGAACGCCTAGGTTTACTATTATTATTATTATTATTATTATTATTATTATTATTATTAGAGACAGGGTCTCACTCTGTCACCCAGGTTGGAGTATAGTAGCATGATCAAAGCTCACCGCAGCCTCAAATTTCTGGGCTCAAGTAATCCTCCCTTCTCAGCCTTCTGAGTAGCTAGGGCTACAGGTGTGTACCATCATGCCCAGCTAATTTAAGATTTTTTTTGTAGAGATGGAGTCTCGCTGTGTTGCCCAGGTAGGTCTCTAACTCTTGGTCTCAAGCAGTCCTCCTGCCTCAGCCTCCCAAAATGCTGGGATTACAGGTGTGAGCCACCGTTCCTGGGAACAGCTAGTTTTATGTTTATTCGTCCCATCATTGTTTAAGAGCCCTTTGTGGGTTGGGGCTTTGAAGAGGTCAGAATCGTCGTTGGCGTCTCCTGGCCTCCAGCGAGTGGTGGGCGGGCCATGTGCCCCTCACAAGAGCTGTTCTCCAGGTGCTCAGCATGTGCCTGCATTGTATGTCAGCTGTGATTTGCCCTCAGTGTACATTTTATTGTAGATTGCACTGAAATGTACATACCATGACATTTACCATTTCCACCATGTTTAAGTGAACAGTTCGGTGACATTTAGGTGCATTCGCTCACAGAGTGTGCAGCCATCACCACCATCCCTCTCCAGAACTTCTTCGTCATTCCAAACTGAAACTCTACCTATTCAACAACTCCCCAACTTTCCTTCTGCCCAGCCCCTGATAAACTCCCTTCTACTATCGGTCTCTGAATGTGACCATTCTAGAAACCTCATATAAGTGGGATTGTACAGTATTTGTCCTTTGGTGACTGGCTTATTTCACTTAGCATAATGTCTTCAAGGTTCCTTTACATTGTAGCAAGCATCAGAATTTCCTTCCTTTTTAAGGCTGAATAATATTCCATTGTATGTATATTTCAGTGTGTACTTTAAACAGAACTGACCTATGTCTTTTTTTCTGACAATCAGTTCTCCACCCTTTCTTCCTCTGAGGTACCTGCATTTTTCTCCCCAAGAATCATTAGTCATAGATTTGGAATGAACCAGAAACTAAAACGATTGGAGATAATTTCATTACAAATGTTAACATTACTCTTTTGAACATTTATTTTAAAGACACTAATAAAGTCTTTTAGGTGATTGCAATAAGCCTTTTCTTTGAAAAAGAATTCTGAAGTATAGAAAGGCTGGCACCGTTTTCTTTCAACGCATCTGATAAAGAAAAAATAGTTGTGACTTGTAATATTTCTTATTAAATGTACTTTTGCCTTTTCATCTCTACCTACGTGGTCTGTTTTAAATTACCTTATGCAGTGATGTAACGCAACATTTTATTTGCAGGCTTGTCCAAAATATTACCACTAACCAAAATTCACAGAGCATTTCACAGTGCACGCAGGAGGAGAATTAGACTAAAATGAGGAATCTGGAAAGTCTGACCGACCAGTGAGATGTGATCAAAGAGAAATGAAAGGGCCTAAGTGGGCTTTCCATGGGGGATTGCCTCAGGTCAGGCAGTTCTGCCTCCGATTAAGGATCTACACACATAAAGAAAATTCAACAAAGAAAATGAGAATACCATTTATGGCTGTTGCTAGTGTACAAAATTCTCCTTTACTGGGCTATGAAAATATATCCTTCACTTTGGAATTTCAGTCCAGCTGTGGTCTTTAGTGGCGTATAGTAGATTTCATTAAACTCACTTCCATGGCACTTTTTAATTTTGGAAGTGTATCAGTAACTCACAACAGTATGTACTCAGACAACTGCAGGTCGTAATATCACACTCCCCTGTACTGTCCACTTAAATTCCAGCTCATAGCCGGGCACAGTGGCTCATGTCTGTAATCCCAGCAGTTTAGGACTCTGAGATAGGAGGATCACTTGAGGCCAGGAGTTTGAGACCAGCCTGGGCAACATGGCAAGATCCCATACTTGTTTTTTTTTGTTTGTTTTTGTTTTTTTGTTGTTTTTTTTTTGAGACAGAGTTTCACTCTTGTTGCCCAGGCTGGAGTGCAATGGCGCGATCTCGGCTCACTGCAACCTCCATCTCCCGGGTTCAAGCGATTCACCTGCCTCAGCCTCCCAAGTAGCTGGGATTCCAGGCATGCACCACCATGCCCAGTTAATTTTTGCATTTTTAGTAGAGATGGGGTTTCACCATGTTGGTCAGGCTGGTCTCAAACTCCTGACCTCAGGTGATCCGCCTACCTCGGCCTCCCAAAGTGCTGGAATTACAGGCGTGAGCCACCGTGCCCGGCCAAGATCCCATATTTATAAAGTTAAAAAAATAGTTGAACATGGTCTTAGCTAGTCAAGAGTCTGAGGTAGGAGGATGGCTTGAGTCCAGGAGGTTGAGGCTGTAGTGAGCGGTGCTCGTGCCACTGCACTCTAGCCTGGACAGCAGAGCCAGACCTTATCTCAAATAAATAAATAAATAAATAAATAAATAAATAAATTCCAGCTCATTTTTCTGTAGACTGGGAGTGCTTTCATTGATGTTCGGTGAGCACAACGAGGTAACATGAGGTGACATCGTACAGACCTCTGCAGGAGAGTGTAGTGCACCTGAATCTCTTTTCAATACAGAGTTCCTTGCACAGATTAAATAATGCAGTCCATTTTCAAAGTGCTTCCATATATGTTCTTTCACTTTATCCTGGCCTCACCATCCTATTTTCCTCTTTGATTTTTTTTTTTTATTTTATTGTGGCTGGTCCTATTGCCTTCATCTTCATTTGTATTTAATTGTTTTGCTAATTACAGAAGGAAATCATGCATATGGTGGATACTTTGGAAAATAGAGAAGGAAAAACATGAACAGAGTTATCTCTGAATTATAAGAAAATTAATGCTTGCTCTATCTCCTGTCATTCTGATTAGGTGTGTGTGTATCTCTAATGTAACATTAAGAATTTTCAAATCAGTAATGGAGCTTCAACCCTAGTTTGCTTCTGTAATTTATTTACGCAGTCTTCTATATGCACCCCCATGTAGACTAGTTCTAATTTTATAAATTTATAAACAAAACCATGTTAAACATCCTTGAGTTCATTCATAGTAATTTCCTTGTGTGCATTTCCAGAAATAGAATTAATGAGTCATTGCTTCCTACACACTTCATAGTAGCCATGTCCACATCTTATCCCTCTCCAATAACGTGGGAGAATTAGGAAGAAAAGGAAAAATAATAATCAATTGCTTCTTTTTATACACAACACCCACACCCCACCAGGGACACTGACTTCTCTCTGAGCCTTATGGCCTTAGCTATGCCCTAGTTACTCATATCTGTGGGCGGCCCTGGTTTTGAGCAATGTCTGTGGGATCAAAACTAGACCTAGAAATCATAAGGTTTATGAAAGACAACTGCAGCTGGCCTGACGGCTCCTTCTGGGGTCAGGCTGGCCCCTTTACTAGAGACATCCATGTGGGCCAGGGCTGGGAGGCCCTATGACCTCAATCCAGGACAAGTTTACAACAATGGCCCCGGTTCTCTTGTGCTCAGGCTGATCAGGAATGTGGGAGTTGTCCTGGGGAGAGTCAGAGCATGTGGATTTTCAGCCTGGCACTTCCACGCCACAAGCTTTGTGACCTTGAGTATTCTACAGGAGTCATCTAACATTTCATTACATGAAGACCAGGTGATCAGAAAGGCCCCTTCGGCTCCAGTCTTCCCAGGGTCCACCTGGGCCTGATTCACTTGTTCCAGTGATACCACTGTGGGGTGTCAGCATTGCAATGGCTCACTCATAGATCCTTCAGGTCTCCTCCAGCCACCACCCATGAACTATGACACGACATGGCACATACCATGGCCCGATGTCATGTGTACCATGGCATAGTGTGATGTGTACCATGACATGACCATGTTCCATGACATGCTATGACAGTGACCTCCCTCAGCCTCTCCCAGGCACACGGTTTTACCTCTTCTCCTAAAGCAGGTTCGCATGCCCATCTAAAGGCAACTTCAATATTTGCTTTTACTTCTCTTTAGTTAAAGATGAAAACCTTAAAAATATCCGCTAAAATATTGTACTTCCATAAAGCATTGCCCCTGAGTAAGATTAGTGCTTCTCAGTGGACACAGCAGCAGGGAAGTTTGTGCGTTCATGCTGAGCTGGTAGCTGTGTGATGCTATTGAAAAGGGAATACACCACCATCAGCGCTCAGTTAAAACGTCTTCTCCCTGAAATTTAAGAAAGCCACAATCACAACTTAGAATTCCTCTGCAAATAAATATGTTAACCTATGGAATGATGTAAGGAAATGTTTGGGTATTTTGTAGCTCCCCTGTGTGAATGAGCTAGCCTAAAACAATGATGATAATAATAATTTTTGAATGTCAAGTGGAAAAACTAAAAATAATAATAATTCATTATAATTATTGGAGAGTAAAGGAAAAATTTTCACAGATACTTTCTATTAACATAAAATATAGATTTTTCTTCACAGTCTTATTTGGTTTCATATGGATAGGATGCTTAAATAATAGATTAAATTTTATATCCATAATTTCATAAAAAATGTTATGCTTTTTCCTTTCAACAATTAAGTCATATTTAAGTCAGTTTGCTTTGTATCATAATCCATAGGTGAAGCAAAGAATTCTAATAAGACTTTGTTACCAACTTAAAGAGAATATCCAACATTTTTAAAAATTCTGTAGTAGAATTTCATTTAAAATTTTTAAAATATTGGAAGGGAGGGAGGAGGGCAAGGGCTGAGAAACTAACGATTGGGTACTATGCTCCGTCCTGGGGTGACAGGATCCATTGCATCCTAAACCTCAGTATCACTTAATGTACCCATGTAACAAATCTGCAGCACATACCCTCAAATCTAAAATAAATGTTGAAAAGAAAAAGAAAAGAAAAAAAGGAAAAGCAAGTGACAGGACAATTTGAAAAGAAAATTTAGAATAGACTTATTCTTTAATAATAATACAAAATCAACATTTAGATTCTTTTAGGATGACTGTAATTGACTATTCTATAGGAAGAGCAGTTTTCAGGCACAGAAAGTGTGATAAGCAGTGATACTATGTTCTGTAAAGTGTTACGTTCTTTATCGAGGATTTTTTTGTCCACATGTCAACATATAATTTCATCCTATCTCACTCTCTCTCTCTTTCTCTTTCTCTCTCTCTCTCTCTTTTATTTTTCTTTGAGACAGGGTCTCACTCTGTTGCCCAGGCTGGAGTGCAGCTGTGTGATCATGGCTCACTGCAGCCTCAACCTCCTGGGCTCAAGTGATCCTCATGCCTCAGCCTCCCAAGTAGCTGGGACTACAGGCACGCACCACCACACCCAGCTCATTGTTTATTTTTTGTAGAGACAAGGACTTGCCATGTTGCCCAGGCCAGTCTTGAACTCCTGGCCTCAAGTGATCCTCCAGCCTTGGCCTCCCAAAGTTCTGGGATTACAGGTGTCAGCCACCATGACTGGTTCATCTCTTTATTTCCAGAATCAGTTGCTTCTACTATTTCCTCTCCTTCCTCTTCTCCTCCCAACACTCCCTCTTTTCTTTTTGTTGCTAATTATCTATGACCTTACCATCAAGTTTCTAATTTAGTTATCCATGGTACTGACATTGTTCCTTGCTGAATTTTTTTTAACTATCCTATTTGCCATACTTTTTCCTGACCTTGTGACTATAATGTAATGAGGAGTTTAGAGAAAAATACCAAATGCTATCACTGACACCTCTTGTACCCAGGGTTGATGTACCTTGTGTTTATGTGTCTTTATTAATTCAGCATATAATTCTTCATTTTCACCTTAAGTGTGTTTGTATTTTACAAATTAGTCTAAGTCCACCTGGTTTGAACACACGATACTAACTCCACACACCCATTTTAGAAGGAGATGTCTAGTTTTTAGAAGAGATTATCTTGTGATTTCCTGTGGTCATTCAGCAAACATTTCCTGCAGCCCTACTGTGCACCAGGTACAGTGTCCAGAACTAAAGATACAAAGACAAACTCAGAGTCCCTGCTCCTAGGTGGGGTGTGGTGAATCACAGTCTTGATCCCACCTCCCCAAGATCCCATAGCTCCATCACCAAACAGTTGTCTATCCAGGAGCCAGTTACCTTTCTAGCCCTATTTCCTTAGCTTGCAAATGAGATTATTTCCCTTGGTTTTCTTGAATGTTCCATTTCTCTGTAAATATGGTCAGTCTGTAATTATTGCGAATTTTTCTTGGAATTGCATGAGCATTGCTTGGGCCCACCGACTACATATTGTGGTTAAAATTAAACAGGGGGCAGTCTAACAGGTGAAGCTTAACTTAATGGCTTCTGCCTCAAATTAAAATTTTGGGGCCAGTCGCGGTGGCTCATGCCTGTAATCCCAGCACTTTGGGAGGCCAAGACAGGCAGATCACCTGAGGTCAGGAGTTCAAGACCAGCCTGACCAACATGGCAAAACCCCGTTTCTACTAAAAATACAAAAAAACTAGCTGGGCGTGGTGGCAGGTGCCTGTAATCCCAGCTACTTGGGAGGCTGAGGCAGGAGAATCACTTGAACTGGGGAGGCTGAGGTTGCAGTGACCCGAGATCTCGCTACTGCACTCCAGCCTGGGCAACAAGAGAGAAACTCTGTCTCAAAAAAAAAAAAAAATTGGAATCTCTAGTAATATCTGCCTTTCTTTTCCCACAGTTTCACTCATATGTTGTTCATAAATCTTAAGTATGGGTTTTTGGCTCTCTGTTAGGAAAATACTTCATTTAACTCAGCCAAAGCCAGACTTGGAGCAGCCTGGAAATACTCAAGCGTCTCTTCTTCCCAACACACGAGGCTCTCTGTAGGTTTTTCTTTGTATGTGTGTCCGTAGGGAGAGGAAGTTGTATCTGACTCCTCCGAGGATGGTTAGGTTGCAGCACTGTCTCCTTAGCCGGAGCAAATGCTGGGATGCGCCATGGCTTTGCCTTGGTCATCTACATCACCCACGTCCCATCACTGGGCTCCAGTCTGTTGCAGCGCCTCCAGGCTTAATTTCTGTTCATAATCTGATTATGGGGTCTGAGCTATTCCAGCCAGTGGCCTCTTGCTTCTCCTGTTCCATAGGCACAAAGATACAAGTGCCTGGTCGCTCTAGTCCTGCACTGTGAAAAATCTCAACCCAGTTTTGCTTAGACCAGACAAAGGTGGTAGCTGGCTGAGAATTAGCTGTAGAGCAGGCTGTGTGACCGAGCCGTCTGTGTGCAGCCATGTTCAGAAGCCCAGGGTTTTCCAGCTATTTGGGAGCTTTCAAATTCTCTGAGAAACAAGGTAACGCAAGAGAAATATGAAATGCATATGTATGGATTTTATAACATAATGAATGCTTGGGGTCCTCTATTTTGCCCTGTGTATTCTCCTGTGTCCAGTTACTTATACACGTTTCTCAAAAGACACTTTAAATATCTAACTGAGCTTATTTGTGATTGTTGATAATGTGAATTTTTTTCCTTTAGTAAGTTAAAGTTACTACTAAACCACTGAAACCTTTTTGTAGGAAAAATTGCAAATGCAGTTGGAATGCCCACACTTTGGATCAAATTCTAGTTGTGCTGCACTTTAGCTAAAATAGTTTTCTAAATCAAATGCTATACATACTAAATTATTTCCAGTAGGCAGTGGTGAGTAGCGTCTTTTTATTAATTCTTCATGTGAGACAGTTTGGAACAAGATACTGTCTTTTCAGTGGCTTTCTTCCAGCACAGAGGAAAATACATGCTTTCAATGTAACTACTGAAGTGGTGTGGCATGTTCAGTTCACTGATTGAACAAAAATGAAACGCTAAGGTTATTTTGAGTATCATATTTGAAACTCAGCCATTATACATCAGAACTGCTTTCCAGCTCAAATGCACTATTGGGAAGTGACTTGAACAATTCGGACCTCAGATTCAGGAATTTTCTCCTACAGCACTTGAAAGCTTTCTGAATTGATTTCTCTTTGGCTAAATACATAACAAGATACTTGTATAATTAGGAGAAAAGCTTAGATGTTTTACTGGCATTATACTTCTCATTTTACTGTATTTCTTTAGTTGGCCACAGTTCCAAATTCCAAGATCGAGGCTGTATTTTGATGGATAATAAAGCGTCGACGTCTGATATATTTTGTACTTCTTTTTCTTCAGGCTTCTGCCTGTAACTATTGAACAGCCAAAGGCACTTCCTTAGGGGAAGGAGTTTCTGTAAGTGGTCTATTTGTGGTTTTCTTAGTGGGCAAATTGTTCCTATGGATGTAAAACAGATTACATGCCATTAGACTGCTTATAAATTTTGTCTGTGGTTTTGATTAACCTGTTCACTTGGGATGTGTTTTTCCTGTATAGAATTGTTACCAGCTTTCTTTACATAATATACGTTGTCTTCAAAAATAAATAAATGGTTATTTTTATTGGTTGTTATTGTTTGATTTTAATGAAAGCAAAAGACACAGCTGAGTTGTTTTTTGGTCTTCAGTCCCCACTCCCATGCTTTAAAGGCATCTCAAACATTCCTAGTTACCATGACCAAAATTTCCTATTTTCTCCTTTATTCCTGAGTATGGAACTATTCAGTACTTAATTGCTTTGAGGTATTCTTGTTGCCAGGACAAATTCAAATGATAGCATTGAACTATGTGTGAATTATTATTATTTGTGTTATTATTAGTTTTACCCATTTAGTAAAGTTGGCTACTTTTGAGAAGAGGAAAAAAAAACTTGCCTATGTAAATTTCCATGTGGAATTTGATTCTTGGAAGGTGTCATTTTTGTATTTCTAGTTTTTATCTGGTTAATGGTTTCCTTTTTCCTAAATTGTATGTTCAGAGAGAGTTTGGGGAATTTTTTCTCATTGGATTTTTAACATTTTGTGTAACTATTTCAATGTTATATTATTTCTTTTCCCTTAGATTTCAACAATAAAAACTTAAGCTTCATTGGATTCCCATGTCAAAGGAAAGTTTCAAGATAAAGTAGCCTTGTCTCAAGGACTGTTAAATTTTGAAGATTTGTCGTAGCTTTTAAAATTATTCTCTTGAATATCTAACTCTTAAGTTTCAATGTTTGGCAATATGTTTTCTCCCTAGAATTTGATTTATTAAAATGTATGAAGCAAAGAATTCTTTTTGTATTTAATTCGGTTTACGGAAGTGATTTGGAGAACAGAATCTTGGTGTCTCTTGTCATTGCAAACTTTTAAAGGGCTATTATCTTTTCTTTCTCACACCTGCCTCTAAGCAGGCACTATCCTTTTGCAATCTGTCCATCAAAGAAGGGAGCTAGATTCTTTGCAGAAATGGTTTAGACTTGTTCCTCCTCCCTTTCTCCTTCCCTCCCTCCTTCTTTTCCCTCCTCCCTCCCTCCCTTTCTCCATCCACTCATCCATCCATCCATCCACCCATCCATCCATCCATCCACCCATCCATCCATCCATCCACCCATCCATCCATGTGAGTTCTTGTTCCCTGGTTTTCCCAACTCAATCTTTCTGTACTTCCAGTCCCCTTGGCTGCAGAATATTATGGGTGCTAATTTGATTTGCCTAATGTGCTAAAACTCCATGACACATCATCATAGATGTGAGGAAGTGTGGAAATGAATGCCTGTGCCATACACAGTAGCTGTATCTCAGGTGCTTCTTAGTAGATCACTGTCATTAATGGAGTTTGATATTTTCAAATGGAGGCACAAAGTTGTCCCCTACACAGTCAGGCAAAGATCTCAATCTGTGCTTCATTATAGCGGAAGGACCCAGCCCCCATTTCCACACAGTTGCTCTTGTGCCTAAGGTATTATGACATTGTTCCTTGACCAAAAAGGGTTTGCATTTCAACAACATTAGGATAGACAGGGGTCTAACTCCTGTCCTCCTCAGGCTGAGCCTGCTCTGCATTTGAAAATGGCAGTTGATCTTGTAAACACACTGGATGGGACAAATCCTTGGTGTATTTCCTCCACATCTTTTAAGTGTTTATGCTTTAATTTTTACACACAATATCATCAAGCGGCACATCTAAGTACAAGGTTAATTAGAGCAATGATGATCCAGGGTCATCAGTGAGGTTGTCTTAACTGACTCACGAAATGTTACTTTTTTAATGGGATGCATCCGTATTTCTCATCTTGGCCGTGTTTTAATAGGATCTGAGGCTTGGTTTCTAATATGTCCCTAGCAGGTTGGTTTAACTGTCATGGAGCTAATAAGTGACTAAGGGAAAAAGAGACAGGAAGGCATTCCTCATTCAAGGACAGGAAAAGCATGCAATATGAAAGTCACACACGTCAGTGGACAGAGACTCAAAGAGACACAGCTATTCTCAAATCATGGACAGTATGTCATGCATACCTATTAAAATGACAGCCTGTGTGCCATGGTGCTAAGTGTGAAATGGGCTGGAGGTACAAGAGCCTGCTTCCTTAAAAAAAATCTGGTCAACCAGACACCAGCTAAAAGAGACGAAAATATGAGCTAATGGGGCTTCGTCTCCCATATCTTCTAATTTAAATTTCAGTAGTGGAATGAGCAGATTGTGGAGGTGGGTGCTGGACAGTCCCTGTGTGGGTCCTGGATAGCCCTTGTAATAATATTCCACATTGTAAAAAACAGAGATGATAACAGCAGAGTATCCTGCTCTCCCTTTAATAAAATTCCCCCGTGTTGCTATGGGTAGTGATTTAAGTAGGTTAATTGAACACATAATTTTTTTTTTTTTTGAGATGGAATTTCGCTCTGTTGCCAGGCTGGAGTGCAATGGCGTGACCTCGGCTCACTGCAACCTCCACCTCCCAGGTTCAAGCGATTCTCCTGCCTCAGCCTCCTGAGTAGCTGGGACTACAGGCGTGTGCCACCATGCCCAGCTAATTTTTGTATTTTTAGTAGAGATGGGTTTCATCATGTTGGCCAGGATGGTCTCGATCTCTTGACCTCGTGATCCACCTGCCTCAGCCTCCCAAAGTGCTGGGATTACAGGTGTGAGTCACCGCGCCTGGCCAATGGGACACATTTTAAAGAAAAATTGCCACGGAAGCGGGGGCATTCTCTTAGATTATTGAAGCAGAGGAAGGGGGGTGGTGGCACAATCAGTCCTAAAGAACGAGCACTGTTTCAGGGGAGACAAAGAGTTGGATCAAAATCTGAAAGATGTTTCTCACTGTTAGAAAGTTAAAATCAAAATACAGAAAATGAAGTGGATAGCATTTACTTTAGTATCTATGGAGAGATGCTTCCCTACTGAAACATAGGCTCTTACTTTGGGTTGAGCTGTAGTGAGACACCAAGGCCTGCAGAGATTATCCATGCAGACACCCCTTTGTCCCTCGGGAGGTTGAGGTTGGGGGGTGACTGAGGAGGAAGGGCAGGATCCAGCATCCGAGAGCTCCCTGCTTTTGGGGTCACCAGTTGTGTGCGTTAGTAATGGGCCCTACCAGTCTCCTGCTGGGGGGCCTCTGAGTCAGAAGAAGCAGAGAGGAGAGGAGAGTCCAGACCCTCACAGGTGCTTGTGTTTCATCAGCGTCAGATGAGCCAAAAGAGGTGCTCACTGATGAACCGTCCTGAATTTTATGAGCGCGTCTTACCTGTAATTTCACTGATGATCAGTGCCCTCAGGTAAAGAAAGTTCAGGGAAGAAACATTATTTAAAAAAAAAAAAAAGAAAGAAAGAAACTTGGGCCAGGTGTGGTGGCTCACGCCTGTAATCCCAGCACTTTGGGAAGCCAAGGCAGGTGGATCACAAGGACAAGAGATCGAGACCATCCTGGCCAGCATGGTGAAACCCCATCTCTACTAAAAATACAAAAATTAGCTGGGCACCCTGGTGCGTGCCTGTAGTCCCAGTTACTCGGGAGGCTGAGGCAGGGGAATTGCTTGAACCTGGGAGGTGGAAGTTGTAGTGAGCCGAGATCATGCCACTGCACTCCAGCCTGGGCAAGGCAACAGAGCAAGATTCCCTCAAAAAAAAAAAAAAGAGAGAGAGAAACTTGATTTCATTTATTGATTTGAGGGGTCTTGCATCAATCACAGCTTGTGGCACCACCTTGAGCCAGAGCCACACTTTCCAGCCCAGTCTGCCTGCTCCAGCTCTTCCTGTCTGCTCATCTGCTTTCTCAGAAGCCCCCAGTCATTTAGCGGGAGCAGGGGAGAGAGGCAGTGGAGACAGGACCAGAGGGTGATGACAGCCGTGTGGACTCAGTAATAAATGTTTACCTGGAAGCTGCAGATTCTAAAATCAATACTTTATAAATATGTACAATTATGCCAGTTTTTCACACATGTATGCAAGGTGAGCAAAGGTACTAAAGAATGAGGTGTTCCAAATTATGTCCTGTCCAAAGATGAAAGAAGGAAAGAAAGGAAGAAAGGAAAGGAGGGAGGGTGAGAAGGAAGGGAGGGAGGAGGAGCTTATGACTAATGTTATTGACTGTATGCTTTTCTAGTTATTCTTAATGTTTGTAATGATTTTACCTCTGGCCATCACATCAACTTTGCAAAAAAGGTACACAAAAAATACTTCAGGGTATTCATTTGAAGTGTTTTGTAGTAGTCATTCATTCGGCATATTTTAATTTTTTAAAAATAATATTTAATTCAATAATTTAATTAATTTTTTAAGAGACAAATTCTCACTCTGTCACCCAGGCTGGAGCACAGTGTCATAATCATAGCTCATTGCAGCTTCAAACTCCTAGGCTTAATGGTTCCTGCCACCTCAGCCTCCTGAGTAGCTGGGACTATAGGCATGCACCACTGTGCCTGGCTATTTTTTCTTTCTTTCTTTCTTTCTTTTTTTTTTTTGCAGAAATGGGATCTTGCTATGTTGCCCAGGCTGGTTTCGAACTCCTGGGCTCAAACAATCCTCCTGCCTCAGCCCCCACAAAGTGCTGGGATTACCAAGGTGTGTAATATACTTTTGTTTCTGGTCGAATAGGCAGTGGGTCCGGGTGCTCTGCCCTGAGGACACGACCAGTCAACTGAGGCCCAGACGAAGAGTGAGACGAAGCCACACGATGGCAGGAGGCTGGAGAGGAGAGAGCTCAGGGGGAGGAAACAGCATGTCGAGTGAACCACGTTAAGAAGCATCAGAGACTTTCCTCTTAGAGCTTTGGTTTTCTTTGGTTTCTGACCTGCCATCAAAAGGCTGCACTTCACATGGGTGCTGGCACTATTTGTAATGTGTTTCGAGAAAATAAGTGCCTGTGAAGCCAGGGAGTGTCCGGTGATGACTCGTAAAGCTCACTCTGTAAATTCAGCGGAGTATTTAACTCAGGGACACTTTCTTGCTTTTCATTAGTGGCTCCATTGAGCTTTCTGAGAAACAGAAAGAAAGAGGAAAACAAAGACATACAGAGGTTTATTTTTGAAAATAAGAGATAGCATTTGTACCTCAAGGTCAGTGGCCCAACAAGCTGAATATTTCAAGGATTACATTATTTAATTCTAATGTAGATGTTTTTTCCTGAAAAGATGTTAGTTTCCCAAAGTACAGAGCTTAGTCAAGATATTTAAATTAGCAATTAAATAATCAGTTAAAATAACATGCCATTCCTTAAGTCGAGTACATTTCTGCCACTATTTAATTTTTTTAGGTTTCTACACTGAAAGGAGTAGTTACTGCCTTACAATTCAGTGTCTAGAAGTCGGTGTTAATTCTAAGTTTCTGACTAGGCAGGTGTCCTAGGCTCTTCCAGCCAATCTAGAGAGTGGCTTATGAAGCCTAATTATTCTCAAGACTTTTCATTAAATAATGTGAACACACTTACCTATGGAATGTAAGCTTTGCTACATTGTATATGGAAAGACAAAGATTTCAGATGGGCTTGGTTCTAGGAGGGCGGGATGGTGGCCGTGCTTTAGACTGTGTGGAAGTTCTTTCTGTGTAGTTTATACAGGGGGTAGAGGTTATTCAACTGTCCCACTTACACAGTATGCACAGCGGCTTCCTCGGTCTCTTCCTTGGCCTCTATGGAAATGCACCCGTACAGCGGGAAGGTCAGCTTCACAGTGAGTCTTTTTCAAGCCCATCTTTTCCCCCTCTGGAGGTCACACTGACCTTGAGGAACTGCAGTTCCCTGTTTCCACAGGTTTCTTTTCTTCCTTCGAGGCAGCAGCACCCTCTGCCCTGCTTGCTCTGGCCACATCAAAGACCATGGAGGTGGGTACACAGCAGTCTTGGGGTGACTGTGCCTAGTATGAAACTAGGAGATGGATTTGAATCTCATCTCCTCTTCTTGTCAAATGTGAGTCTTTGGGCAAATCATGTAACAATTTCCAGATCTGTAAACTGAGGATGGTACTAGTTCCAGTGTTGTGCTGCGGCCAGACATGTGTGCCTCTCTCCCGACTTTGAGTTCAGTGAGTCCTGTGGGAGCCTGAGATCCACCATGGTGGGTGGGAGTGTTGACACCACCAGTCAATATTACAAAGCAGGTGCTTTTTGCAGGGCCAGGTGGAGGGCCTGGGTGGGCGGGGCAAGAGGGCAGGGCCATTTGTACCTTTATAACCACACCACGGAGTAGTTCATGCCTCTTAGGGTCTTGGGGAGATAATTAAGGAGATACATGGGGTGTGCTTAACATGGGGGAAAGGCCACAGTAAGGGCTCACTTCCTTTATTATTCGCCCATTTCATTTCCTCTTTTATTCCAACACGAGTCTTCATGAGGCTTTCCAAACTTTTGACCATGCTTTGCCGTCTTGGTTGTTTGAAGGCATCTGTTACTTTAACATAATTTTAACACTGGAGGACAGCGTGTAGATCACCTAGACAAGTTGTTGATTTTCTGAAGAAGAAATTGTAGCACAAAGAGATTGGGTAATGAATCCAGCTTGCACAGCTATTCCTAGGTCGAGAAGAGGGGGTCAGTCTGAGCTAAAGCATACAACTTCCAGTTCAGCAATGTTTTCACCCCCACACACCACACCACCGGCCAATCCTGCTGTAATTACTTAGTTGCACAAAAAGTCACAATATTTACTGAAATATAAGTAAATGAAAAAAGCTACCAATTTACTCCCCAATATAAAATGTTTTACTTGCAATCTACAATGGCATAATTTTTATGTTCTGCATTTTTCTACTTAATTTCATATCTTGATTTAAATGGACTTAACTTTATTAATGGAGTAATGTTTCACTTGCAGAAGGAGTTCTCACTCGAAGATAAAGAACAGCTCGCTAACCACGAAAGAGGAATCGATGCTCAGCTTTTAGTTGCACTTCCTAAAGGTAAGGCTGTTCCTAAGTGACCAACCATGTCTGGGTAGATGCGTATTGTGTTGTCCGAATTTCCTTGAGCAGAACTCTCTCCCTAACCTCCAGCTTACAGTCTCCTTTCGGCCCTTCCTGCCTCCTCCCAGAATTAGCTTCAATTCCCTTCCCCCTCTCTCCATGCATCCATGCATTTTTAATCCTTACCTTTCTGCTCCTTCTTGCCCTTTAATTTTAGGCATCCTCAGGTTTTCGCCAGAGGCTGGGTGTGGCAAGTGAGACAGGGAACATAAAATCGACCTTCCCTCATCTCTTTTCTCTGTTTAACCTTCTCCAAGGGCAGTGAGTTCTGACCATACCCCCATCTCTTCTCTGTCCACCCACTCCTGCTGCCTCTGGAGGCTGCCCCAGGTCTCCTGATGCTTCCCAGTATTAGGGCTTTTACATTTAACATCTTGTAGCTTCCTGCTGGGCTAAGAACAGCCCACGCAGACTTTATCGTGACCATCTTTCTTCTTCCCCAAGCGGGCACTCACACGTGTTTGGTGAATTACTATTTCCACTGGTCAAGGCGCACATGCGGTAAAATGTCTGCACCAACTGTATACCAATTCCCCCTAGTTTTGCCTGTGAAATGATGTAAACATTGCTTGGTCTTTGTAACTGTAACACTAGCACAAGGAATGATCATTAGTCTCAGCTCACAAAATGTCTTCATCCTGACTGAGCTGTGGAAACCTTCCAGTGGAAGAAACAGATTTGATGGAAGGGCAGATTTTTTTCTACTCTGAAAGAAAAAGCAAAAATCATGCCCCAGAGAAATTAGAACAAAAAACATATTCTTTTAATAGAAAGTAAATCCAGTTAAAAAGTCCCGCTGACGAATTGGAATATATCCTGAGGAACTGAACGGGTGATAGGCCGAGACACAGTCTGATGAGGGTGAATGTCTGAAAGACTCAGGGGATTTGGCTTGGTGAAGGAAACCCAGACAGATACATGTGGCAATTTTCAAGAACTGACAACACTGTCAGCCGGAATACAGGTTTATTCTATGTTGCTCCAGAGGCCAAAAGTAAGAATAACGTGTAGAATTACAAGGAGGCAGATGAGATTTCATATCAAAAAGAAAATTGGGCCGGGCGCGGTGGCTCACGCCTGTAATCCCAGCACTTTGGGAGGCCGAGGCGGGTGTATTACGAGGTTAGGAGATCGAGACCATCCTGGCTAACTCGGTGAAATCCCATCTCTACTAAAAATACAAAAAATTAGTCGGGCATGGTGGCGGGCACCTGTAATCCCAGCTACGGGAGGCTGAGACAGGAGAATGGCATGAACCTGGTAGGTGGAGCTTGCGGTGAGCCGAGATCGTGCCACTGCACTCCAGCCTGGGCGACAGAGCGAGACTCCGTCTCAAAAAAAAAAAAAATGAAAATTAGGCCAGGTGCGGTGGCTTACGCCTGTAATCCCAGCACTTTGGGAGGCCGAGGCGGGTGGATCACGAGGTCCAGAGTTCAAAAACAGCCTGGCCAAGACGGTGAAACCAGGTCTCTACTAAAAATACAAAAATTAGCTGGGCATGGTGGCAGGCACCTGTAATCCCAGCTACTTGGGAGGCTGAGGCAGCGAATTGCGTGAACCTGGGAGTCAGAGGTTGCAGTGAGCTAAGATTGTGCCATTGCACTCCAGCCTGGGTGACAGAGTGAGATTCTATCTTAAAAAAAAAAAAAGGGCAATATCAAAAAAAAAAAAAGAAAAGAAAATTAATAGTTCACGGTACCTGGAAATGAGGTGGTCCACGCTGTGCTCGCATCGGCTCTCCCCCAGAGTTTTCAAAGGCAAGTCAGTGGCCTCGTGTCCAGGTAGGACAGGTATAGATGGGGCATGGCCTCGTGTCCAGGTAGGACAGGTATAGATGGGGCATGGCCTTGTGTCCAGGTAGGATGGGTGCAGATGGGGAACGGCTGTGAAGTGGAATGATTCTGTCAATGTTTAGGACTCTCTGTGAAAGACAAAAAACCCAATTTTCTTATTTCTTTTTATTTTAATTTATTTATTTTGAGACAGAGTCTCTCTCTGTCACCCAGGCCGGAGTGCAGTGGAGTAATCTCGGCTCACTGCAACCTCCGCCTCCCGGGTTCAAGTGATTCTCCTGCCTCAACCACCCAAGTAGCTGGGATTACAGGCATGCACCACCACATCCAGCTAATTTTTGTATTTTTAGTAGAGACGGGGTTTCACCATGTTGGCTAGGCTGGTCTGGAACTCCTGACCTCAGGTGATCCTCAGCCTCAGCCTCCCATAGTGCTGTAATTACAGGCATGAGCCACTACACCCAGCCTAAACCACAGATTTTTACAATTTATCTGTGATAGCTTTTTCCTAAATGAGACTTTCATCTCTCCCTTTTGTGAAAATGAAATAATGAAGCTTAAACTATTTAAAATAAGAATGTTATTCCTACATTTGGGCTTTACTTTTCTTTCTTGAGAAAGAAATATATAAAATCATAGGACTTTCAAACTTTATTCTACACACCTCTGACTGCCTCATTTTACTAAAGGAGGGATTCGGCTCCAGTAGCCTCCAGGGCCACGTAGTGAATAGAACTGACCCAGGTGCCACGTCTCCATCTCTCCCCTGGTCCATGGCGAGACCGTGGTGTGCTCAGATTAGTGTTACAGCAGCCAACCCCGTGTGCTCTAAACAGGAGAATATGGTAAAAGGACAGAAATTCCAGCTAGACAGCAAGTTAGAAAAACACACCCTCTTTCTTCATGAATTTTCTCAGTTCACATGCTCTTAACAGGGCTTATTTAAAATTACACATCCACATTCACATTTCAGAGTCTAAGAAATAGAGCCTGGAATTTACAGATTTCCTTTATCGTTTTTTATAAATGGCTGCGCCCGCTAAGGAGGGCAGGTCTGTCTTCTTCAGCCTTGTTGCGTCAGTCTCTCCCCTGTCCGGGGCCTGACTATATTGAATGCTCCATGCTCAGTGCTACCCAGCATCACAGACTGCCTTCCACATTTTGCACGATATCTCATTTGATGTTGAAGACAGCCTTCAGAAGAAAGCAATATTATCCCCACTTGGAGACAAAAAGTGGAGAAATTAAGAAATTATAGGAAACCCTCCACACCCTCCTTTTTTAGAAAATGTTTGCTGCTCAAGAAAATATACCAAAAAGTTATTTTTCTGTTTTCATCTTTTCTGACATTGTGAATGTCAAATTTGAACCATAACCAGCATAAAACATAGGATGCAACCGACTTTCCCACTGGATTAGTAAAATCGTTGTTTTATAACTGTCTAAATTATTTGTGTTTAAATTATCCCTGTTTGGGAACTTCTTTGAGAAAGATTGTGAATTAAATAATTCTTACGTTATTTAGGGATAAAACCTTTACTATTGCTTAAAGAGTACATTAGGCCTTTAGAAATCTTATTTCCACAATGTCAGAAACAGTGGCATCTGAGCTTTCTTATTTGGCGAAGAAGAACATTGGAAAAGAATACAAGAGCCATTGTTTCACTTTGGGAAGTTGGTGGCGTGTTAGGACTTCGTGGAACTCCCTGAACTGTTGAAGAATCCACCTCACACCTCTGTGGCGTTCTGCCCTAGAGGGACCGGCTGGAGGCTCCTGTGTTTCCTGCCTGCCGGCCCCCACCCCAACCATCCACCCTTCCATATCCCACCCAGCCAGAGGCTATCTCCATGTCTCCACAAACGCCAGGTTCTTACCTTGTAGCTGGGATATTTCAGCCACCTAGAGGGCCCCAGATTTATGTGGGAATAAGAATAGAGTTGCAATTCCCCTTTGCTCTCTTTCTTTTCTTTTCTTTTTTCTCTTCTTTTTCTAGGCAGAGTCTTGTTCTGTTACCCAGACTGGAGTGCAGTGGTGTGATCATAGCTCGCTGCAGCCTCAGCCTCCTGGGACTCAAATGATCCTCCCGCTTCAGCCTCCCAAGTAGCTGGGGACTACCTGCACACACCACCATGCTCAGCTGATTTATTATTTCTATTTTTTTGTAAAGACAGAGTTTTGCTCTGTGGCCCAGGCTGGTCTCCACCTCCTAGCCTCAAGCGATCCTCCCACCTCAGCCTCCCAAGGTGCTGGGATTACAGGTGTGAGCCACCACACCTGGCCCTGCTTTTCAGATGTTTGATTTATCTCCCACTTAAAAGACACTTTAGTTTGTTCACGTCTCCAGTTTGTGAACCAGCCAAGACCAAGATCTAATATAAGTACTTATGTGTGCTGTTCAGCCCTATCTGAGATCTATGGGGTGCCTGTAATTCTCTAAAATGAAGGGAAAATTCTGAAAAAGAGAGAGAAAACACACCTTATTTAATATTAGGGGCACATGGTTGTCATGTCTCCTGTTTGACCCAGCCCTGACTGCTCTGAGCCTGAAGTCCTTGTTCTCACCAAGCAGGGCTCTCAGGCCAGCATTCCCTGCTGGAACAGTGTGGGCTATGGAAGAGGAGGCACCGTTTCCCCGGGTGTCCTGGCAGGCACCTGTCACGGTGGCCCAGGGCCAGGCGTTGGGTGAGCAGGCCAGTGTCATGCCTCTCCCTGGGTTCACACAGCCCAGGCCAACCCGCTGCCCAGGCTCCCAGCATCACAGTCCTGCAAACAGCACTTCGGCTTGGCAGTTGTTAGAAGCACTGACAGTTGTTTGAATTGCACCGGCAGGAATTTATGTCCTGCGTAGGCCCAGACGTCGGCTCCTCGACCCTCTCAGAGCCTGGTGGTCTGCGGTGAGCCGGAGGGCTGTGAGCTCACAGGAGGAAGGAACACATTTGGGAAGATCTCCCTCCGTCCTCAGCGTGGTGGACACCAATGAGGAAATCTAAAGGGACAGGAAGAACACACTCAAGTTTTAGTGCATGTTATTTTCGAGTTATTTATCATGTGCTCCGTAGGCTGGAGCCAAGGGCTGGCTCCAAGTGCCAGGTGGGCTCCATGGAAGCACAGTTTCTTCCAGATTATTCTGGTTACTCTGTAGTCTTCAGAAGTCCCCAATGGTAACCCTGCCAGCACATGTAGAAGCAAAATTTCAGGGTTTTGGAATGGAGGAATTCTTTGGAGGCCATCCCATGGTGGGAAAAACCTTTTAAGAAAGCCAGAATCCTATGCCTTTCCTAAAACGGTGTGGCAAAAATGTGTCCAGTCAGCTAATGTTCTACCGCAGTGAAACAAGCTACGCACAGGCAGGCGAGGGCTGCAGTCATGTCTCTCTGCCCACTAACATCCAGTGTGACCTCAGCCAATGGAATTCTTGACCCGGATGTACCCACATTCCTTGTCCGTCACAATGGGAATAACAATTCCCAGTGTCTTAGGGGTCGCCGTGCAGATCAGCAGAGTATAAGATGGACGAGGAGGTGATCTCAGATGCCACAGCTTGTGTTTTTCTAAGTCAGTTTTAGATGCCACAAAGCAACCACCAGGGAAACCGTCCGATGACATAGGTGCTGGTGTCCTTGCCCCAGACTTTTGGGAGCTTCTTTTTGAGAAGGTCTTCAAAGACCGGAGCTCATGACTTTTAATGAACTCAACTCAGGAAGATGAATTTGATCTTTTAAAAATTCATCATTTAGATCCAATCTGATTAACAAGATGGATGGTCAAGAGGAGTAGCTGCTGGCCTGGGTCGAAGGTGAAGTGAGAGAAGCTGGTTCTGAGGCCAGTTTGCAGGGAGAATATCAGTGAGATGAGTGTCTGGCCCCACAAGATGATGAACTAGAATGACTTCTCATTTGGGTATTAAAGTGCTGGCATGTTTACTTTTTGAAAGTCTCATTTATTGATTTGAGCTTTGAAAGCTCAAATACAGCATGCAAATACCAATTTCTTTTAATGATTTTATTTTGTGAGATTATTTTATTAGAATAAAACTGACTCATTCAAAATAATAGGAGAAAAGATGAATCATAGTCATTACATAGTATGAAATGGTGTGGATTAAAACTCTTGAAGGAATTTAGACTTCGTGTCCAAGCCCATGAACTAGCTCTTGTAGCATGCAGGGTGTTGTTAAACATTCGAGAATTACAGGAGTTAGGACTAAATGAGACCTTGACCCAAAGGGATCTGCATGAGATTGATAAGGCAGCCTTATCCCAGTTCTAGAGATTGAGCACTTGAGATCTTATCTGCTGCCACTTAGCAGAAAGAGGAAAACAGAAATGAAGGGGGGAGAAGGAAGAGATTGAGGAAGGGGACAGATCCAGAGTTTGAAGCTCCTTCCTCCTTTGGGGGTCTCCTTTCTTCACGGCTTTACTTTCCATTATTTGACTGAGTGAATAGACAAGTATAGGTGTAATTGTGTACACATATGTAGATGTCACTGGATTCTTAAATACAACAAAATTTGTTTTCTTATTAACTTAACAAAACATTTATCATAGGATATATGTCATCCCATCTCCAAAACAAATATTTAAGGGGAATTGGGAAGCTTGCAAGAAGGGCCCTTAGAGATCATCTGGTCCAGTTCCTGATGTGACAGATACGAGAGGGAGAACCGAGATACCCAAAGGGAGTTAGTGGACAAATTGGGACCAGAGCTGATGTGCTGCTTAAAAATACACTGTTGTCCAGACGTGGTGTCTCATGCCTGTAATCCCAACACTTTGGGAGGCTGAGGCAGGGGGATCGCTAGAAGCCAGGAGTTCAAAGCCAGCCTAGGCAACAGAGCAAGACCCTGTCTCTACCAAATAAAAGTTCTAAAAATTAGCCAGGCATAGTGATGCACACCTGTCATCCTAGCTACTCTGGAGGCTGAGGTGGGAGAGTCACTTGAGCCCAGGAATTCGAGGCTGCAGTGAGCCATGATTATGCTGCTGCACTCCAGCCTTGGTGAAAAAGTAAGACCCTGTCTCTAAAACAAATTTATAAAAATAAAAAATACAACATTTATGGATTATGCATTAGTGATGTTGAGAAGACCTGGCCCATCAGGTCCAGCACAGAGGGAAAGGGATCTAGTTATTTGGTTTTTTCCCTACTCTTTAAATTGTTTGAACAGCAGCTCAGATGAGTTTAATGATCATCACCTTTTTTGTTTTACCTTTTATCTTTCCCATGTTTGTTCGTTCAATGCAAATGCCTAAGATTTCTTCATTCATGACAATACAGTTAGCTGAAACAGCCTCATGTTTGTGAAAAATAACCATTCAAGATTCCAATATTCAAGCAGATTCCTAGTGATGCCATTGTTGAACTAAAGTGGGTTAGGTAACAACCTCAGTTAATTAGATACCTTTTTTGTATATGTCTTTCCTGTGAGGAAAGTTGAAGTGATAATTTTTTTAAAACGGGTTGGTAGAAAATAGTTTCTGTTTAAAGAAGACAGATTAGAAAGACCAAATTCATTTATAGGAAAAGAACAGGGCTTAGAATATCTGAAGAGAAACAGTCATAAACATCAAATTTTACCTCTAATTGAAAGGGATGATATTAAGAGACTGTTAGTACCTCATGGCTTTATGTTTTTAAGCCACGTCTGCATTCTCTTCTGCAAGTAGGAGCTACGATACAGCTTTAGTCCTTTCATGTTATTTCACCAACTGACCAGAAGGCGTCGCTAGAAGGCATTTTTTTTTTCCTCTGAGAACGGTTCTCTTGCTCTCAGCCCAAGGGCAAGGAAAAACATTCCTTGGCTGGGATAATGGTGCATCTTTTATCTAGCAAGTCAGATTTCAGCTCTGTGTTTCAATCAACTGTAAAATCTTCGGGGCCGTCTTAGAAAAGGGACTCTATTATTTTTCCAGACATGCTATCTTCAGAATAAATAAAATTCAAAATGTTACAATGAGGTGGTCGTGGTCGTGTCTTGGCCCAAGCCGCCTCACTTACCTAGATTATGGTTCTATCACAAGGAAGAGTTTGGTGCTGAACTCTTTGTGGCTGGCATGTTTTCCTCCTAGATTGGCATTGTTGAAGAAAAGCGGGGAGGAAGATTGGAGAAACAGACTCAGCAGGAGGCAGGAGGGCAGCAAGGCACCAGCCAGCAGCCTGCAGGGCAGTCCCTCGTCAGGAAGGTAACATTCCCTGTGTTAGGAAAAGCCTTCAGACTAACATCACTCTTGGAAGTGCATCACTCTTGGAAGTGCTTGGAAGACAAGCATGTGCCACCTAATTCCTACTCTGTGAAGCATTTGTGCATTTTTGCCCTTAGGGTAAACACTGAGAACCTGTCACAGAGCAGCTAAAATTGGGCAGAAGGCTGTGCCTGGAGATGTTTCAGAATTGGGATCAGCAACACACACACACTGTGTCAGCAAGCAAGTGCCTGAATTTTAAAGTGTGGACTTCTTCTTCAGTTTAAAAACCTTCTAAATGAAGTCTGGCTTTAGTGTGTTATTAAAGCCTTTATAATGAAAAAAATTGAATTCACCACTAATATCTTTAAGTTCCATGTAAAATACGGACTTGTGTTTCCTATGCAGAGATTTTAAACCTAAGTATAAAAAATAAGCACATAATTGTGATTTACGAGTATTTAGTTCATCATTTAAGCGTGTTTCATGAGTAGCTATGCCTTTTATTGAGAATGTACAGTAATGTATGTTATAAGTTGAAACAAAATTAGGTAATGCATGGTGATCAATACTACCAAGCATTTATATGCGAAAATATTGATGAATTGTTAAATCACAGATGTGATGATGACCAGCTTTTGACCAGATAGTGCACACTTTCAAAACCGATGGTGACTTACTTGCTGACTGGCCCTACAATTGCAAATGCACCTTCTGGCTGGAGGCGAAATGATGCACCGGTGATGCACTCCCAGGTCACTTTCTAGGATCAGAAGTCTTCAAGTAGAAAAGAAAAAGAATGCTTTCAACCAGATGATCCCCAGGCCCCTTCTAGCTCTACAATAAGTTAAGCATCTGTGAAAGGGAGAGATGATGAGTGTGACTTTCATGCATTAAGAAACGTACATAAAAATGAGATGTGCACATAGAAGTGTGAGTCAGGAGTTCTGACACTATTTCCTCTGATACTTCTGTGTCTTCTTAGATTACACTGGAATGGCAATTTGAATTCTCTTCTTTGAGACATACATGGTGTTAAAGATAACATAACTAAAGACATTTAACCCTCAGCCATTTGTAAAGTTCTCAAATATAACTAGATATTTAGAAAGTATACCCATGCGCATATTTTTCACACACCGTGTGAAATTCAGATTTCAAAAATGAGATCCTGAAGTGAAAGAAAATCCATCTGTCAAATAATGTATCCCTGCTACCCACAAACTTTATTTAAAAGAATCTTGAAATCATTGCTTCAAAAACGACTTTAACACATTCCTCATTAGCAAACCTGCCAACTACTATGTCCTGGCACCAAGCAGCGCCTGGCCCCTTCTCCATCACTTTGGAAGGTGCAGAGACTCCCTGGCCCATCAGGAACTGGGAGTCCCAGAGAGCCAGTGGAAATTTAAATGAAGCCAAAAAGCACGAAGCAAAAGAGGTTCCTGGTGAATAGTGAAATGGGTGCACTGCCCCCTTAGAAGAATGGAGGATCACCTTAGGTGTGGAAGCCAGAAGGCTTTGAGTGGAGGATGAGATCCGAACCACCTGAATGCTGGCTAAGGTTTTTAGAAGGCAAGAGAGGCCAGTTGACTGCAGTTGCCCTTGGGGTTGATAATCCAGTGACCTGAAGCCCCGGGACTTGCAAGCAGGCTAGGGCTGGAATGGGAAATGCTGCCTCTGGGCGCGTGGAGGCTGCTGTTTCTGCAGACGGTGAACTCTCCCACTCTTCTCAGTGGCCTGCTTCCCTTTGGCTGGAGACAATAAGCTCTTTGAAGCTAAAATAAGCGGATCTATTTTAGGCCTTTGTAGCCCACACTGGGCAATCTCAGGTTCTGTTGAGGTCAGGTGTTTCTCAGACGGCCTCTGACGACCCCTCGGTTCGTTCCTTCCCGAGGGCTGGCACTGTTTTCAGTCACCCGCCGGCTGTGCTCAGATGTGGTGGGTGAGGCGCCTTAAACCTGGTCTGTCTTGAGGGATTCCCCCAGTAGCTGAGGAGGCTTGACATGCCCACTGCTTGCGGGGTGTCTGAATGCTGCCTTGGAGAAGGACAGACAGTCATGACACGTGGGGCCTGAACAGGGGCACTTGCTGCACGGAGTAGCTCTAGCCTTGCTGACGGAGAGGTACCCAGGAGAGCAGGTGCCGGAACCTTCCATCTTTAGCACCAAAGGCAGAAAGGAGCCGGCGTTATGGTCAGCTCATCACGCCCTTCACGGTTCCTACGTTCCTTTTGTGTGCTGAGAGGCTGCTGCCGTGAGTGTGCAGTCTGTGGAAATGTGGAAGGGGCAGGAAAGAGAGGGGACTCTAGAAGTTCCTTCCATTGCTCCTGTGAAAACACGTGCAACATGGAAGTCAGCACCGTCCTGTAAAAATAGAATGTGTGCCACACAGGTCATTTTGAAATTTTCTTGGAGTCACATTTAAAAATATATTAAAGGGTGCCTTGAAAAATCTATAACTGTTTTGTCTCTGTCAAGGCATTGGTCCCAAAAGAAAACATATTTGAGGTGCTCTAGCCAGCATCTCATTTTTGTTTTCTGTTTTTTGTTTTTTTTTTTGAGGCGGAATCTCGCTCTGTCTCCCAGGCTGGAGTGCAGTGGCGCGGCCTTGGCTCACTGCAGCCTCCGCCTCCCTGGTTCAAGCAATTCTCCTGCCTCAGCCTGCTGAGTACCTGGGACTACAGGGGCCCGCCACCATGCTCGGCTATTTTTTTTTTATTTTTAGTAGAGACGGGGTTTCACCGTGCTGACCAGGATGGTCTCAATATCCTGACCTCATGACCCACCTGCCTCGACCTCCCAAGGTGCTGGGATTACAGGCATGAGCCACTGTGCCTGGCCCATTTTGGGTCTTTTATATTAAGATTTATATTGGGGCTGGGTGTAGTGGCTCATGCCTGTAATCCCAGTACTGTGGGGAGCCAAGGTGGGAGGACTGCTTGAGCCCAGGAGTTTGAGACTAGCTTGGTCAACATGGTGAAACCCGGTCTGTACCAAAAAATACAAAAATTTGCCAGGTGTGGTGGTGCATGCCTATAATCCCAGCTACTCGGGAGGCTGAAGTGGGAGGATTGCTTGAGGTCGAGGCTGCAGTGAGCCATGATCACATCAGTGTACTCCAGCCTGGGCAACAAAGCAAGAAGGAAAGAAAGAAAGAAAGGGGAAGGGAGGGAAGGGAAGGGAAGGCCAGAGTAACTCATTTTAACAGAGAGAGAAAAATGAAATGAAGCAAAGTCTCAAAGAAGTGGTTTGGCAGGATTCTCTGTTACAACTAACTTTCGGTTTTGTATTTATTTTCACCAAATAGTTATTTTCAATTCCAACCCCATTTCGGCTTAGTTGGCATTAAGACATACACGGTGACCCCGCAACTTTTGTGAAGATAGTTTTCCAGCGAATCAGACCTTTTCGAAGAAGAAAAAACTCTTCATAGACTTGGCCATTAAAACCCTGTGTCTGTTTCTGAGTTCCAGAGGGAACTGGATATCCCACTGTGCTTCAGCAGCTGTGAGGTCAGTGTCCATGACAGCCCCAGAACAAGTCCCTGAAATTTTAAGAAAGGTGAATCTGCACATTTATATTCTCAGTGTCTGCTGCCATTGAAATTCCAGATCATAATTCAGGAGAATGAAGTCACTTTAAAGTGCGAGGATGGGAGGGAGAGAAAGGCTGAGGGAATGCTCTCTAAACTCCAGATGATCATTCTGCGGTCAGGGAATGAGTTGGCCTGAGGTTCACATCACCCTATTGTGTGAGCACGTGCATGCTGCTGTTTGAACCCAGGCACAAAATACTTGAAGGTGATTGCGATGCCCTGACCAGGCTCTTCTCTTCCAGTACTCTGCCATGTTCCCTGTTTGTTTTAACCTGCAGGAAGAAGGAGGAGTTGCGGATGATAGTGCCATTTCTAATCTGCTTTGGGTAAGCCTGACTCTAACACAGGTGTCCTCTCGATGGTGGCCAGAATTACACTTCGCGTGGGTAATCCTGATCCTGGGTGGTTCCTTCGTGCACCCTCCCTGGTGCTTTTCTTATCTCCAGACCAGACACAGCCTTTGTCCGGAGTGGAGAGCTGAGCCCGTGCCCTTAAACTATTTTTTAATCATGTAATGAAGATACTTTAAAGAAGATGATATTTTCTGTTTAATGTTAAAACTGTCAATGAAAGTCATGGTTCCTCTCTCTGTAACTGACAATCTTCTATAAATTAACTCATTTAATTACTGCACAAAGCTGACTCAGGTATATTTACCGCGCTTGTGTGGATTTACTTTAGCATTAGCATTCAAGGGAGGACTCTCTTGAAAAGAGAACTGAAATTGCAATGAGTAAATTAACATTCTGTTAGAAAAATCATTGTTTTGTCTCTCCCTCCCCCACGTCCCTGCCCGGCCCCGCTCTGATAAATCTTCTCTTCATCTTAAATCCTCTTGCTTTGCTCTGTAGGAACCTGTATATGCTTCTACTTACTATCGTGCTATTCCTGCTGCCCATAAATACCTGTCTTTTGTGTCGACTAATCGGGTGAGGAAAAGCCGCTCATCTTAAGCCTCACTGCAATTTCTGAGCCGCAGGGGAGGAGCTTCTGTTTAATTTGGGGCAATAATTTCTTTGCTACATTTCACTGTGAAAGAGGACTGTGTGTGTTTCAGTACGATTGCGTGTGTCCATGAGATTGTGTATCTATAAGAGAATGTCTGTGTGTACCATTGACAGTGTGTGTTTGTGAAAGTGTATCTATGAGTGTATGTGTCTGTATGAGTGTGTGTGTCTATGAAAGTGTGTGTATCTATAAGTGTGTTTCTGAGTGTGTCTGTGAGAGTATATCTGTATGAGTGTGTCTGTGTCTATGAGAGTGTGTCCATGAGACTGTGTGTGTATCTATGAGTGTGTGTGCTGAGTGTGCATCTATGAGAGCGTGTCTGTGTGTGTGTGTCTATGAGAGTGTGTGTGTGTCTTTAAGTGTGTGCCTATGTGTGTTTAATTGGTTCTTCATATATTTAGGGTCAGTCACACACACACTGATCCTTGGCTCAGATTTTCAGGTGGACTTGATGGCATTAATTCACCTCATAGTCATGAAACTGGTTTAAGAGGAGAGTGTCCCCTTTCAGCCTCCAAGCCTGGATCCTGAGTCAGGAGCCCAGGAGATGCGTCCGTGTTCTTTGCTCCGGCTCAGTGAGGATGTTGTCCTGCTCAGTTCATAGAGGAGGAGGATATGGTGGAGGCAGTTTGGGGTGTGGAGGGACAGGGAGGAAGACTCAGAGAGGGGAGGCCCCTCCAGTGACCCTATTAAAGAACCAGGGGGAGCTGGTTCCAATGGCCCTATTAAAGCAAGAGACCATGAACCCCCTCACCCTTCCCTCCATCCTCGCTGTACTCGCTCTGGAAGGGAGACCTTGGACTCCCACCCTGGAAGGGAGACCTTGCCTGGACTGAGCCACTCCGTAGGTGAATAACATGAAAAATATTAACAGTTGTTTTTTTATTTCCCCGTGGAATGTCCTTGGTGTCAAAACAGCTCCGCTTTTCCATCAATGCCAGGTTCCCATCTCCTCTCTGTAGGGCTTTGCCCCATCACTTCCCTCTAGGGCCTCTGTCCCCTCCCTCATAGGGCCTCTGTCCCCTCCCTCTAGGGCCTCTGTCCCCTCCCTCATAGGGCCTCCGTCTCCTCCCTCTATGGCTTCTGTCCCCTCCCTCATAGGGCCTCTGTCCCCTCCCTCTAGGGCCTCTGTCCCCTCCCACTGAGGCCTCTGTCCCCTCCCTCTAGGGCCTCTGTCCACTCCTACTAGGGCCTCTGTCCCCTCCCTCTAGGGCCTCTGTCCCCTCCCACTGAGGCCTCTGTCCCCTCCCTCTAGGGCCTCTGTCCCCTCCCACTGAGGCCTCTGTCCCCTCCCTCTAGGGCCTCTGTCCACTCCTACTAGGGCCTCTGTCCCCTCCCTCGTAGGGTCTCTGTCCCCTCCCTCTTAGGCCCTCTGTCCCCTCCCTCTTAGGCCCTCTGTCCCCTCCCTCGTAGGGCCTCTGTCCCCTCCCACTAAGACCTCTGTCCCCTCCCTCTAGGGCCTCTGTCCCCTCCCACTAGGGCCTCTGTCCCCTCCCACTAGGGCCTCTGTCCCCTCCCTCTAGGGCCTTGCCTCCCCAGCAGGACTGGGGCTTTCTTAGCTGTCAGGTGGCCTCTGACAGTGCCGCGATGGGCCTGCTCCAGCAGCACCAGCAGTTATTGAATGAGTGGCTCAGGGTTTCACATGCGAAGCTGACAGGGAAGGTGTCTGGGGTCCTCCCGTAGTCATCTCGCCTCTTCACAGATGGAAACTCCCCACTTCTTCTCCCTGGGGCGGCCTTTCCCTCACTCTCCTGGTTCCTTCCCCCGAAGCTGGAAATGCTGGTTTTAAGAGCCCAGGCCCCACGTACCCAGCCAGTGTCCACCCCAAGAAAGGGGCTGAAATGTGGAGCAAACTTCCTATTCCATCACGAACGGGGGAAATGAGCTTGTGTTTCTTTGAAATAAGCCAATATTAAACTTTAAAGGAAAAGATATATTACTGAAGTCTTTAAGTGTATACAGTCGGCCCTTCATCTCTTCCAGTTCCGCATCCAAGGATTCAACCAACTAGGGATACTTGGGAATAAAACCAATAAGAAAGAACAATACAACAGTTAAAAAATTAAAAACCAATACAGCAGAACAACTATTTACATAACATTACCTTGTATTAGGTATTATAAGTCATCACGAAATGATTTAAAGTACACAGCGGGGATGTGCACAGGCTGTGTGCAAATCCTACCCCATTTTATTTCAGGGACTTGAGCATCTGTGGATTTTGGTATCTGTAGGAGGTCCTTGAACCAGTCCCCCATAGAAGCTGAGGGACAACTAGATATATTTTTCAGAAGAATTTATTTTTTTGGAGCAGTTGTAGGTTCACAGCAGAAAGTACAGAGTTCCTACATCATCCCTGCCCTCCCACACACAGCCACCCCAATTATCAACATCCCCCTCCAGAGTGGCACATTTGCTACCATTGATGAACTTACATTGACACATCACTATCCCCAAAGTTAATAGATTATGTTAAAATTTACTCTTGGTGTGGTCCATTCTCTCGGTTTTGACAAATACATAATGACATATGTCCACCATTACACTATCATACAGAATCGTTTCCCTGCCCTGAAGATCCTCTGTGTGCTGTCTCTTCGTCACTCTCACTGCCCAGTCCTTGGCAACCTGTAAGTTTTTACTGTCTCATAGTTTTGCCTTTTCCAGAATGTCATCTAGTTGTAATCATACGCTATGTAGCCTTTTCAGATTTGCTTCTTTCATTTAGCAATATACATTTAAGATTCTTCTGGCTGGGCGTGGTGGCTCATGCCTGTAATCCCACTTTGAGAGGCTAAGGCAGGCGGATCACGAGGTCAGGAGTTCTAGAAAAGCCTGGCCAAGATGGTGAAACCCCGTCTCTACTAAAAATACAAAAATTAGCCAGGCATTGTGGCGGATGCCTGTAATCCCAGCTACTCGGGAGGCTGAGGCAGGAGAATCGCTTGAACCAGGGAGGCAGATGTTGCAGTGAGCAGAGATCGTGCCACTGCACTCCAGCCTGGGTGACAGAGCAAGACTCCATCTGAAAGAAAAAGAAGAAAGAAAGAAAGCAAGAAAGAAAGCATGAAAGAAAGCAAGAAAGAAAAGAAAGAAAGAAAGAAAGAAAGAGAGAGAGAGAGAGAAGGAAGGAAGGAAGGAAAGAAAGAAAGAAGGAAGGAAGGAAAGAAAAAGATTCTTCTATGTCTTTTTATGGTTTGAAAGCTTTTTTCTTTTTAGTGCCAAATAATATTCCATTACCTGGGCATGCCACAGTTTACTTATCTATTCATCTACTGGAGGACAGTTTGGTTGCTTCCACATCTTGGCAGTTATAAAAAAGTGCTATAAACATCCATGTGCAGGCTTTTGTTTGGACATAAGTTTTCAACTCATTTGAGTATCAAGGAGCATGATTGCTTTATCACATGGTAAGAGTATGTTTAGTTCTATGAGAAACCTCCAAACTGTCTTCCAAAGTGGCTGCACCATTTTGCATCTCCACCAGCAATGAATGAGACTTCCTGTTGCTTCATATCCTTGCCAGCATTTGATGTTGTCAGTGCTTGGGTTTTTGCCATCCTAATTGATGTGTAATAGTGTCACTTTGTTTTAATTTGCAAATCCCATCATTAGGGATTTGCAAATTAGATATTCAGCATATTTCCATATGCTTATTTTCTATCTGTATATCTTCTTTGGTGAGGTATCTATTTAGATTTTTTTCCCATTTGTTAATCTGGTTGTTTGTTTTCCTATGGTTGAGTTTTAAGAGTTATTTGCATATTTTGGGTAACAGTCCTTTATCAGACATGTCTTTTGCAAATATTTTCTCCCATTCGTAGTTTGTCTTCTCATTCTTTTAACAGTGTCTTTTACAGAAGTTTTTAATTTCAGTGAAGTCCAGCTTGTTAGTTATTTCTTTCAAGGATATTGCCTTTGCTGTTACATCTAAAAACTAATCATCAAACCCAAAATAATCTAAATATTCTCCTACGTTATCTTCTAGGAGTGTTATAGTTTTGAATTTTACAGTTAGGTCTTTGTGATCCATTTTGAGTTAATTTTTGTGAATGGTGGAAGATTTGTACCTGGATCTTTTTTTTTTTTTTCACATGTGAGTGTCTAGTTATTCCAGCACCCATTTGTTGAAAGCAGTATCTTTTCTTCATTCTATTGCTTTTGCTCCTTGTCAAAGATCAGTTGACTATATTTATATGAATCTACTATTGAGCTCTCTATTTCATTGATCTATTTGTTTATTCTTTTACTAGTACCACACAATCTTGATTACTGAGGCTTTATAGTAAGTCTTGAAGTTGAGTGGTGTTGGTCCTCCAACTTTTTTCTTCCCCTTCAGTGTTGTGTTTGCTATTCTGGGTCTTTTGACTCTCCATGTAAACTTTATGATCAGTTTGTCAATATGTTCAAAATATTTTGCAGGGACTTTGGAACTGCATTGAATTTATAGATCGAGTTGGGAAAAACTGACATCTTGACAAAATTGAGTCTTCTTATCCATGAACATGGAATATCTCTCCATATATTGTTAAGTTTAAGAGAAAATAACATTTGCCAAAGACATTTATGTTTCATCACTTCAAAATTAAAATTTCAAAAAATTCTATATTTTTACTTCTGACCAGTTTTTCCCAGCTGAATGTAAATATTTTATATACTAAGTATGTAGCACTAGCTCATCTGTGTTCTCAGAGGTCAAGTCACTCCTTTTCTTTCCTCCAGCAGTACTGGTGTCTTCATACTTAATAATACAGAGGTTCAGAGAAGAAAAGAGAGCATTTAAACAGCACACAGGCTCTGTCTAAATGGACTGTTTGTCTCTGTGTCAGGCTTCAGCCTGAATTCCTTTCTCTCATGCTTCAGGGCTGTACCAGAAGAAGATTTCACTTTATTCCCTTCTTTTCATCTTAGGAGCTGGTAGATGGTGACAGGACTGGAAAACAATTACTTCAAGGTCTGAGCCTAGACCCGTGATCTTCATCTCTTGTTCAGGCTATTTGAGGCTGCATGCAGTGACAAGGGACTGAAATTTCTCTTAAGGAAGGGGCAAAGCTAAATTTCTTTCACAGTGTGTAGAAATCGAAATGATGCTAGCGTTTTTGAAAACTGAAAAGTACAACTTTATTACTTTGACCTTTTTTCTATTGCTTAATACGTGCTCTTATAATTTCTTCCTTTATAGTTTAGTTTAACTAGATGTGAATAAGATAAAAATTTAAAAGCCAGATCACAGTATTTTCTTCCCATGAAGCTCTCCGGTTGTGGAGGAGTTTTACCCTTAAATCTACCCTAATCCTTATAATACGACTTAGTTGTGCTCTCTCTTGTTGGATCACATCCCTGTGTGAGAAACATTAAGTGAGATTTGCTATGATTTCTCAGTCGATGTATAAAGACAGAAGCAAACCCATCAGCAACATCATGCAACCTAAAAGCATTCATGTTAATTCATTCTTTGCATAGTTTCCAGCTGTGACTTACCAAGTCTCTGACCATCTTTAAAAGAAGACCGTCCTTTCTACCTGTTTCACTACCTTCTATACACACACACACACACACACACATGTGCATACACATACACAAATACTCATTTTCTCCTCCACCCTCTCCCTCTGCCTCTCCCCACCACATTCATGGGATCTATCTTTGAAAGAATAAAGGACAGATGGGGTAGAGGTTTCTGTTCAGATTCTTCTCCAATTCTCTCTTACGATTCCAGTCAACACTCAACTTGTATCGGCTAAACCTGGGAAATGCTACAGTACTTATTAATGTACATATGTCCTTCTCTAAACAAGGAAAGAAAAAATTAAAAGGAAAAAACAAGACAATAATGAAGAAGCTGAGAAAAAGCAAACGGACAAAGATATCCATCTTCTTTGTTTTCACACTTTGAGTTCAAAATAGAAGAGCAACTTGTGATAGATTTTTGTTAAATTCTTTGGAGTATAAACAGCCTATATATTATTTACCTCCTTATAGAGCCATGTAAAGTCAGATAGCAGGAATTGGGGAGCCATAAGCCAACCCTACTAAGTAGCAATGTTAAGTAGAAATTTTTAGAGAAGCAAAAACGTTTATGTTTAATATTATCATTTAGCAGAGATTACAAATTATTTGTTCTTGACCTAGATCTGGCAAAGAAATGGAAGCTTTAAATTCTAAGAAGGTCATATTGTCCCAGGGTTCATATCCATCATGTGCATGAAGGGCTCTGGGGGAATCCCAGTGCTTTGAAAAACAAAATTGTTGACTCAAGGCCACCATCTTTCTGAGTCACCATCCACACCCACTACCCCACCCCGGACTGTCGAGATGCCTGAGATAATTCACCGCAGAGTTGACTAAGTGAATAGTGAGTCACCATAGTGATGGCTGGACCTTTGGAGACGCCAACTTTCTTGGCACTTGATGTGTTTCTTGGAAATATTTGAACCCAAGTGCCATCTTGGTTTGATTAAAATTCACTCCTGAAACTTCATTTTCAAAGAAAACATATTCTCTTTGTTGAATTTTGATGAGGTCTTTTGGGCAAGTGAACCTCATCGTTTATTTAAAAAGGATACGTGATTCAGAGAGTTACTTGGAATTAGGAGCTTCTCGCCAATCATAAGCAGAAAAGTTAGGGTTTTAAAAAAATCAGTAAATCTTAATTTTGATAAAATGTTAAACTTATAGAAAAATTTCCATTATAGGCAGAGCACTTTCGTACCCTTTACCAGAACCACTCATTGTTGACATTGGCCCCCCTCCTTCACTCTCGCTCCCTTCCTCCCTCCACTCCTCACCCCACTTTCTTGCCTTCTCTTCCCCCATCTCATTTTTCCCACCCCAACCATGTGCCAGTAGTTTGGAAACATTGTGCTCCTCTACCTTTCAATATTTGACTTTATTTCCTAAAGTCAAAGATATTTCCTCGCATAACCACAATATGGTGGCCAAGAGGAGGAAGTTAATGTTGATACAATATTTATCTGATCCACGTCCATCTTAAAATTGTCAGTTTCCTCCAATAATGCCCTTTGTAGCCCCCACCCCATCTAGGATTCAAGCCAGGATCATGCATTGAGTTTGGTTGTCATGTCTCTTTAGGAAAAGGTTTTTAACCTAATTTAAGTTGGCAGGGACCTCGAAATCACTTCTGGCTATGAGGGCTTTATAGAAGAATCCTGTGAAAGAAAGATTCATCATTTAGATGATGGAGAAGTCCACGTTCATAGCTTAAACCAAATCTTCCCAGTGCAGACCTGGTTTTGTGCTGCTGGAAAGGAAAGGAAGGCGCCTTTCCTCTGTCAACCCCCATTATTCCAGGGCATTAAGAAAATGAACTGCCCCCATCTCCACTCTCTGCCTGTCCCTCCTGAATTAGGAACTTCTCTCTCGTGGGTTGGTTAAGGGAAGTGGTTTGCCGCAGTGAGGAGGAGAGGCATCAGGGAAGAGAATCTCTACGATGGGCTTCACTCGGGGCTCTCCGAGTCCCCCCCTGTGTCAGCACGAGGCCTTAGGATCACATTGATCCACGGTGACTTCTTAGCCAAGGAAAACGCCCTAGGAAGGCAGAAAAGCTGGGGGACCTGCCAGAAGCAGTTGAGTAGTGCTCAGAAGTAGTTTGAAAGCGGATGCACTAGCAGCAATCTGGGGGACCTGCTAGAAGAAGGTGTGGAGTGCTCAGATGTAGTTTGAAAGCAGATGCACTAGCAGCAATGGCCTTCCTCAGATCCAAAAGACAGGGGAAAGCGAGAGGCCAAAGTTAGGAGGCTATCGCCGGCCCCCAGACCCCCTTCCAGAGGAGACCTGCAGGTGACGGCCAGGGACATGCCTTCTGCTCTGGAGGGGTCACCTTTGCACTCTTCCTTCCTTGGCATTAGCTCCACACCTCCTGTGCTTCTCCCCCGCTCCCCACCCAGCCCAGTGCCTCGCCATAGACAGGGGTCTTGTGGTGCAGGGAGGGATGGCTTGAAGACAGAGGAAAAGCAAACTCTGCCGGCCAGCGTTTGAGGATCTCCTGCCCTGGTATTGCCCGCGACCGCCAACTACACTCTTCTCCCCAATACACATCACTCAGTGGCGTGAGTCCTGTCCTCTGCCTCCATCGCTGCTCCTCTCCCTCCCTCCTCAGTCCCATCTCCTCATCCTAGGCCTGTCCTGAGCCCCTCCTCCTTTCCTGATACCCTTTGAGTCCCCTGTAGCTTCTTCCCCTTCCCCTCCTGCCACATCCCCAACCACAAGCTTAATGAGCATCACCAATGGCTTGGAAATGGAAGAAGCAGATCTCTCCAGAAATTTTCCAATTAGAAACTGCTGAGAGCATTTTACGTAGAAATGTTACCGTGCATGTAGGTTTTTTCTACAGCATAGTTCACCCTCAACATCAGATGTCTCACAGTTTAAAGCCACTTCTGTGGGCTCTCCTGGTTGTCTACCTGCCCGCAGAACATCAGTGGCTGCAGGAAAAACCAAGCAGAGTGCCAGAAAACCTCCTGCCCCTTATTCCTAACCAGCCTTCCCTGTCTCTAACTGGGCAAGTTCCTCGTGTGCTCACATGGATAAAGTTTTCTAGATCAATCATGTTCTTTGTGAGTATATAGGGATAAAAATCTCCCAGTTAACTGAGTTTAACTAGATGGGTTAAGACAGAGAAACTTTAAAACCCTGTAGAGTCCAGGGCATGAAAACAATCTATTTTTAATTGTTTGTGTTTACAAAGAATTGTTCTGGTGCTCCAGTGCCCCAAACCGGTAAGTCACAGGACAGAGGCGTTCATCTAAAGTTACAGCATCGCCAATGGTGATCTCCCACCCAACCTGCACGTAAGGAAGCTGAGCCCATTTCAGATAGAACATTTTTGAACATCTTTGGACAATATACTTACTCCTCTTTGTCTACCTGCTTTTTTCACGCATGAAATGCTGCAGGCTGAGATCCACACCGCTGTCATTTCTCTCTCCTGTTTTCTCTTCTGTACATTTATGAACAGCGGGTCACAGAAAGTCGAGAGAGCCAAATGATGATTGAGGAGAGGAAGCAGCTCATCACTGTGAGAGAGGAGGCCTGGAAGACGAGAGGCAGAGGAGCGGCCAACGACTCGACCCAGTTCACTGTGGCTGGCAGGATGGTGAAGAAAGGTCAGTTGTGTGTGTGTGCCTGTGTATGTGTGTGGTGTGTGCACAATGCACACATGTGAGCACACTCACCCATGGAGGGCATGGTGGTACACGATAGCTCAATTTAAAAGAAGAAACCATGGTCTCTTTAATTTTTTTTTTTTTTTTAAGATACAAGGTCTTGCCCTGTTGCCTAGGCTGGAGTGCAGTGGCTCAGTCATGGCTCACTGCAGCCCCAAACTCATGGGCTGAAGCAATCTTCCCACCTCAGCTTCTCTAGTTGCTGGGACTACAGGTGTGCAACACCATGCCTGGCTTTTTAAAACTTTTATGTAGAAATGGGGTGTCACTGTGTTTCCCAGGCTGGTCTCAAACTCCTGGGCTTAAGTGATCCTTCCGCCTCAGTCTCCCAAGTAGCTAGGACTACAGGCGTGAGACACCCTGTCCAGCTTTCTTTAAAAAGTTTTAAACTTACTGACATTCTGTACATGTTTTTTGGGTAGGTTCTGTGAGATAGTCCTACTGAATATCTTTTTGTCATAAATAGTGTCATCTTCAAATGCATAATTTAATTTGTCACTATTTCAAAACTTACCCCTTTAGAATTGAATGCAATTGTAGGTTTCAAAAGCAATTCAGGTCTGCTAGCAAATCTTGGTCCTTTCCCATAATTACTTTTAAATCGTTTCCATTTTCTTGTGACCTGGCAACCACTTACCCCAAGTCAGCCTTTCACAATAGAGAAGTTTGTCTCCTCTTCCTTTTATATTAATTCCTGGGTCCTTCTCCATCAAACCTGATTTCTCTGACTGACCAAAGTCAATCCTGGATATGCTTTAATAGATGTCTAAAATATGTCCTCAGTTCCAAGGCAGTGGGATGTCTCTGGGGCAGTCCATTCTTTGCTGCTGAGCTCTTGGAACTGATTTGTTGTCTGTATTCAAACATTTATGAAATTGACTTACATATGAAATACTTAGTAAAGTCATCTGAGAGCTTTAAGTCTTCATAGGAGTGTTTGGGGCTTTGTTTCATGTCCTGCAGGAAATCGTTAAAATTTGGGGTCCCTTTGTCACCTATATGCACATACCATCATTTTCTAAGCTATTATTTAAAAGCAGATTTCCCAACTTAGTGGTAAACATTTTCACATTCACTTTGTCTTAACATCTTGTCATCAACTTTATAGGCTTAGCTTTCCTTTTTCTCAGAACCTTTAGGGGTCCATGCTTTCATGAATAGTACCTAATTCATTATAGGTACATAATAAATGTTTGCAGAAGGAAAGGAGGGGAAATCCCTGAATTGTAAATAACTCAAATCTTAGTGGGGAATCCCTTCCAATACATCTCTTCAGCCTCATCTTGGAATTGTGAAAAGATGAGAGAAGATAATTTACTCTTACAGTAAATTATTTGCCAATTTTCTGCATCAGATCACAGAACTGGACACTCATGTTTAAACTCCTTTAACGTGAGCCCCAACCCTTCTTTAACAGAAGCACGTCGTTAGGTGCAGGGTGACTAAGTAGAACTGGAACTGAGAACCTGAACCAGACCTCAGGTTTTCCAACTTCTAGCCCAGACTTTCATCTTGATGACTTTCTGCTTTGGTTTCTTTTTTCCTCTTCCATCTTAAAAATCTGAATTTATTTGTAAGTGGGTTCTTACTACCAAATGCCACTGCCCTTGTCCACATTGACATCAGAGGATATAGATTTGCTCTTATTCAGGTTTGTGGAAGCAACAGTTCCCATTTCTCGGTGGATGAGTTCGCTTTCATATTTTCCTGAATATATCAGAGATCTTTATTTAACAGGTGTTATATGGCTCACTGAGGAAATTATCTTCTTATACTTTATAATTAATGAAAAAACTGTCTCTTCTGTTTCTAATATTTGCCATCACCTCCTGGGTTATATGTTTCACTTGAGTCATTAGCACTTTTTGATTTGCAGTGATATGGTAACCGATTAACATTCACTGCAGAATAAAATAACCCCCTGCACAACAGCCTGGGGTCCTATCTCCCAGAAACATCAGGCCACCAGGAGTGACCACCTCTCAGCGCGTTGCCAGGAGGCATCTGGGACCTGACCTTCATTCTCTTACCCCAGAAACCTCTCTTCTCCCGCTAGCCACGTTAGGACTTTCTCCCTTTTTTATATTCCTTGATTCTGTGTAACGGTTAGCACTCCACAAGGTTCTCGTGGTATTCTAGGATTCTCCTGGAAGCCAAGTACTCCAACCACACCTGGAGTAAGAGAGACGTGAAAATGTTCCCGAAGACAGTAGGTGACTGGTTGCTGTACCTAGAATTCATTGAAAAGAGCTATGGTGGGATCTTTGTTTTGTCTTAACATTTTGTAATCTGCATCTCCATGCCCTGAGCCATTCATTGCCTAAAGATCCTTATCTCTAGCTGGGAGAAGAGCTCTTTTGGATAGTGCCACTGCCTGAACCGCCAGCAGGGGGAGCCATGGCAGCGGATTTGCCCGGCACCGGCCAAGATAGGGATGGATTTCTCCGGTTGCTTTGGAAACCAGCCTTCAGAGCCAGTCCTGTTTATTAGCTGCGGAGTTAACGGCCTCTTTGCTAATGAACTCCTCTGATGTCTCTTAAGCATCCTTCTAGTGAATGATGATTTCCCTCCCCACCCTGTGATACCAGATTTTATTTATCTTTAAATCTTTCAAGAAAGTTTAATTTCTCATGGATATAAACCCTTTGCAGTTCTGGCAATTGAAACAACTTTTAAAACTTTTAATGACATCATCAATCAAACATATATAAAATGAGAAGTACTTCTAGGATATTACCTAAAACTTGAGTTTTAAACCATTTAATTGTATTTTTATTAAATTTTTTATGCTATAATACTTCTCCCGTTCACAGGAGGAAGGGGCAGAATCATTCATTCATTTGGTTTTCCTTGTGATAGTGATTTGCATATCCTGTCGATGTTGTTCGTCCAGGGTTGCATTGTCATCTAAGTGGCAATGTCATCTAAGGATTTCACATTTATTACAAATGAGTACAGAGAACATTCACATCTCATTTTGGTTTTTTGTAAATGCACTAATTAGTTTTCTTTCCAATGCCTTCCACTTAGGTTAGGGAAGCAATACTCATCCTTCTCTTTACTAAGTTTTCTTCTTCTAGCTGGATACTTTCTCCATGCAGGAATTCCTCCCTTTCCCTTTCATGTGTCTCTCACCACTTTCCCTTTTAAAGATTCCCCACCCTGCTTCTCGGTAAATATACGAGGAAAAGCATTTCCTGTTTCTGCCCACACGGGAGATGGACTGGACCTTCCAAAACTTGTAGTCGGTACAGACCTGCCCTGCTCTGTGGTTTCTTCTGAAAGGTTGACCCTCCTTGGGTTACTGTCTGTGTCATGTCCCCAAGGCCACTGTCCCTCCCTCCCCTCAGCCTGGAGGAGAGCTCCAGTGTGGGGGGCCACTTGCTGGCAAGTGTGACACAGTTCATTCTGCAGATGGCACCAATGCACTCTCAGCTGCCCCCACCATCTCCAAAGGGCCTCAGAACTCACAGCTGCATTTGCTCAAGTCTACGTGTCATGGACATGTTTTCCCACATCTCCACCGTTCATTTTGGATTATCAGCTCGTCAGCCACTACAGTCCTTGGAAATAATAAAATCCTGTCTACATCTGCAGTTGGTTGTCCCACAGTCGTGGTACGTGTGAAATGTGTGTGTGTGTGCCTGCATGTGTGTAAATTCTTATATGTTGTGCCGTCTACCCTGGGACTCCTGGAGATCGGTCAGGGTCCCGGAGATTTCCAGAAGTGACCCTGAGATGCTCAGTAGCTCGTCTGTGTGTTCCACAGGTTTGGCGTCACCTACTGCCATAACCCCAGTAGCCTCAGCCATTTGCGGTAAAACAAGAGGCACCACACCCGTTTCCAAACCCCTGGAAGGTAAGTCGCCAAGGCCTCGGCCACGCCAAGCCTGATCAGAAGAGGCCTTAGTGATGCTGTCTCACTGACGGTTTCTGCTTGCCTAGATATCGAAGCCAGACCAGATACGCAGTTAGAATGGGACCTGAAGCTGGACAGGCTGGAAACCTTTCTAAGAAGACTGAATAACAAAAACATACCTACCGGAAGCCAGAAGGCTTTGCTCTCAGAATCTCTAAATCCTAATTCTGATTGCTTTTCTTCCTCAGCTAAATTGTTTTCTTTCTATTATGGCTTTCCTAATTCATACTGTAATCACCGCCTTTGTTGTTATCTTCAAAAAATGAAGTTTTGGTCAAGACCGATTAGACTATCAAGCCCTAATTCATTTGATAACATACTAAATTGGGGACTCCCAATATCACATTTGTTCTTGAATCTAAGCCCTTGGGATGCCATCCAATTGGAATTGTGAACTAAGTGATTTTGCTTATAACTCTGAAAGCAGATTATTATACATCAGCAAATCAACATGATCTTGGGCCTGGTGAACTTTAAATTGTATGTTATCAGTTTCCAATAAGGTAAAAGCTGACATTATTTCTTATAATCACAAACGATTTCTAAAGTAAAATTATGGCAAATGAATGTTGAACTAAATATTTCAATATACAAGTCAAAGAAATATGCAAAATAAAAGAGCAATATGCAGAAATTGCCTTTTATCTCTTGATTAAAATGTCCAATCCGGGAAACTTATCAAATACTAGGCACTGGGAGCCCCTACTATTGACAGTGACCACTAAAAGGTTAAAAATAATACAACCACCACTGAACAGAAATATAAAAGTATAATATAATCACTAAACTAGCTAAGCAGGGAATGCCAATCAGCAAAGCATTTATTACAAATGTGGAACAGTGATCTAGCCTGTGGGTTAGCAAGCGATGGCCACTGCCAAATCCAGCTGCCCACCTGCTTTGGTTTTTTGTTGTTGTTTGTTTTTTAGAGACAGTGTCTTGCTCTGTCACCCAGGCTAGACTGCAGTGGTGCCATCATAGCTCACTGCAGCCTTGAACTCCTGGGCTCAAGCAATCCTCCCACCTCAGCCTCCTGAGTAGCTCCAACTATGGGTGTTCACCCCTAAGCCTGGCTAATTTTTTTTCTTTTTCTGTTTTTGGAGAGATGGGGTCCCACTATGTTGCTTAGGCTGGTCTTGAATTCCTGGGCTCAAGCGATCCTCCAGCCTCAGCCTCCCAAAGTGGTGAGATTATAAGCGTGAGCCACCATGCCCAGCTCTGTTTTTGTAAATAAAGTTTTACTGAAACACATCCATGCCTATTTGTGAACTATTGTCAATAGCTTTTGCATTACAACAGCAGAACGGAGTTGTTGTAACACGGGCCCCATGTCACCCCTCCCCATGCAAAGCCTAAAATGTTTACTGGCTGGCCCTTTTCCGAAGAAGTTTGCCAGCCCTTCATGTAGAATGAGGCTGAGGCTGGTTCATCTACCCTCAACAGAAGCAAGTGCAGGTTCAGAAGCGTTCAGTGGGCTCCTGTGTGCAGTAAGGTCAGCCTCCCTCTCTCCCGTTTTACTGCAGATTTGTTCAGGTGGGAAGCAACCGCAGGACCTTGTATATCACAACCGTATTTCTTCCACTCCTGGAACTTAGGAGGAAATAGAATTTTTAAACTATTGGTGAAGCATAATTGGAGTCCTTGTTTTTATAAAACTCTTACGTCATTTGCTTGTTTGTTGATAGTTGGCGGGATGCACGAAACGGTGCTCACTGTCACCGGCAAATCTGTGAAGGAGCTGATGAAGCCGGATGATGACGAAACCTTTGCCCAATTTTACCGCAACGTGGATTGTAATATGCTGAGAAGTCCTGTGGAGCTGGACGAGGACTTCGATGTCATTTTCGATCCTTATGCACCCAAGTGAGTTATTTGGGTCTCCGTCTTTCCTCCACTGAGAAGGGCTTCCTTCGCCTGCAGAGGGCACATCCATGAGGCTCTTCCCCCAGTGTGGCCTCCTTCTCTTTCTAACTCCATCACAGCCGCGTTAGTATTCTAGAGCCAGGGCACCGTGTTGCAGGAGCCAGGGGCACGGAGCCTCGCAGCAGATAAAACATGCAGACGGCAGACCAGATGTGCATGCAGGCAGACCGCGTGGGCCACAGATGCTTGTCCTGTGCCATAAAGAGTCAATGAATTTTTCACATAATTTGAATACCGTTTTGCAGTTTTTATGTTTATATCACTTAGCAGAGAGTTCAACACCTGTCTTTCATTTGACATATTTCTTACTCATAACTTTGCAAAATATTTGGATGAGATGGGCTCAAATTAGTACAGCTCACTAGAAAATCAGTAAGGCATGTTACTTAGCTTCCAATCATTTACAAAATCAATAGATCTGCGGGTTTTCTCAGTGATGACTAAGGGTTTCTCTTCCCACGGGATCATGACTAAACCAACTAGGAAAAGCGATAATGGTATTAGGATCCCGTCAATTTCAAGTGCCAGAAAACCATCCCAGTTCAAACCGACTTCAGCCAAAAAGAAAAATGAGAGGGGTTTACTGGCTCACTTGCCGAACAGTGCGGGGGCAGGTTTCCGGGCTCATTCGCTGGAAAGTGCTGGGGGGCAGGTTTCCGGCTCATTCGCTGAAAAGTGAGGCGGGGTTTACTAGCTCACTCGCTGAAAAGTACGGAAGTGGCCTCGGGTTCTAAAAGCCCCTCAGAACACAGTCTGTCTTGGCTGTTTTCCTTGGCCTCACTCTCCGTTAGGCAGTGGCCTGGCGGCAGATGGACACCCCACCTCTGGAGTCACAAGGCTGCCTCCCTGGCCAGCCCAGCACGGGTAGCTTCTCTTCCCAGTAGTCCCAGCAGAAGTTCCAGGTTTGATTTTCTTGGCTTCAAATTGAGCCCGTGTCCATCCCCAAACCAGTCACTGTGGCCAATGGGATAGAAGATGCTGACTGGGTAAAGGCGGGTGTCTGGGTCTCCTCTAGAGCCACGGTGGGGACGCAGGGAGGTGGTTTCCCCGAAGGAAAATCCAGATGCTATTACCAGAAGCAGAGGGAGACACGCTAGACAGGCTCCATCCACGGCAATCCACCACATCCATCTGGTCTTAACTGCGAAATTGTCAGAGTGACAGTCTCTTCCCTTATCATATGTTTTTCTGTAAACTGCTCTTGAGATATTTTTTGCATGTTTCAGTTTGTTCAATTTGTTTCAATTTGCATATTTTCATTTCCTATCTTAAAAAATGAACCCTTTGCCATTTTCCACCTCAAAATAGTATTTTGGGTATTTGCATACATAGCTATTTAACCACTTCGCAATCTTCCGCCCACCCAATGTCACTGTTTAAAGAGTTGTATATCATCATTTAAACATATATGTATATTGACACACACATATGACACCATGGTACGTAAAGAGGCCTTTTGGGAACAGAAGGCCGTGCAGCTGGAGGTGGAGAGTGGCAGCAGGAGTCTATTGGGAGATCGCTTCGCTCGGTCTGCTCACCGACCCTAGTCTGATTTTCCACCCCAAAGAGTTGTGAGAATGTGGGGTGGTCACAGATGATTGCGGGCCTATTTTATTTCAATATATTCTTCCAAAAAGTGGTTATTTTTCAGAGGGGGCAGTGAGTTGAGTGGAAGCTAGTCATGGAGGGTCAGTAAGGGGACCGAAAGCTATTGCATAGGGAGAAAGTTTAGTCTAAGTGAAAAGGATTACATCAAGGAGCCATGGTCTGCAAATTCCCGAAGGGCTTGCCAGAGACAGAGAAGTAGACATGGGTGTATGATTCCAAAGTGAGAATTAGGACGTGTGCATGGGCGCGGTAAGGAGAGGGAAGAGCTCCCTAAACCCTAGAGCTGTCTAGCAGAGCCGTGAGCTGCCCGGAAGTACTCCACACCCTCCCAGGAGGAGACCAAGGGGCAGGAGTGAGTGGGGGCGTCTGGGCGTGGCTGAGATTTGAACTCAGTGGGCTTGCATCCCTCTTCCATCTCCAAGAATCTATGACTCCATGTGAGGGGAGTGGCGGTGGGAGGAGGAGTTGCAAGATTTGTAACAAAATCAGGAAATACTTTGTGGAGTCCAAGACCCCCAGGTCATCCAGGGGTGGTGGTGTCACAGACCGGGACCGCGGCTCTGCTTCCATCCGCAGATTGACGTCTTCCGTGGCCGAGCACAAGTGGGCAGTTAGGCCCAAGCGCCAGGTTCAGGCCTCCAAAAACCCCCTGAAAATGCTGGCGGCAAGAGAAGATCTCCTTCAGGAATACACTGAGCAGAGATTAAACGTTGCCTTCATGGAGTCAAAGCGGATAAAAGTAGAAAAGAGAGAGTATTTGAACCCCCACCCTGCTTCTGTGTTTGGGAATGGCTTCTTCCGATGCTTTACTCATTGCTTGGTTTTCTGCCTTGTGAAGGCCAATAATGGTGCTCAGAAGGCCCTCATGAAGTAAAAAGGAGTAAGTTTGCACATACGTGTGCACGCTTACCTAGACTTTAAATATTTTTCATGGAAATTCTCAAAGTGTGTATCACCTGTTCAACTGGTTAATTCAGATTGTCCTGGGGTTTGGCTTTTGTTTTATTTTTTTTTTTAAAGACTGGGGTCTCATCATGTTGCCCAGGCTCATCTCAAACTCTCTGGCCTCAAACAATCCTCCCACCTTGATCTCCCGACGTGCTGGGATTACAGGCCCGAGCCACCGTGCCTGGTTACGAATTATCCTGTTTTGTTGAGTTTTCTTTCTGGAAGTTAGAAGAGATGGATATTTCTGAGTATGGTAATTTGGCCATTTTCAGATCTGTAGATCCTGAACACACAATCATTCTTCATTTAATCTTATTCAAAAGCAAGTCATTTGATCTCTTATAGTAAAACAGCTCAAATCACTGGAATTTCTAATCCTAGATTTTGTTGTTGTTGTTGTTGTTGTTGTTGTTGTTGTTGTTGTTTGAGACAGAGTCTTGCTCTGTTGGCCCAGGCTGGAGTGCAGTGGCGCGATCTGGGCTCTCTGCAACCTCCGCCTCCCAGGTTCAAGCAATTCGCCTGCCTCAGCCTCCCTAGTAGCTGGGACTACAGGCGCAGGCCACCATGCCCAGCTAATTTTTGTATTTTTAGTAGAAATGGTGTTTCACCATGTTGGCCAGGATGGTCTCGATCTCTTGACCTTGTGATCCACCAGCCTTGGGCTCCCAAAGTGCTGAGATTACAGGCGTGAGCCACCACGCCCAGCCTGTAATCCTAGATTTTTATATTATTAATCAACACATACACCAGTGCTTTTCAAATTGTTCTTGGTAAGACCCTGTTCTTGGAGTTGGGATGTTGGCTGGAGGGAGCTGGCTGGGGGCAATGAATGGAGGCGAGGAGATAGGCTCCAGACTCTCAGTCTCATTGTAGGCTGAGCCACACTGCTCTTATCTGCCCAATAATGTGGGGTTCCATCATTCTGAAACAGTGCTTTTCTTGGTTTGAGGTGATAGCATGCATAATCTTGATTTTTGGAATAATCTTGCTATAATTTTCATTTTCCCATAACACTCATAAACCTATTTCGTAATGTTTTTCTTAGAAATATAGTATTTAGATGAAGTGGTTGAGTCTTTTCATTATAACTAGTTTACTAAGAAGGTATATTTCAGGCTGAGTGTGGTGGCTCACACCTGTAATTCCAGCACATCAGGAGGCAGAGGCAGGAGGATCACTTAAGCCTGGGAAGTCAAGGCTGCAGTGAGCTGTAATCACAGCACTGCAGGCTGGGTGACAGAGTCAGACCCTTTCTCAAAAAAAACGGCATATTTCAAAATCACGACACCACAATTAATTGACAAGTATTGTCATATTTCTCCAAACATAATGCCAGTGAAAAATGTTCTGAATTTCTCTCAAGCATATACATTTTTAAAAACAATAAGTTGGAGAAATAAAGGTTTGTTAGCACAAATCTTACATGTGTTTCCTGTGCTTCCACTCTTGGGGGGCTCAGGGGTTGGATTAGTGATAACTGACCGACCCATAGGTGTTTGCACTGAAAACTTGGCATCTTATAATTACAATCTCAACTCTGAGAGCAAGAGACCTCAAGATAATGTCTAGTTGATCACTTTGCTTCAGCAAAAGATTAGAACCTAATAATCCCTTACAGAGTGTCTACTTTTTTTTTTTTAAACATATAAAGGCTTTTGGTGAAAGCTGTCTAACAGTCATCTGGCATCTATACATTTGGGCATGTAAAAGTTGTTAGGATTTAGAACAGCTTTCAGTGGAATTGCAACAAGTGAATCCAGCTCCTGGTTTTCTGCTAAAGTAGCTGGTCCACATCATCACTCAGTTCTTGTCCCTCTGCACAGCGCGGTGTGACACTTGTCAACAAGCAGTTTATATTTTCAATGCTGTATTTAATTCTTAACGCGGTGGTTAAGTATTGAATTGCACATTTAATCAAACTTGAGTATGTTTTCCCTCTCGGGATTAACTTGAAAAGACAAAGGTGTTGAGTCAGTTCTGAATAATTTCTGACTGTAAATATTGTCACTGTAACTGAACCTCCTGCATTGTGTTTCCTTATTCAACCCGCCCAGTATCTTCCAACTCCAGCTTCTCAGAAGTCACCCTGGCGGGTTTAGCCAGTAAAGAAAACTTCAGCAACGTCAGCCTGCGGAGCGTCAACCTGACGGAACAGAACTCTAACAACAGCGCCGTGCCCTTCAAGAGGCTGATGCTGTTGCAGATTAAAGGTATTTCAGAGCAGCCTGGCACGGTGACTCAGGGCCCGTGGTTTCTGTCTGGTCACGTAAGGAGTCCTGACTGTGTAATTCATCCTATGTGCCAGGAAGGGAACGCACGTTTTTTGAGAACCTACTGTGTGTTCCTTGCTATGCAACCTCCTGTCTCTTAAGCTTCCCCAAATCCCATGACATAGGAAGTATTCTGCCCACCAGGGCTTCCAGAGGCAGGAATGTGTCTGGGGTCCCAGCAGCTACTGGGTGGCAGAGCTGGATTCGAACCCAGGTCCCCCCACTCCAGAATCCCAGCTTTTACTCCTGGCGCCCCATGCCCCACGAGGCAGCCACACATCCATGCAGTTACGAGAGGTGCCCTACGTCATCAGAGGGGCTCTCTGCTCCCTGCCCAGTTCTGCCTGAGTCAGTACAGAACTGGGGAGGAAGACACAGCTTGGAGAAGGAATCAAGGGAAGGTCGATGAAGATGAAGCCCACCTGCATTCCGCTCCAGTGCCCTTCCTGTCCGTAGCAAGGGAGATTCCAAAGACAAACCAGGGGTCTCTGGGCCATGAGGAGGAGACTCGGCTGCCTCCTGGTGGCCACTGTATAGATGAATCCTTGAGATGAGAATGAAGGAAATATCCTCTCCCTCCAGGAGGGTTTCCCACATGTTTCTGTGTAACCACTATCCTATTGTGTGTATTTAAAAAGACTAGTGAGAAGCTCACATAACCAATCTCTGTCCTGAGTCCTAACCCAGAGACTACATGATCAGTGTAATTGTGGAAAGCTCAAAATCAACAAATATTTAGGAAAAGGTGTTGAAAGCCACAGAAGGTGGCGCCTCCATCCTTCCTGTTGAGAGGCCCCTAGGGTTCATAGTGGAAACTCCCCAGGGGAAGATCGGACCCTTCCTGAAGGCATGGCTTCCCTTGCCTGGGCCACAGATGTAATTGGGTGCAGGAGGTGGCCAGGGGAGAGAAAGGCCCCGGGAGAAGAGTGAAGGAGGGAAAAGGAGCCTGTGTGCTCATCTCCCTGGAAGAGGGAGCCTTCATTAACCCACGCACATGACACTGATAATGGTCCTGATAAGTGGGTGACATTTGGGAAAGCACAAACCAGGAAAGCAGCCGCTAGTGCCATCATCATGCCCTTTCTAAATCCCCCTGCTGCCACCCTGGGCCATGGGCACTCTTATTAGCAGACAAGACTCTAGAAGTGAAAGCGTCCGCAGCAGGGATGCTTCCGATATGGGGTGCGTCCTATCCCCGTTCTGTCTGGAAAGACGGTGAGTGTCTGCCTCGTGTTCAGGAAGAAGACACGTGCAGACCAGGCTGGTGGAACCTCGAGCTTCGGCGCTCAATAGTGGGGACTGCTTCCTCCTGCTCTCTCCCCACTGCTGCTTCCTGTGGGTAGGAGAGTTCGCAAACGCCATAGAAAAGGCGAAGGTTGGTACCTGAAAAATAAAAACGCTTTAGCTAACATCTCCTTTACACACCGGTGGAGTGTTCTTCCTGGCGTCAGTCACAAAGCTTCTCAAAAGCCAGGTGTTGCATTCAAGTGAGAAGGGATAGGTAGGATTTCTTTTCCTGAATGTCTCTCAAACAAGCTTTCATTACATGTTTAAATGGGATGTTTTAGGACTATGACCTACACCCCAGTGTTTAGGTCCTGGGTTCCTTCCTACTCCTGTGTAAAAAATGAAGCGGCCCCACTTTAAAGTCCTTTATCCCAGGTAGTTCTGAAGTTCTGCCATAGACCTATTGAATGACACTGTCATGGGGTAAAGCCCAAAGAATAGTGCTTTTTAAAAGCATCATATGTGACCTATTGAAGATGGAGAACTATTGCTCTAAAGAATTGATACTCCCTGGTCGTTCAGTTACATTTTCTTGAGGTCATTTAAAATACCCAGTAACCAGCATCCACCCACACCCGTGGTCACAAGGCTTTCCTTGCAGGCACACTGTTTCTCCCTCTGGTTTTGACATGTGCCACTCTGTCTAGCCAAGGGCTTTTCTACCCAGGTAATTGTGTTCGTTTCTTTTTTAGGCCTCAGAACTTGCAGCTTGATTGTAGAGCTACTTATATCTAAATCATTGAAGAAGGAATTAATATACACACTCTTGCAGCCAAAGACTTCTGCAAGCTTCTGGGTGGCCAAACCAGTTACCAATGTCAGACTTCATTGTACTTCAGAGACTGACAAGACTTGAATCTCCTTTCTTCTCCCTTAGCTCATTCTTCTAAACCAGCTACTTTGCAATGTAAAATGTGATGCTCTCCTGTTGTTCTTATCCCCAAGCTGCTGGAGACCCAAAAGAAGATGAACTCTATGAAGCAGCCATAATAGAAACTAACTGCATTTACTGTCTCATGGATGACAAACTTGTTCCTGATGACGACTACTGGGGGAAAATTCCAAAGTGCTCTCTTCTGCAACCCAAAGAGGTACAGCCTGTGGCCTCTGCCCTTCAATGAGAAAGCACATTGAAAGCACTCAGCACAGGCTGCCCAATAGATTAGAGAGTAAGTTCCCAATAAAGGTTAGCCAGTGTCAGTATCCATTGTAGAACATTTACAGCTTTTTAAAAGGATTTTCCTTCTTTCTTTTTTTTTTTTTTTCCGAGACAGAGTCTTGTTCTGTTGCCAGGCTGGAGTGCAGTGGCAAGATTTCGGCTCACTGCAACCTCCACCTCCCGACTTCAAGCAATTCTCCTGCCTCAGCCTCCTGAATAGTTGGGACTACAGGCACATGCCACCATGCCTGGCTAATTTTTGTATTTTTGGTAGAGACAGGGTTTCACTATGTTGGCCAGGATGGTCTCGATCTCCTGACCTCGTGATCCAGCCGCCTCAGCCTTTCAAAGTGCTGGGATTACAGGCATGAGCCACTGTGCCCAGCCAGGGTATTTGTTATTTCACCCCTTTACTGACATCTTAAATGCTAATATGAAATCCAGAATATTGTTCAGAGGTGGCATGGATCATTGACAGCATCATAGGCAAAATGTAAATGTTACTTAGTCCTATCTGTTGCATTTTGTATAAATATTAATGGAATATTTTTCAGTCCTTAAGTTTGAGGAATAATAGATGCATATACATATATATAATTTATGGATTTGCCAATTAATGTGCTGTTTTTGTCCTGTCATGCCAGTAAATATTTATTAATTATATACTTTTCCAGTACCGTTAAGTATGCTAAGTATTAAGAAAGTGGAAGACACGCAAGGCCCTTAAGTTTAATTGGGCGGAAGAGTATTAGAAGGAATGTAATCTGGAGCAAGGTTGACTGTGTGATATGTATGGTCTTTTACATGGGGGAAACGTCACAGAAAAATAAATACAGGAATCATCAGGAATAATTTTCAATAGAAAGTGAAATTGAGCCAAGTTTAGAGTTAAGCAAAATTTGAATTGCTGGAAGTGAAGGGAGAAATCATTCTAAGAGAAAGAATAAAACAAACTATGAACGTAAGAAATAGCATTACATTCATGTATTCATTCAGCAAACACTTAGTAATCAACCCCTCCTGTATGTATCACCATGATCTGATCCCTGCCCTTAAGGATCTTGGAATTGTGTACTGGAGAGAAGACACCATTGGACCATGAGTGCCTGGGGTATATGAAGTGGCCTCTGTGTATATATTAAGTGAATGAACGAGCACATGAGAGGGGGAGGAATAGGGGAGAGAGGCAGGAAGTCGACAGGAAGATGTACCTAAAGAACTCTTGTGAATCGCAAGTTGTAAGCAGGTTGAGAGTTCAGAGGAGGGAACATTATCCTGGCCACTTAGGACACTGGGAGGAGGAATCGTGCCCACAGGGCAGAGGCTGGCTCGGTGGGGCAGTGCCAGCTGAGATCTCCTGGCCTTTTTGTGTCTGTGCTGGTCACCCCATTAGGATTTCTGTCTTCCTCCGTTTGACTCACTGTCAACAGAGACCCTGTTGCACCTGATTCAACTGTTGCATGTTCTTGAAGTTAACAAATTCTTTTGTGCCATTTCTCCCAGGTACTGGTGTTTGATTTTGGTAGTGAAGTTTACGTATGGCATGGGAAAGAAGTCACGTTAGCACAACGAAAAATAGAATTTCAGCTGGCAAAGCACTTATGGAATGGAACCTTTGACTATGAGAACTGTGACATTAATCCCCTGGATCCTGGAGAATGCAATCCGCTTATCCGCAGGTACTACTGCCCCCACCTTGGGACGGCTCCCTGAGCGAGCTGATTCCCTTCGATCCCTCTGTTCTCACCACAGTCCTCTACTCTCGCTCTTTATAGGGTTCAGTTTTCATAAACGATTATATGCAGTGGACTGTGAATATTCACAAAAGGAACAGTTCTTTAACTTTTATCTAACTATTATAGAAATATGGATGCTGTCGTCTTCCAGAAGAGGTTTGTTATAGTTGATTTCTTGAAGTGAGCAAGAAATGCTGCAAGTTCCTCCCTGCGGCATTCCAAGTGCTGCTGTGGCAGATGAACAGCAATTGTTTAAACAAATTACATGCGGATCTGAAAGGCTTCCCCGGGTCTGGAATTCAGCCATTGATCTGAAAGTGCAAAAGCAACATGCCTCCCTCTAATTTCATACCTTCCCAGCATCGCCCTCGAATTCCAGGATTTATTTGGCAGCAGATGATGTTTATGTCTTTATACCTTTTGGGAAGGGAAGAGGGAGAGGAGATGGTATTAAAACAATGATTGCAATTGTAATATTCCCTGCAGGTACTAGACTCTTTAAAGTTATTTTTGAAATTGAATAGAATATGTGCAAACTCTAAAATTGTGATTATGAGAAAAAAATTCTTACATGCAAAGGATTGTTGTTGTCTTTTTAACTATCAGACCAAAAAAAGTAGTGCTTTTTAACTATGGGTGCTGTTACAATAGATGAGAAACCAATGAACCAACAAACAGCATAGAATATTGGGCATCACACAACTACATTTTAATGTTTTCCATTGAACTGGTATATGAATTTCAACTTTCCTGCCTAGTTTCCTGCTTTAAAATCCAATTATTGATTTTCTTATTAATTATTATAGAAATCATTAAAATTATGTCAGTGTGGTAAGAAGTTTTAATGTCCTTGTTAAGCAAATGCACTAATGTTTAACCTCAGTATGGTAACAACTGTTGTTTTAAGGACTGGAACTACAACAGCTCAAAAGATTTTATTTGGTATAGCAGAGAAAAAAAAACAAGCTAAAGCATAAAAATCTATGTGATAGCCAACTGTATTTAATAGTGGCATAATCACAGATCTGAAAGTAGATGACTGAGCTCCTAACCCACTGGTTTTCAACATCTCTGAGACAGAATCACCTGAGGGGCCTTTAAAAAAAAGGCATTTGCTCAGCCCAGCCCCAGAGATGTGTTTTCGTTTCATGTGAGTTACAGTTTATGTGTCAATATGTCTTAAAAGCTCCCAGGGATTTTAAGGTGCAGCCAAGATTACGCACCCAGCCCTTCTTAGCAAATGAGGCTGAAACCACTGAGCCCAGTTCCGGCTGTAGGTCAGGGCAGTGCGTGGAGAAACACATCTGGCTTCTGGCCCAGGTTCATCCCCCTCACCCTGCAATCTGCTGCATCGCTTGCTCACAACGCTTCAAAACATAAGTGACAGATTCTAAAGCAGAAACCAAAAGCCCTTTCAATTATCATCTTAGCAAGCCTGCAGAGTAGGACTGACATAAGAGACAGTCATTCAGATATTTTCTGATAAAGACCACACAGCCTTTCAAGACCACCGTGCATTTTCCATAGGTGCTTATGTTTGGTTCCTAAAGTCCCATAAGAGCATGAGGTAGAAGTGTCTGTGCTCTATGATTTATCCGGCAGCTTTCTTTGAATCAGGCAGCCTTTTTGATGTGCCTCAGCTGTGACATCAGCAGCTGTGGTCTTGACCAAGCAGGAAGTGACTGAGGCAGTAGCACAGCAGGGCACAAGCAGCAGCGGGGGTTGCTCTAAGAGGTGGCTGCATCCCAGGCCAGATTCACAACCGAAGATGGGTCTGGAGGGATGAAAGATCGTGCATATTATTCCAGGGCTACTCCCTCCGCAGCACGCATATCTTCTCTACCTTTTGTTTTATTTCTTTTTCTTTCTTTTTTTAAATTTTTAATTAATTAACTTATTTTTTTGAGACAGAGTCTCATTCTTGTCGCCCAGGCTGGAATGCAATGGTGCTATCTTGGCTCACTGCAACCTCTACCTCCTGGGTTTAAGTGATTCTCCTGCCTTAGCCACCCGAGTAGCTGGGATTACAGGTGCCCGCCACCACATCTGGCTAATTTTTGTATTTTTAGTAGAGACGGGGTTTCACTATGTTGGCCAGGCTGGTCTTGAACTCCTGACCTCAGGTGATTCACCTGCCTCGGCCTCCCAAACTGCTGGGATTACAGGCATAAGCTACCACACCCAGCCCTCAGCTCTACCTTTTTCTAAATTACCTGTGTTCTTGGGGACAGCACAAATTCTGAAATCCCAAGCCCGCACAAGACCTCCTATCTTTCTGTGCTCTCCCCATCTGCCGTCTTGGTCAGTGGCCTAGAAATAAGTGCACAAAAAGGCACTTCAAGATCTATGAAAGTGTGTTCATTTTAGTGATGGGAGAATCTCTGTACTCTGGAGAGCTTTGTTGTAACATGAAATAAAATAATAGAGAATTGAGGAGGGAGCTACCTCTTCCCTACGTCTATTAATTAATTGGAGGAAACTTGGTGAGCATTTGCAGGTGACTGGGTGGCACAGAGTAGATGACAAGTGAGGTTTGCCCACAGCTCCTGCTATTGCCGAAATCTCCACCCAGCGTGCCACTCCCAGGGCATCCCAAAGACAAGAATTTGCTAGAATGTGGCCAGGTACAGTGGCCCACACCTGTAGTCCCAGCATTTTGGGAGGCTGAGGTGGGAGGATTGCTTGAAGCCAGAAGTGCAAGACAGCCTGGGCAACATAACGAGACCTGGTCTCTATTAAAAAATTAGCTAGGCATGGTGGCACACATCTGCAGTTCCAGCTATTTGCAAGGCTGAGGCAGGAGGATCACTGCAGCCCAGGAGTTCGAGGCTGCAGGGAGCTATGATTGTGCAACTGCACTTCAGCCTGGGCAACGGAGCAAGACCTTATCTCAAAAAAAACAAAAAACAAAAACAAAAAAAACTTGCTAGAATGTAAGAAAAGTCTAGTCCTGACATGGTTCATGTCACATTAAGGCACATCAAAAACTCCATGGACACAAAGCTTTGCAAGACTTCAGACTAAAATAACAAAATGTCAGTATTTGGTAAAATGCAGGAAAATAAACCATTTATTTTATATGTACTCACGTACTTTGAGGTTTTTTCCAGCAGCCGCATGTGTTTTAGATTCCTTTGTTTAAGCTTGGCTTCATCTTGGTTCTTTTCCTGTCTGTTCTCCCAACCCCCTTCCCACCCTACAGAAAAGGACAGGGGCGGCCCGACTGGGCGATATTTGGGAGACTTACTGAACACAATGAGACGATTTTGTTCAAAGAAAAGTTTCTGGATTGGACAGAACTGAAAAGACCAAATGAGAAGAACCCCGGGGAACTTGCCCAGCACAAGGTATTCCAGTGACCAAGTCTCAAACCTCAGGGCTTGGTTCGGGTCCCAACAAAAGTGGCCTTGATGTAAAATGATCAAATCAGGATAGTTCGCATGGCTGTCACCCCAGATGTATCATTTCTTTGTGGTGAGAACATTCAAATCTTCTCTTCTAGCTATTTTGAAATATGCAATACAGTATTGGAAAACAGTCACCCCACTGTGCAGGAGAAAACCAGAGCTCATTCCTCCTCTCTGATTGTCATTTTGTACCTGTTGGCCAACATCTCCCTATCCTCCCTGTCCCGTCTCCTTCCCACACCCCCTTCCCCATGAAACAGATGCATTTATCAACACATCAAATCATATCCATAATAATGTGTCAACTAAAATACTTTTTTAATTAAAAAAAATGGACACACATACACACACACACACACACACCCCTTAAAGCTAAGAGGCCTTCCCAGGATTCACTAATAGAACAGCAGACTGGCCTCCAATTCTAATCTGACTCTGGGAGGTGAAGAGTCGGGTTTGCACCTGTTTTCAGGCACCCCATGCACCAGTGTGGCCAATGGGTGTTCAGACCTGCCAGAGTCTTTCTGAAAATGCAGCCTTTCCCTGACTGCAGTTAAACATCCTGAGACAGAGTGTGGAAGGTGTATTTTTATGCTGTCCCATGAACAGCTGAAGCAGCGTTGAGTGTGACAAGGAATAGCTGCGGAAACAGGCAACTGAACCGATGTCTTCATGTTCCCCTATAGGAAGACTCCAGGGCCGATGTCAAGCGGAACAACGTGACACGGATGGTGTCCGTGCCCCAGACGACAGCAGGTGCCATCCTGGACAGGGTGAACATTGGCTGTGGCTGTGGCCTGGTGGAAGGACACCACAGGAGGCAGTTTGAGATCACCAGTGTCTCCGTGGATGTCTGGTACATCCTGGAATTTGACTATAGCAGGCTCCCCAAACAAAGCATCGGGCAGTTCCACGAGGGGGATGCCTATGTGGTCAAGTGGAAGTTCATGGTGAGCACGGCAGGTTAGTGAGCGCTTATGGCTTTCTCCAGCTGAAAGAGGTCAGCCCAGCAGCCCTGCGGGAGCCAGCTTCTCCAATGAACCCTGTCATGCCCTCTGCTGCGTGCGTGCAGTGGGGCACCGCAGTCATACGCCTTTGAGAGCCAGTTAGTAAACCACAGAGATGAAAAGAAGTAAGGCCGAATTCCTAACAACCTAGCATTGCCGAGGCCGCTGGTGTTCACCTGTAGAAATTGAACTTGCACATCAAGGCTTCTCAGCTCCCTCTCTCCCTCCCCTGCCCCTGTCCCCAGAGATTTTCTGGGAAAGAGATGATTGGCCTCTAAATGGTATTTCCCATGTGGCTGTGTGCTGCTTCAACTAAAGTCGTTAAGTAGAGCATATCTTCGTGATTTAAAGCTGGAACCAATGGTGCTGTAACATTATAGTAAATACATGCACAGAAGATTGATTTGAAAAGTGAAAGAGGCTGTTTCTCCTGAGACTGAGAGCACAGGTGGTGCTTTGTGGGTCTGGTGTAGTAAATGCAGAGTCTAAACTCTCCTCGGTTCCTGATGGTGACAGACCCCATTGCAAAACACTCACCCGGATGCTTGGCGCTGGGGAAAGGGGGAGTCCGGTGAACTCCGGAGAAATCATCCCTTTCCTTGCCAAGGAGGAGCCTTTCCCACAGCGCTCCTCACCCCTTCCCATTTAGGAGAGCATGCAGGTCACAGGTCTGTGATTTCAATTCAGAAGGGAGTTTTTTCACCTCTTTTCAGCCTCCTTGCTGTGCGGGTGCACCTGCCCCCGGGGCCACAGGAAGCACAGGCAGCTGTTTGCTGATCAGAAAACTGCAGGCTTGGAACCACGTGATTTCTTTCCTGATTTATACAAAATGCATCTGTTTCATCAACTGACACCATTTCCTGAGCATCTACTCTATGGGAGACACTTTCTGTAGGGACCAAGTAAAGATTTCAGACCCTGTCTCCAAGACAGTTATCCATGATGTAAAGCAAGTGCAGGAACACCCAGCAGGCGGGTCTCACTGAGCACACGGCCAGTGGGGCTGTGTGCTGTGCAGAGCCGGGCTGTGGCCCAGAGGTCCCCCTGCCCCCTCAGGGCACGATGCTGGGGGCTTTACCCTGCCTCTAGCTGAGTGCCTCCTGGGTTTCCTGAGACTTGTTCTGTTGTGATGCTAATTTCTCAGATGAGGAACAGGACCTTAAGATCAAGGAACCTGCCTGAAGCCACAAGCTAGCAGGGAGTGGAGCGGGACACTCACATCCAGGCCTGCCTCTTTTCAAACCCAACTGTGCTGCTAACCCACCCTGCATGCAGGGAGTCAGAGTGGGGCTCCAGCACAGGATGTGGAGAGCCGTGAGTTTGGCTACAAGGAGGGGCCGAAGATCCCAGTCACCAGACTGTGGAGCAGGTCAGGGTTGAACCAGCAGCAAGGCGACTTGAGGTTGGGCCGCTGAACACACCAAACTTCAGGGGCTTCTTAAACAGCAGGAAGGGGATCTTCCAGGGCCCAGGCAGCTCCAGCCTCTCCTTCCAGGGAGTAGTGGGGTGTCAGACAAGGACCCCCAGTGGGAGGAACTCCCTTTCCTCCCTCTTCCCCTCCCCTCCGCTCCCCTCCCCTTCCCTTCCCTTCCTTGACAGGGTCTCACTATGTTGCCCAGGCACTTTCTTTCTTCACTTCTTTCTTTCCTTCTTTTCTTTCTTTCTTCTTTCCTTCCTTTCTTCCCTCCCTCCCTCTCTCCCTCCCTCTCTCTCTCCCTCCCTCCTCTCTTTCTTTCTCTTTCTTTCTTTCTTTCTTTCTTTCTTTCTTTTTCTTTTCTTTTCTTTTCTTTTCTTTTCTTTTCTTTTCTTTTCTTTTCTTTTCTCTCTCTCTCTCTCTCTCTCTTTCTTTCTTTCCAGCAGACTTATAACTTTGAAAAAGTCCAGCTTTGGAGAATTAAGATAGAGCAGGGAGCGTTCAGATTCCAGACCATCCCTCCAGCAGGGGGGAAGCACAGCCCCATGGCACTTGCAGTCACTCCGTAGCCAACGCGGAAGCTCTGGCCCCTTGGTGACACTAGTCCGGCTCCCCTATCACTTGTGCGCACAAGGGCCACACCTGCAAACAGGACTGAGTCAGAGCTCAGGGTGCACTTCTGGGAGAGGGTCAGCAAAAGCAGCAGCTGCACAGGTGGTACAGCCTCCACTTGGCCAATGCTGGCCGGCCTGCTAGGGTCAATGTCCTGGCCCAGTGCCTGCAGGGTAGGGTTGCTCGTGCCCCACCAGGGTCAGGAGACAGCTGCTTGAGGTGCTCAGGGATGCTGAGCCAGGCTCCTCCGGGGCGTGATAGGGGTTTAATTTCTATAAATAGGTGGCTCTGGGGCAAGAATACTTAACCACGAGCAGTCTTCATATCTCTGTTTTCTGTTATTCCTACTGGTACCAAACTTATTCTTGAAACTCTTTTGATGGCATAACATATCCAAACTTTATTTATTTATTTATTTTATTATTTTATTTATTTATTTATTTATTTATTTATTTATTTATTTATTTTGAGACAGAGTCTCGCTCTGTTGCCCAGGCTGGAGTGCAGTGGCATGATCTCGGCTCACTGCAAGCTCCACCTACTGGGTTCACATCATTCTCCTGCCTCAGCCTCCTGAGTAGCTGAGACTACAGGTGCCCACCACCATGCCCGGCTAATTTTTTGTATTTTTAGAGAAGTGAGGTTTCACCGTGTTAGCCAGGATGGTCTCAATCTCCTGACCTGGTGATCCGCCTGCCTCGGCCTCCCAAAGTGCTGGGATTACAGGCATAAGCCACCGCGCCCGGCCCTATTTATTTTTTTTGAGACAGGTTCTCACTCTGTTGCCCAGGCTGGAGTGCAGTGGCGCAACCTCGGCTCACTGCAACCTCTGTCTCCTGGGTTCAAGCAATTCTCCCTGCCTTGGCCTCCCAAATAGCTGGGATTACAGGCCCCCGCCACCACACCCCATTAATTTTTGTATTACACTTTAAATTAGGCAACTGATCAAGGCTGTGAAAAGAATGACCCCATAAGTTCTTCACACTGAAAATTGAATATTTACATTGATAAAATTAAAAATAAATACACATAAGAAAAATTAATTTGTATATAGGACTACATTTCAATACATGCAGGAAAACTGTAAGGAAAATTAGTGAAATGCCCATTTTGTAAAATATCTTTAAAGAAATAAAAGTCTAGGCTTACATCTGTAATCCCTGAGTTTTGGGAAGCTGAGGTGGGAGGATCACTTAAGGCCAGGTGTTCAAGACTACCCTGGGCAGCACAGTAAAACCCCATCTGTACAAAAAATTAAAAAATCAGCCCAGTATAGTGGCATCTGCCTGTAGTCCCAGCGCTTTGGGAGGCTGAGCCAGGAGGATCACTTGAGCCCAGGAGTTCAAGGCTGCAGTGAGCTATGGTTATACCACTACACTCCAGCCTGAGCAGTAGAGCAAGACCCTGTCTCTAAAATAAAAATACTTTTAAAAAGAGATACAGTTGTATTTTGGGTATATACGGTCAAGTCTGTTTAGAATGTTAGGACGTAATATTGGTTATTTAAGTGTAAATGTGTATTTACACAATGTATTTGAGTGCTAAAAATGTCTAGGTCTTTATAGACTGTTATGAGCTATTTGAAACATGCCTTTCCCCAGTAATCTAGTTGGTGCAACAGATTTTCACTACTTTGAGGAACAGGATTGCTAATCAAAGGCAAAATTTTTTTGCTAAGTTAGCAGAAATTTCAGTTGAGTGGCTTCCAAATTAATTATAGTTATTTATAATGTAGTCATTGATGGTTCCTATTTTATTTTGCCCTCTCAAAAACATACAAACTTAGCCAGTTCAGATCCACAGTGGATGGTACGAAAGGCTGTTTTTAGTGAAAATGCTTTAAGAAATTATTAGAATCATTTATGGAACCTACGTTACAGATACTTTACCAAACAAATGGCCAAAAAACAAATAAAAATGACCCCTGAACTTTTAGGAACTTAAATGAGTTTTCTTCTTCCCTTCAAACCTCAATACAGTTGTAATGTTGGAAATGGGATTGGAGCTAGGAAAAGTTGCGGTGATATAGAACCAGAGACTCCAGTTTTTTTTGTTTGTTTGCTTGCTTGTTTGTTTGTTTGTTTGTTTTGTTACGGAGTCTCATTCTGTTGCCCAGGCTGGAGTGCAGTGGCACAATCTCGGCTCACTGCAACCTCCATCTCCCGGATTCAAGTGATTCTCCTGCCTCAGCTTCTTGAGTAGCTGGGATTACAGGCATGTGCCACCATGCCCAGCTAATTTTTGTATTTTTAGTAGAGACGGGTTTCACCGTGTTGGCCAGGCTGGTCTCGAACTCCTGACCTCATGATCCGCCTGCCTCGGCCTCCCAAAGTGCTGGGATTACAAGCGTGAGCCACCGCGCCCGGCCAGTTCTTTTACTATTACAATTTAGCAGGTCTTCTCCACCTCGAAGCTCGGATTAATTCTACCTGTGTTTCCACAGTGCTTTGAATTATTTCATATTTTACATTCATTCTTCATCTGGAATTTACTTTGATGCACATGATATCTTCAGCTTTGTTCTCTTTTCTTTCAAAGATCCCGGAAGTTTTAACTTCGCGCCCCGCCTGTTCGTCCTCAGCAGCTCCTCTGGGGATTTCGCAGCCACGGAGTTCGTGTACCCTGCCCGAGCCCCCTCTGTGGTCAGTTCCATGCCCTTCCTGCAGGAAGATCTATACAGCGTGCCCCAGCCAGGTAAGGCCTGCAGGGGGCAGCTATGCTGAGCAGCAGAAGACACACCTTCTATGTGCTTCTGCACACCCAGAACATGTGCTTATGTTAGCTCATTTCATCCTCACCCCTAAACCCAAAGGAGGGAGGGTGAAATCAGCCACACATTATAGCATAAGCAACAAGGCTCAGTTACTTAACCCACCCAAAGACGTCAGCTAAGAACAGGTTAAGCACCACAGTGGCAGGCCTGGCGTCTCCACTCTTCTCCCAGCCTTCCTCTCAGTCTTGTTGCTGCATGGTCACCCGTCAACTGCCATTGCTCCAGCCATCATGTTTGCATTTAAGACAGAAAGAGAAAGAAGGGTGGAGGAAAAAAGGGAACTTAATAGCCACATCTCTCTCTTTAATCAGATAAAAAAGACGTTTTCCCAGAAGCCCCCAGCAGACTTCTGCTTATGTCTCATTGGCCAGAGCTTGTCACATGGCCAACCCCAGCTGCAAGGGAGCCTGGGAAAGCAAATGGCCAGGGAGAAGGGTGTTGAGGTATCGGCTAAGTTAGCCAGTGAACAGGGTCTGCCATACCAAGTCTCCGCAGCAGAGCCAAGACTCCAGCCCAGGTCTTCTGATCCCAAGGTCAGGGCTCTGTGCCCTCATTCTGGTTGGGAAAGTCACAAGAGACTGGGCTTGACAACCCCTCCCACCCACCCTCCAATGAAGCCAAGGTCAGCTGCCTCTCAGTTTGTGTTTGTTGCTTCTCACATTACAAGAGCCTGGAGCTGCAGCCAGGGACCTCACCTTGCACTGGGATCTCAGGGCACCACTGAAAGTTTGACCAGTGCACATGTCATGCTTGGAAAACCTTAGCCACCAGAAAGAGAGGCTGTGCCCACGCCCTTCATCCTGGGGCTCAGGGCGGGTTATCAACCTCCACTGGGCTTTTAAAGTGTGGTTTTCACAGAATCCTGAAATGCATGCCAGGAAAGGACACACTGTGAGCCAACTAGCAAGAGTGAGAGGCGTTTTGCCACCTGGAGTAAGAGTCAGGCTGACAATTTGAGGAGGAGAAAAAGTGAGGAGGAAAAGGCAGTAGAACAATTTTTATTTTCAATTTATTTCATTTTATTTTATTTTTTAGAGATAGGATCTCACTCTGTCATCCAGGCTGGAGTGCAGTGACACAGTCATGGCTCACTGCAGCCTCAAACTCCTGGGCTCAAGTGATCTTCCCACCTCAGCCTCTGAGTAACTGGGACTATAGGCATGTACCACGCCTAGCAATTTTTTTTTTCTTTTTGTAGAGATAGGGTCTCACCATGTTGCCCAGGCTGGTCTTGAACTCCTGGGCTCAAACAATCCTTCCTCCTCAGCCTCCCAAAGCACTGGGATTACCGGCATGAGCCATGACTCCTGGCCACAGTTTTGATGTTTAAAGCCCATTTCTCTGTAAGAGAGCCATGAGCTCACCTCACTGCTAAGCAGTCACGTGCAGGGCAGGAATGCCACTGACCTGTCTGCAGTGAGATGTGTGCTCCAGTGTTGATTGTGCTCTTTGGAGATAGGTGGTGCTAACAGTCCCTTGAGTGGCACATGCATTATCCCTTCCACTCTTAGCACAGCCCTGCCAGTATCCAGAAGGGCCAGGGGCTTGAGCTGGGGCAAAGGGAGGAGGGCCTGGAGGATGAGGAATGAAAGAGACCAACTCCTTGACACCACCTCTCTCTGCCTACAGGCTTCTCCCAGTTGAACTTTCAAAGGGCTAAGTGTCCTGGGTTTCCGTTTGCCCCTTTGCCCCTGGTTTGACAGCCAAGGGGGTTTCCCCCTGTGACACAGCAGTGGGGAGGGACAACATCCACTGGGTTTGGGGAGGAGTGAACTGGAAGTGTCCGTGAAGGAGCTCCTGACGGTCGGGCTCTGTCCCTGCCCTCACAGTGCCTTTCCTTGACAATCACCACGAGGTGTGCCTCTGGCAAGGCTGGTGGCCCATCGAGAACAAGATCACTGGTTCTGCCCGCATCTGCCGTGCCTCTGACCAAAAGAGCACGATGGAGACCATGCTCCAGTATTGCAAAGATGAGGCCTCGCCAGCAGCTCCCCGGAGCCCTAGACCCTTTTTCCCTTTCTGCATGGGTCAGCCAGTGTCTATAAAGCCTGGCAGATGATAATGAAACCCATTTTTTCCCCTTTAACTTTTTGAGATATATTAATTTTTAGATTAGTGCATTCTCAGCTGCCAGCATGAAGAAGAACTAGTTTTTCTCTCTGATATTATGAGGCCATCTAACTTGTTACCCTCAAGGATAAAGGCTGTATTGTGGAATGCCCCAGGCAGATTAAAACCCTGTTGTACTCGGGGTTGATTACACTGAGAGACAAGTTGGTCTCTGCCATGTACATTATCTGCAAGCTCTACCATGCTGTTGGAGAATGGAAGTTTCCCCCAAATGGTGAATGGCCATTGCCAACCTTTTTATTATTTATTATTATTTTTAGTATTATATCCTAAAAGAAAGACCCATATTAAGTTTGTAGTTTTTCGTATGCCATCCGCATGAAATTTCTGGTCTTTTATGTAAAGTGAAAATACCAGTAATTAATATCTTATCACATTTTTATGTTTTCATTGATACAATTAGTTTAATATCACTGAGTATGTGCAATTGATTATCTTCCTGAAAAACTCTTTAGCAATAAATAACATATGAAACCTTCCACCCAATGTTATAGTGAATGTGGATGTATAAGATGCTGTCGTTTGCTGTCAGTCATATTGGAGTTAATCCCATGGTAGGAAGGCAGACAGATGACTCTACAGGTGAATTCAGGAGGAAGAAAATGCTCCACCCAGAAGCTGCAGATAGAGCCTCTCTCTCCCTTCCAGGAATACACAGCGTTTTGTTAGGTTCAAGAAGTATAGACTCAGGTTGATTATAGATCACTATTGTAGTCACAGGCATGAAACTAACATCTTATATAAACATTATCCATGTGTTGTTATGAACTACTCGTAACTTGCATTTTAAGCATGAAGTCATGAGTTCTGGCAAAGAAGAAAAGATTTCAAGGGAAATCAGCGAAAGACAGTGTCTCCCTTGGGTCTACTGACATTGCATTCTGTGTAACTACAGGAAAAAAATCTCAAGAAGCCAGTCCCCAAGTCTTACCTTATCCATGCTGGTCTGGAGCCCCTAACATTCACCAATATGTTTCCTAGCTGGGAGCACAGAGACGACACTGCTGAGATCACAGAGATGGTGAGCACGCTTTCCTGCCATATGAAGGTGGCTCCTGTGCCTTTTGGATTGTGGGTTGACTTTACTTTGGGGAGAGCATCCAATTGCACTTTCCAAGTGGGAAAATATTTATTTTGCAACATGATAACATGTCATAGAATTCACTTAGTAAGAAGAGAAGTCGAATGGGAAATCAATTGAACTATTTTAGTAATTTTCTACACAGTATACCCAAATTTAAAAAACTTAAAAGCAAAGGTGAGTTGAATCATGCTGAGGGCTGTATGTGTACATAAAAGCTGCGAACTCTTCATTCTCTTTGCTAAGAACCTGTTGCTTGGCATTGCTTGTCTCTCAGTGTCCATGTGACGCACAACCAAACCCTCATGTTTCAGACGTTAACCTTGTGTAGAGGAGACACAAATGAAATCTGATGAATTAGTATGTTCAGAAAACTGAATGAATGGAGGTGCTGCGACTCCCTTATGATAAGGGATCACTCAACATCTCATTAATATTGTCTTTTATGAGACCACCTGGTATTTCTGCATGAGGCATTTATCATAACTTCTATCTACCAAAATATATTGTTATCCAGAATGTTTTCCAACCACACAGAAAAGAAGTTTCCTATAACGATGTTGAATTTCTTATATATGAGCTATTAACATTGCTAGGAATAGCAGTTCCAAGGATTTATTTTGGTTTGATGGGAGATGGGGTTTTTCTGTTTTGATTTTTTTTTACCATGTAAGAGAGCTGCTTTGATTGGGGAAATGACCCAAGTATATTTTATAGTCTCAAATTTGTGTCTCTGACCGACTAAAATTAGGGTTTTTTATAGCAGGGAATAAATGTAACCATATGTGGGAAAACAGGAATGAAGGAGGGTTGAGGAAGAGGAGGTGGTCAACAGGAAGCAGGGAGTCAGTTAGGCATCATGGTGGGTGAGGGGCCTGGTAAGCTTCCATTTCCTTTTTTTTCTTTTCTTTTCTTTTCTTTTCCAGCCCAGGCTGAAGTGCAGTGCCACAATCACAGCTCACTGCAGCCTCCACCTTCCAGGCTCAATCAGTCCTCCCACATCAGCCTCCCAAGTAGCTGGGACTACAAGCACACACCACAATGCCCAGCTAATTTTGTATTTTCAGTGACGTTTTGCCATGTTGCTCAGGCTGGTCTTGAACTCCTGGACTCAAGTCATCTGTTGGCCTCAGCCTTCCAAAATGCTAGGATTACAGGCTGGCTTTCCAAAGTGCTAGGATTACACTGTTGGCTTTCTGATACTATCAGAGAAGCCTGATGGTTGGTTTCCTGAGAAAGGAACTCAGATAAGACAAATATAACTTTCTCAAGTTTCAAGACTGGGAGAGTCAAATTTTTGATGTTTATTCGAAGAAACCATAAACATCAGTTCTGTGGGACAGTTTAGCCAGTTTCAGAAGGATGTAACGCACCATCCTCTCTGTGTATTCACTATAGATCCTGGGGGTTGGCAGCAGGGCCATTTACTGTTGTGCAGGCCTGTGGAATTCCAGCCAGAGAAGAGTCAGGCTTCCCACACCAGCAAGTTATACAAATAATTAACATTCACCAAGTGCTGATTCTGCATTAGGCACAGCTCCAAGCACTTTACACTGATTTTCTCATTTAATTATCACAACAGTCCATCAAGATCTATCTTCTTATTATTCCCATTTTACTGGCACGGGAGCAGAGGCACAGAAACATGAAGTGACTTTCAGCGAATGGAGAAGTCAGTACTCAGATGCAGGCAGGATCACTCAAACACCTGCCTTTGTCTCGCTCTCTCTCTCTCTCTCTTTTTTTTTTTTGAGATGAGGTCTTGCTGTGTTGCCCAGGCTGGAGTATACTGGTGCCATCATGGCTCATTGCAGCCTGGAACTTCTGGGCTCAAACCATCCTCCCACCTCAGCCTCCTGAGTAGCTGGGACTATAGGTGTGCACCACCACACCCAGCTGATTTTTGTATTTTTTGTAGAGATGGGGGGGTCTCACTATGTTGCCCAGGCTGGTCTCAAACTCCTGGGCTCAAGCAATCTCCTGCCTTGGCCTCCCAAAGTACAGGGATTATAGGCATGAGCCACCATGCCCAGCCCAAAACCTGCCTGTTGACCACTAGTTCCCCCATATATTTGTGATTTGGGCAACAGCTCTTAGTCATGCATTCCCATCATCCATCCACCCAAAATGAGAGAAGCCAATCTGGGATCCCAAGTTTAATGGAGGAAGATAATTTACCCAGAATAGCTTGTTCAGATTAAATGCACACAGTGGTTGAAAAGCAAACTTGATTCTGCTCCAAAATATTCTGGATGCACTTTCTGACCTTCTTTTTCTATTGTGGATTAAGAAGGTGCCAAGGCGGGCAGATCACGAGGTCAGGAGATCGAGACCATCCTGGCTAACACGGTGAAACCCTGTCTCTACTAAAATACAAAAAATTAGCCAGGCATGGTGGTGGGCACCTGTAGTCCCAGCTACTCAGGAGGCTGAGACAGGGGAATCGCTTGAACCTGGGAGGCAGAGATTGCCGAGATCATGCCACTGCACTCCAGCCTGGTGACAGAGCGAGACTCTGTCTCAAAACAAAGAAAAAAAAAAAAGAAAAAAAGAAATGAGGCCGGGGAGGGGAGGAGGGTGTGATTTCTTTTCAGTTTAATTATTTTAAAAATATTTTTAAACAAATTCCATTATTTGGAGGTCTCTGGTGTTTAGACTTAAAGTCTACTAATCTTAGTTTGTAATTCACTCATGGGAAAGTCCCTAAACATTTTTCCAGAGGCGGTTCTGAGACAAGATTTGTTTGAAACTCTGTGATAAGATGAGAAAACATCTAAAAGTCAGAGAAACAAGACTCCATCTCTACAAAATATTTAAAAAGTGTATTAGGCAGGCATGGTGGCATGCACCTGCAGGCCCAGCTACTCAGGAGGCTGAGGTGGGAGGATCACTTGAGCCTAGGAGTTCAAGGCTATGATTGCACCACTGCACTCCAGCCTGGTGACAGAACGAGACACTGCCTCTAAAAAAATAAAATAAAATAAAATGGGGCCAAATGCAGTGGTTCACACCTGTAATCCCAGTGCATTGTCAGGCTGAGGAGGGAGGATCAGTTGAGGCCAAGAATTTGAGACCAGCCGGGGCAACAGAGCAAGACCTGATAAGAAAAAAGAAAAAAGAAGAAAGAAAGAAAGAAAGGAAGAAAGAAAGAAAGAAAGAAAGGAAGAAAGAAAGAAAGAAAGAAAGAAAGAAAGAAAGAAAGAAAGAAAGAAAGAAAGAAAGAAAAGAAAGAAAGAAAGAAAGGAAAGAAAGAAGGAAGGAAGGAAGGAAGGAAGGAAGGAAGGAAGGAAGGAGAGAGAGAAAGAAAGAAAGAAAGAAAGAAAGAAAGAAAGAGCTAGACAAGAAAGAGAGAGAAAGAAAAGAAAGGAAGAAAGAAAGAAAAAGAAAGAAGAAAGAAAAGAAAGAAAGAAAGAAAGAAAGAAAGGAAGGAAGGAAGGAAAGAAGGAGGAAAGGAAGGAAGGAGGGAGGGAGAGAAGGAAGGAAGGAAGGAAGGAAGGAAGGAAGGAAGGAAGGAAGGAAGGAAGGATGGATGGATTAGCCGGACATGGTGATGCACACGTGTAGTCCCAGCTACTTGGGAGGCTAAGGCAGGAGGACCGCTTGAGCCCAGGAGTTCGAGGCTGCAGTGAGCTATGATAGTCCCACTGAACTCCAGCCTGAATAACAGAGACCTTGTCTCCAAACTATATTTTTTTATTTCAAATTTAAAAATTAAAAAAATTAAAAGTCGAGACAACTGCAGGGCTTTGGGCAATCCCTTATCTTTCAGAGCCGTTTCCTCCTTAGTGACATGGAGCTATGTGTCCTCAGGCTGTGTGCAGATGGCACAGGTCTGTGTGTTTGCAAGCACTTAATAGAACGAGTTCAACAATTAGAACACTTGGACACAGGAAGGGGAACGTCACACACCAGGGCTTGTTGTGGGGTGGGCGGAGGGGGAAAGGATAGCATTAGGAGATATACCTAATGTAAATGACGAGTTACTGGGTGCAGCACACCAACATGGCACATGTATACATATGTAACAAACCTGCACGTTGTGCACATGTACCCTAGAACTTAAAGTATAATAAAAAACAAAATAAAATAATAAAATAAAAATATTATTTCCTGCAGTCAAAAAAAAAAAAGGAGTTCAAACTTAGGACACGAGCTGTCCTCTCTGCCCCCTCCTCTTTTCTAGGACATGGAAGTTTCCAATCAGATCACCCTCGTGGAAGACGTCTTAGCCAAGCTCTGTAAAACCATTTACCTGCTGGCCAACCTCCTGGCCAGGCCACTCCCGGAGGGGGTCGATCCTCTGAAGCTTGAGATCTATCTCACCGACGAAGACTTCGAGGTAAGCGGTTCTTCCGCTGGCATTGGAGATGGGAGTAAAACAACACACACCGCCCGGCTCCTTTCACTGAGTCGCGGGGCGCTTCTCCCAATGTTTCCAGTTTGCACTAGACATGATGAGGGACGAATACAATGCCCTGCCTGCCTGGAAGCAGGTGAACCTGAAGAAAGCAAAAGGCCTGTTCTGAGTAGGGAGACGCCAGAGGAGCCTCACGGTCATGTCCAACACCACCGCACCAGGGAAATGGATATATATTTTTGGACTGGTGTTTTTCACAAAGTATTTTTCAATCAGAGTTTTCAGAACCTGACATTGTTAAACATACTGCTTGTCCCGGAGTTGTGTATTTTGTAAATGTTCAAGGGAACTATTTGGAAACTTCTTTCCACCATTCAGCAGATTATCAGAATTGATAAGAGTATGTTATGTGCACTTAAGCCGCAGCTGCTATAGATAGCAGTGCCTTCTTCTTCCAGCTAGACAATGCTTTTTTTTTTTTGAAGCAGTTCTCTTTATAAAATGTTATTTTGATAGTTTGTGGATTCTAAAATATATGTATATATTTATATAAACACCATATAAGTCAAATATGTATTTAACAAAGCAATATGTATTCATTCACTTTCAAGATTTTTTTTGGTGTCAAAATAATATGAAAAGGTAGATGGAGTTGCTTCTGTTGAATTAGCTCTGCCACCAAGACGTATCTTCATACACGTTTGGAAACGTTTCCTGCAGCATTAGGTATGACTTGTTCTAAGTACTGCTTCCGGTGCTAAAATGAACAACAAATTTGTACTTAATGGCACGGACCCTGGAGAATTTATGCGAATCAACCTTTCTACCTTAATATCTCCCCCTAAATGCCTTGTTTTTATGTACAGTTTATATACAGAAAAGTTTGCTCTGCATCTTCCATGATGGTTTGGAACATTATCTACAGTTTTACTCTCAAATAACCAAAATAAAAACATCTCAATTTCTAATACCTGTTGTAAACATTACACATCATTTTGTGATACAGGACTTTTGTCTTGTGCGTTTGGAAATAAAAACATCAGAATAAACATAACAATTAATTTATTAGTTCAAATTAAATTAAATTCCAAGCATGTTCCTTTCTGGAAATCTTTTTTTTTTTTTTTTTGGTAAATGTTAACCTAGCACCAATATTGTATCATTAAATATTAATGGCTATATATTTGAATTTCGTTTAGGGCAAGATTTTATACAAGTTCATAAGATTAAATAAAGAGCTATTTGCCCCATAAAATTATTACTCAGTACTATATTGAAGACATATTTTTGCAAATCATCACTCAACAGAAGTTCTTTTGCTTTTGGTTTTTTTTTTTTTTTTTTTTTTTTTTTTGAGACGGAGTCACACTCTTGTCGCCCAGGCTGGAGTGCAATGGCGCCATCTGGGCTCGCTGCAACCTCTGCCTCCCGAGTTCAAGCAATTCCCCTGCCTCAGTCTCCTGAGTAGCTGGGACTACAGGTGCCTGCCACCACGCCCGGCTAATTTTTTGTATTTTTAGTAGAGATGGGGTTTCACCACCTTGGCCAGGCTGGTCTCAAACTCCTGACCTCAAGTGATCCACCCTCCTTGGCCTCCCAAAGTTCTGGGATTACAGGCTTAAGCACTGCACCTGGCCTCAACAGAAGTTCTTTACCCCACAACTCTGTCTACATTTCAATTTCAAGATCTCAGTGCCTAAAAAAAAAAGGATGCAGATAAGACATCTAGAAAACTTAAAAATGAGTTAGAAAACTCCTCACAAGAGTATATGTTCTTAAAATACGAATTCATGGGTTTGAAGGTATTCCGTAGACCTATTATGAGTTGTTACAGCCCTTCCCTATTCCCTGTTAGCCTAAGTTTAACACATTCCGTCACAGCCCATTTGCCTGAAACTTCAGAACTTACGTGCCCCACCCTTTCACTGCACCAGGGTGGGGACCTGTAACCTGCTCCTGGTCTCACCACTTTATGATTGTGTAATACTGGGCTGTCACTGAACTTCTCTGCCATGACTTCCTTTAAAAAGGAGACACTCCTAGCTATCTCGCCTACATCACAAAATTCCAAGCAAGGATCTAGCAGAAGCTGTTTGAAAAATGCGAAGTGCTAGATACCTGCTGGTATTAAGATCATTGTGTTGGTAGCTGAAATAGGAAAGCAGGGGGGTTAAATTAGGGAATGTTGTCACACACCTAGAAATGATGGATTAAACAAAGCAAGGAGAGGAAAAAGGAGAGAGAGAGGTTCAAAGTCTATGTCCCATAGATAGCACGAAAAGTGGCGTGGAGAAAAGTCACTAGGGCAACCTGAGTGTCTGAAAGAGAGAGGCAGGGTTGCAACCTCTGCAGCAGGTTCCAGATACCACCTGGATCCTTAGATACCCAGGAAGGAGCTCGAGTTGCTACAGGAACTTCCAGTGGAGAGCCGCTGTAATGAATAAATAAGACAGGTGTCCTCATTAATATTCATTAACACCAGATTTTCCCAAAGTGCTTAAAAATCATGAATATCTACTTGTATTAAACATTGTCCCCCCAAAATGTGCTGTCCGTTTGCTTCTCACCTCTTGTTGAATAAGACTCCCCAGCTTGGAGAGCCAGTTTACTTATTGCCTCTTTTCCTCTGAATTGTTTCCTGTGTCTCCTTCCTGCTTATAGAACCAGATCCTATTTTCCATGTTTTTTTCTGATCCTTTTCCTTCCATAACTGCAACCTTTGACCTTTGCACACTGGGAAGGGACCTAGCTGAAACACTTGAATTGCTAAACCTTAAAGTCTCAGCCCATAAATTGACACTGGTGCTTGGGGGTTTTCTCCACAGTCGTCCAAACTCAAACCCCCGCTCTCACTAAATGCATCAGGGGCAGGGAAGTGGGATGTCCTGAATTTGCTGTCCTTGAACTAAGGAACTCGTGAGAGGGGTGGGTGTTTGGGTTGAGATGGATATCAGAGGTGCCGCAGGGCAGAAAGGATGTTGAGCGTGTTCCGCAGCTTTGGATGAACTGTGCGAATATGAGCCACTTCCAGAGTGGGACAACCCTGCCTCTTTGTTCCCAAATCCGAGGAGGGGAAAGGCTGCTGCGAGCCCACTTCTTTCTCTCCTATTTTACATTTCCTGCCTCATTCTTAGAATTCCCATTTTGGTAAAAGGAAACGTATTCCAGAAACAGTTCCAGAATTCATTTTGGTCCTTTTGTTCTGTTTTTTTTTAATTATAAAATTAGCCGTGTGTGTCCACACAGAGACTTGGACACAGATGTTCATAGCGGCATTATTCGTAATAGCCCAGACCTGTAAACAACCCACATGACCGTCAACTGAGAAACAGAAAAACAAAATGCAGGACCTCCAGGCGATGGGGTCCTCCCCGACAGCAAAGGGACAGATATTCCTGCGTATACATGACGTACACCTGATACTCACTACAACATGCATACGCCTCAAAAGCATTAAGTGAAAGAAGCCAGGTGCAAAAGGCCACATATTGTTTGATTCTTTTTATATGAAACTTCCTGAAAAGTCAAATCTGTGCACACAGCAAGATCAGTGGTTGCTGGGGTTGGAGATGGGAGTGGAGGTTGACTGCAAATGGCATGAATGATCTTTTTGGGGCGATGGAAATGTTTTAAAACTGGCTTGTGGTGATGGTTGCACAACTCTATGAAGGATTAAAACTTATGCTAGGCGCGGTGGCTCACTCCTGTAATTCCAGCACTTTAGGAGGCCACAGCAGGGGGATCCCTTGAGCTCAGGAGTTCAAGGCCAGCCTGGGGAACACAGAGAGACCCCATCTCTACAAAAAAAAATTTTAAATTAGTCAGGCATGGAGGTTCACACCTGTAATCCCAGCTACTAAGGAGGCTTAGGCAGGAGGATCACTTGAGCACCAGAGCTCTAGGCTGCAGTGAGCTATGATCAAGTCACTGCACTCCAGCCTGGGCAACAAAGTGAGACCCTATCTCCAAAAAAGAAAAAAAATAATAAAAAAACTTATTCAACTACATGAGTGTATTTTATGGCATATACATATTATACCTCAAGAAAGCAACTTTAAAAAGTAGTAACACCTGCTCTATGTAAAAAATGCAAACATTACAAGGATATATAATCTAGAAATTGAAAATCATAGATAATCACACTTCCCAAATACAAGTACTTTAATAATCTGGTTTATATTCTTCTAGAGTTGTCTTTACATCTACTAACATAAATGTGTATGCTTGCCTTTTTTTAAAGAAAACTTGTGCACCTGTAGTCCCAGCTACTCATGAGGCTGGGGTGGGAGGATCACTTGAACCTAAGAGTTTGAGGCTGCAGTGAGCTATGATTGTGCCATTGCACTCCAGCCTGGGTAACATAACGAGATTCTGTCTCTTAAAAAATAAAGAGAGGCTGGGCGTGGTGGCTCATGCCTGTAATCCCAGCACTTTGGGAGGCCGAGGCGGGTGGATCACAAGGTCAGGAGATCGAGAACATCTTGGCCAACATGGTAAAACCCCATCTCTACTAAAAATACAAAAGAAATCAGCTGGGCATGGTGGCGCGCACCTCTAGTTCCAGCTACTCTGGAGGCTGAGGCAGGAGAATTGCGTGAACCCAGGAGGCTGAGGTTGCAGTGAGCTGAGATCACGCCACTGCATTGCAGCCTGGGCGACAGAGTGAAAATTCTGTCTCAAAAAAAAATAAATAAATAAATAATAAATAAAGAGAAAAACTGTGTTCTGTCTCTTAATTTTTCTGTTAACAATGGGCTGTAGACACTAGTCCTTGGATGTTTGCTTATGTGTGTGTGAGGCTTTGAAATCCCAGGAGGCACGTGGTGAAGACCTAAACTGAGGATTGCTCAGGGTAGCGGTCTCCAACTTTTTTGGCACTAAGGACGGATTTCATGGAAGGCAATCTTATCATGGATGGGCAGCAGGTGGGGGATGGTTTCAGGATGATTTAAGCGCATTACATTTACTGTGCACTTTATTTCTATTATTACTACATTGTAATATACAATGAGATAATTATACAACTCACCATAATGTAGAATCAGTGAGAGTCTTGAGCTTGTTTTCCTGCAACCAGACAGTCCCGTCTGGGGGATGATGAGAGACAGTGATAGATCATCAGGCATGGGATTCTCATAAGGAACCTGCAGCCTAGATCCCTCACATGCGCAGTTTACAATACAGTTTGTGCTCCTATGAGAATCTCCTAATCTCCTTTGCTGGGGTGGATCTGACAGGAGGCAGAGCTAAGGTAGTAATGCAACTGATGAGGAGCCGGCCACTGTGAATACAGATGAAGCTTCCTTCTCTGGCTCACCGCTCACTTCCTGCCACACAGCCCGGTTCCTAACAGGCCGCAGACCAATACTGCTGGTCTGTGGCCCAGGGATTGGGGATTTTTGGCCCAGGGCCCCTACCCCACCATCCTCAGCCATCCCTCATTCCTCCCTGAGGGTAGGCACAATCAAGCCATGGCCCAGAGAGAGACTTTGGCATTCATTTTCACAGGTCTTTCTTGAGCTTAGATCCAGAATAAAGCACACATGTTTCAAAACAGGCCTCTGTGCAAATCCTTTCTGAACTAATGTAGCCACTAGTAATGGGGGACAATTACCAAGAAGTCAATAAAGAGTACCAGTGCAAGTCCAGGTGCAGTGGCTCACGCCTAAAATCCCAGTGCTTTGAGAGGTTGAGGAGGGAGAATCACTTGAGCCAGGAGTTCAAGATCAGTTTGGGCAACATAGTGAGACCCTGTCTCTACAAAAAATTTAAAAATTAGCTGGGCATGGCGGGGGCGTGCCTTTAGTCTCAGCTACTCAGGATGCTGAGGCGGGAGAATCTCTTGGGCCCAGGAGGTAGAGGCTGCAGTGAGCTGTGATCCTGCCATTGCACTCCAGCCAGAGCAACAGAACAAGACCCTGCCTCTTAAAAAAAGTACAGTGCTCTATTTTCAAAAATATCAAGGTAATTCAAATGCAAAAACATCAAGGTAATTCAAATGCAAATAACTGAGAATTAACTGTATTGGTAGGGCATTTGGCCCAAAGAAGACTTCCTCTTTTTGAAAAGTAAATACATTGCATTGCATGCATTTGCTCTTTTCCCCAGAGAAAGGATGTTGGGCTGCTCCAGACCTCTGACAATGGATGCACCCCCAGGATTAGATCAGAAAGATGGACCTGCCAGGGGAAAGCGTCAGAGGCTTCTGTTCCTACCATCAGTACCATGGATGCGCTGTGAGTGTGGAGCCTGTATGGAAATGCCCCACTGGTTTCACAGTGTCTAAAGCTGATCCTTGGGGACTAATAGAGAAGAAAGATTAACAGACCAGCGTCCCTTGTTTCTAATACTGAACTGGCCTCTACTGAGCTTTTGCCTCTACTGAGCTTTTGTCGCGCAGCTGAGATTGGAAAGGAAGCCTCAGGAGCAGAAGCGAATGCAAGCTAACAGAAAGAAAGGCAGCGCGGAGGACGCCACAGCCCCAGCGCCCTCCCAGCCTCAGCAGAGCTGTGGGGATTGTTCTTCACATCTGACGCCATGGGGTTCTGGAAGTCTCTTAAGGGATATATTGGAACTGACTTGTATTATTTGGAAATCGACATAAATTGTCTATTATTAAATCTCACTGAATTAAGTCCAACTTTACCATCTGAACACCGTTTTAGCATTCATCCTGAAATGGCTGGAACATGATTTGTTAGCTCCATAAGGGTAAAGAAATATTAGCTGGGTGCAGCAGCTCATGCCTGTAATTCCAGCGCTTTGGGAGGCTGACAGGGAAGGATCGCTTGAGCCCAGGAGTTTGAGACCAGCCTGGGCAACATAGTAAGACCCTGTTTCTAAAAAAAATCAAAAAGTTAGCCAGGTGTGGTGGCACGTGCCTGTAGTCCCAGCTACTAGGGAGGCTGAGGTGGGAACCTTGCCTGAGCCCAAGAGATTGAGGATGCAGTGAGCTGTGATTGCACCACTGCACTCCAGCCTGGATGACAAAGTGAGACCGTGTCTCAAAAAAAAAAAAAAAAAAAAAAAAAAAGAAATATTGAGCAATGACTGACCAAGAGCCTGTATGGAAGCAAAGAAAAATAAAACAAGCCTAATGTTTAGTAGCGGTTTCTGCAGATGGAAGACAGCAAACGGGGAAAGAGTGCATTTGGGATTGCAGGACTTGGTTAGTGTCAGAGCCTGTCCTAAAAGACGACGATGCAGCAGGACCCTACCTGTCCTTATGACTTCCTTTCATCCTCCCCGCTCACCCTCCATGCTTCCTTCCTGAAGGAGGCCATTCCATTATTAAAATCAGGAACTGCAAAGATCCGGCAGGGAGCGTCATTTGCCAACGGTATTTGAGGTCCCAGTGGGAAAGATTTTTTTTTTTGGTTGGATGGAGTCTTTCCACAGATTCACATACGGTTATCACGACAGCCACAGCATCTGCTGAAGTCTATTTCTAGTAACATGTTGCACATTCCAGACCTCTCATTATTTGCAGTGGTCCACATTCATTCATGAATACTTGTATTTACTACTTGTTCATTCAATTATTTCTTGAGTGGGTACTTAGCTTAAGGGTCAACAGAACGCAAATATATCTTATATCTAGGCTCTGATGCCCCAAGGGATCTGCATTCCCTGGGACACAAAAATAATGATAATTCACCAAGAAGCATAAATAATGATGCAGGGCCAGGCATGGTGGCTCACACGGTACTCCCAGCACACTGGGAAGCTGAGGCAAGAGGATGGCTTGAGCCCAGAAGTTTGAGACCAGCCTGGGCAACATAGTGAGACCCCATCTCTATAAAAATATTTAAAAGTTAGTCAATCATGGTGGGTGCACCTGTAGTCCCAGCTACTTGGGAGACTGAGGTGGGAGGATCACTTGAGCCCAGGAGTTCAAGACTGCAGTGAACTATTATTGCACCACTGCACTCCAGCCTGGGTGATACAGTGAGACCTTGTCTCTAAAAATAATAATAATAGCAATGCAACAAGAACCTGTTCTGCATGGAATTGTGCCCCACTCTTTCCCCTTCACCTACTCCCCCAAAAAGATTGGAGTCCTAACCCCTAGTACCGCAGAATGTGACCTTATTTGGAGATACTTGAGTCATTAAGTTAAATGAGGTTTTCAGGGTAGGCCTAATCCAATCTGACTAGTGTCTTTATATGAAGGGGAAATTGGGAAGTGGCGGCAGGCATGCACAGAGGGAAGACCGTGTGCAGATGCACGGGGAGAAGACGGCCCTCTACAAGCCCAGAAGAGAGGCCTCAGAAGAAACCAACCCTGCCCACACCTTGATCTCAGACTTCCGCCCTCCAGAGCTGTGAGACAATAAAGGTTCTGTTGTTTAAGCACTCCAGTTTGTGGTACTTTGTCATAACAGCCCAAGGAAACGAATCGTGTCCACAGGAGGGACTTCTGGCTGGAGGTGGGAGGGAGGGGAAGGGATCAGGGTGGCTTCTGGGAGGAGGTGTCCTCTGAGTCGGCCTGAAAGGACTGGCAGGATTTCTCACTGCAACTGGACATCAGTCCTTCAGCCATCAGTTCCAAAGAGAAGATCTGGAAGGAGGAGAGGGAGAGGAGAGGCACACCCAGTCTCCCACGTGTGGCACAGGCAGGATAAGGACATAGCAAGTAGGGCCTCGAGGCTGAGGTGAGGGTGCACAGAAGGAAAGTGAACTTGGACATGGGCGGGCCAGGGGAATCCGGCTAAGGGGCTCTTCAGATGTGGGGATGACCCGGCAACAGCACCTGCGACTGACTCCTCTGGTCCTCAGGATCCCCAGGCCTAGTGCGTCCCTTTCTCATGGGACCCGGGGTGTTTCCAGGGCTGCCTGGTTTCATAGTATCCTGCGCCCTGCGCTAGCACTTCCATCTTGGACCTTGATGTTGAAACCATTACAGGTGCTGACTCTATTACATCCTCCTCTCATCTGATCTTCATATAAAGATATTTCTGAAATCTCCAGCAAACAACATGGCACTTGGAAAATGGCGGACTTGGGTTTCCTACCCAGTAGTGCCATTTTTTGGTAGACCTCAGTGACCATGAGGCAGCTCTATCAAATGCTGCTCTGATTTTATAAGCTGCTCAGGAAAACGAAATTGTTCTGTTGCATTGGAAATATGGAAAGTTTTGGAATCTTGCTATATTAAATTTTTTTTTAGATTTTGACTCTTAAAAAATCTTTGAATGGCCCTGGGAGATAGATTGGTCATGTCATAAACAAAAGACCAAGGCATACAAAAGTTACGGGACTCGGCTAAGATAACAGAGCTGGGTGGGGCAAGGCTCTTTAAGGACGGCACCCAGATGTGGTGGTCCGCATTCCCCTGTACCTGATTGTTGTTGAATAATGGAGGTAAACTGAGGCCCAAGGTCACCTCCTGCTTTAGGGAGGGCCTTAGGTAAGGGCGGGAGAGGAATCGCAGGCCCCGCCCGAACAGGCTGCTTTCTCTGCATGATTTCATCACATCCTCGCAGGCAGCCCCGAGAGGCACCCGCTATGCCCTTTACTGAGGAGGGTCTTCAACATTCAGTTCTTCCTCATCCTCCCATCGCTGGTAAGAGACCCATTCCAGTGGAAGCTGAGGAACGAGACCTGCCTGGGAATGAGACCTTTCCTCATGAACACTAATTTTATCCAGGGGTGATAGGGTTAGGGGGAGGTGTTTGCTGTTAATATCCGAATGTCTCTCTAACAGATTTCTATCAGGTTTGATATAAGCTGTCAGCTGCCTCCCTCCAGCTGGAGAAGCCAGGAAAGGAAATGCAGGGACTGGCCAGGGAAGGAAATACGGAAGCGACAAAGGAGATACCTTTGCATCTGGCGAGGGGCAGCCGCGCAGACGGAAGGCTGTGGCCAGCAGGTGGCGCTGTTGCTCAACGCAGAAGCCAAGGCTCCAACTCCAGCGCCGCCTCCGGCTTCACAGTCCTAGGATCTGCAGAGGAAGCCTCTGCTCTTAGGCACAGAACTGGGCCAAGACCTTCCCCTAAAGACCCCAGGGGCCAACTCCAGCTCCGTCCGGCTCATTTGTTTCCAGTTCAAGGAACCTGAACTCTACGATGGGCTGACCTGGGAATGTTCGCATTGCCCTGATGCAAGCAGTGATAAATTGTGCAGTGACATGAACGTGCCCAAAGTGGGAGTCTGCAGACCACAGTTCCTCTTAGCCAGGCTTCCCTCCCCCCGCATGCACTCGCTCATTAATTTTTTATTTTTTTATTTTGCTGGCTTCTTTAAACCTCTTCCCTTTGCCAGCTTTGCCATCTATAGAATGAAGGTGATACCTTTCTTTGGCTCAATTAGTTAATGTCAGGAAAACTCTCTGCAGATGAAAAGCACTAAATTCTATTGATCAAATATTTAATTAGCCACACTTGCGGATGATTCATAATCATCTATTCAACTTCCTGAATTGCCAAGCAGAGAAAATGGCATGATTAGAAATATAATTTTAAATACCGGTTTTCAGAGATTTTGTACCTGTCAAGGCTATGGGAGAATTACTGAATTAGCATACCAGTTCCTCCCTGATTTTCCAAGGGCCTGAAGAAACCGGCTCCTTTCCCACTCAGCCTGTGACCACAACTGCCCTCCTCCACCCACACCTGGCCTGGGGAGTAACTCAGCCTCAGGGCCTCACTGGCAGTGTCCAGCAAAGGAGAGAGGAAGGAAGGAGAATGGGGAGGAAAGAGCCTCTGAGTGAGGGACAACTCTGAGGAGGTCTGACCAGCCCCCAAGGAGCCCCAGCAGTCATCCCTTGGAGGAAGTGGTCAGAAATGGCCAGGCCCAGGACCCTCTGGACTCTGTCACTGGCTGGGCCTGACCTTGGCACGAAAGGTGTAGTGCAGCAGTCCCCAACCTTTTTGGCACCAGGGATAGGTTTTGTGGAAGACAATTTTTCCATGGATGGGGAGAGGGTCAGGAGTGGTTTCATGAAACTTTCATCTCATATCATCAGGCATTAGATTCTCATAAGCACTGTGCAGCCTAGATCCCTCACGTGCACAGTTCACAATGGGGTTCGTGCTCCTATGAGAATCTAATGCTGTGGCTGATCTGACAGGAGGTGGAGCTGAGGTGGTACTGCTTGCTTGTTGGCCAGCCACTCACCTCCTGCTGTGTGGCCTAGTTCCTAAAAGGCCATGGATCAGTACCAGTCAAGGGCCTGGGAGTTGGGGACCCCTGGTATGGTGATTCCAGAAGGCACTGCACCTAGAAGCTGCTGACTGGACCACACTCCTTGAGACAGGCTCTCGCTTAAAGTTTGCTGAGCAATCCCACTTCCTCAGCTGCCCTGGCCTGTGCCAATGACTTATTTAAATCAGTAAATCGATAATGATGGAGCTGACAGAATAGTAACATTAGTTCTGAAAAAGCCAGGGAAAATATACACATACACAGACGCGTAGATACTTATGTATATAGATGGAGACAGTAGACGGATGATGGAATACAATTTTAAAACAACATTCAAAATTGGTTAATATCCTACAAGGTAATAAAACTGTAACACACACAGTTATGATTTTCTACTCGCCAGAAATCCTTTACACCTCTACTGGACAAAAATCATCTATAGTTTATCAGTTTTCTATAAGTTAACATGGAACTTTAGAGTCTACGCCTGATCAATAGTAAACTGTAAATCAGAAAAGACAATATTCCCTAGAGAGTCAGGTACCTGTAGGCAGGCGTGTTGGATAATGCACAAGTATAGGCATGTAATCATCTTTATGCCTCACTTCCAAGTTGTAAATAATTAACACTTCTCTTGGGTAGTTACATTCTGTCAGGAGAGGGATATAAATAAATAGCCAGTTAAAATATTGTGTGACAAAGGAAAGGCGAGGAATGAGCAGAAGAAAGCAGGAGAAAACAGCACAAAGGTGCTTTTTTTTTTCTTTTTTGAGACACGGTCTTGCTCTGTCACCCAGGTGTGACGAAATTATGGCTTACTGCAGCCTCAAATTCCCAGGCTCAAGTGATCTTCCTGCCTCAGCCTTCTGAGTAGCTGGGACTACAGGCATGCACCACCATTCCAAGCTAATTTTAAAATTATTATTATTATTATTATTATTATTATTATTTTTAAGACAGTCTCACTCTGTTGCCCAGGCTGGAGTGCAGTGGTGCAATCACAGCTCACTGCAGTCTCAACTTCCCAGGCTGAAACTATTCTCCCACTTCAACCTCCCAAGTTCTGGGACCACAGGTATGCACATACCACCATGCCCGAAATTTTTTTTTAAGTTTTTTTGTGTGTTTGTTTGTTTTTAGATATGGGATCTTGCTGTGTTGCCCAGGCTGGTCTCAAACTTCTGGACTCAAGTGATTCTTCCACCTCAGCCTCCCAAAGTGCTGGGATTACAGGTATGAGCCATCATGCCCAGTCTTTTTTTTTTTTTTTTTATTGTAGATACAGAGTCTTGCTATGCTGCCCACGTTGGTCTTGAACTCCTGAGCTCAAGCCATCCTCCCTCCTCAGCCTCTCAAAGCACTGGGATTACAGGCCTGAGCCACTGTGCCTCACAGATCCCAAAGGCTTTTGATGGCCCCTCCATAGAACTGCTAATAATTCCAAACAGCTGAGGGCAGAGACGAACCAGTCTTGAGACTGAAGCAGGCATTGAGACTGGCCAGGACAGTGGATTACATAGTGAACTATTTCTCTTTTGCCATGCTGGGGAATTTGGATTTTTATCCTTAAGGCAATAAGGAGCCATTGAAGTGTCTGAAATTAGAAATAAAATCGATATTTGTGTTGATAAAGATCACTCATGAAGGGTGGAAAATGGATTGGAGGGTACTAAAACTGAAATTAGGCAACAAACACAAAGGTAGCTAATTTAATTTCACTGAACTTTCTGGATCTGTGGTTTGGTATACGTCATTAATATTAGAAGGCCCACTGCCATTATTACTTCAAATATTTGTTCTGCTCCATTCTCTTTCTCTTCTCTTTCTTGTATTCCGACTCTGTGCATGTTACAGCTTTTGTAATTGCCCCACAGTTCTTGGACATTGTATTTTTTGTTGTTTTTTTTATTGTTGTTGTAATATTTCTGTTTGTGAATTTTCTTTCAACATTCTCAGCTCACTGATTCTTTCCTCAGCCATGTTGATTCCACTGATGAACCCATCACAGGCATTCTTCATTTGTTATTATTTTTTTTTAATTTCTAGCATTTCCTTTTTGGTTTTATCTCTCTGTTTTCCATCTCTCTGCTTACATTACCCATGTATTCTTGCATGTTGTCTACTTTTTCCATTAGAGACCTTAACACATTAATCGTAGTTACTTTAAGTGTCCTGCTTGATAATTTTTAACATCTGTGTTATAGCTGAGTCTGGTTTAGATCATTGCTTTCTCTCTTATGACTTCTTTCTTGATTTTGGTGGAACTTGTACGTTTTTGTTGAAAGCTGGACAAGTTGTATTAGGTAATGGGAACTGAGGTAAATAGACCTCTTATGTAAGGATTTATGAGAATCTGGCTAGAAGTTGGTCTTTTTGTTTAGTGTTTTCTGTAAAAACTAAAGGTGCCAGAGCCTTTTAATTCCACCAATGTCCTTGTTTGTGTTTTTTCTCTCCCCTTTTAACCTCAGGATTCCCTACATACTCCTCCTCAAAGAGAGTCTCTGTCTCAAAGCTCTTTCAGCTGTAATTTACTATAATTATATGCAGGCCTGTTGGTGTGGTGGTAATATGTAGGGGAGTGGGAAGAGTTCTATAATCTTCCAATTAAATCTCAGGCTTTTAGTGGGCCTGTGACCCTAGCCTGTGACACCCAAGTGTTTCTTCTTGCATATACCTCCACCCACCTTAGGTAAGGCAGGGAAGCCAGAGGGGTGTGGGGTGAGAGGGTTGTCCTTCCCCCATGGCTTTGGAACAAGGCTCGGGTGAAGCCTTTTCCCCAAAGGGTAGGCCTTTGTTCTGGAGAACGCTCTAGGTATATTTCACAAGAATTACTCTTCCATCCAAGATGCCATCTTGGATCTTCACCATGAGAACTTGGTAGGGTTTCTGGAGGTAAAGCCCAAAAAAGTGTGAGGGGCCCCATCAAGACTGCACTCCCTAGGAGTTTGTCATTCTCACACTACTCCACACTCAGCCTCCAGATTCATTAAGATAATCACTTAAGTGTTTCTACCAGTTTATGAGTCCAGTGGTTTCTGTTCTAGGTCAGTAGATCTTGGCTCTGACTCTGGATTTATCTGTCTTTCAAGATTTCAGGATGGTAGTTTGCCCTGCAAGCTCAGTTCTCCAATGGGTCCTTCCAAAAAGTCATCGATTTTCTGTTTGTTCAGCTCTTTCTTGTAAGGACAAGAGTGATGACTCCCAAGCTCTTTGCATGTTGGAGCTTCAAACAGAGGTCCATAAATAACTTACTTTCAGACAGTGATGAGTGTCAGAGAATGGACTAGGGAGAGGAGGGAGTCATCATCAAGGTCATGGAAGCCTGTCTGGGGAGACACCATGTGGAGGAGACCTGAATCGGGGGAGGGCATAGAGGCAGCAGGATTGGCAAGTGGAAGTTCTTGGAGCTGAAAGAAGGACTGTGGGGCCAGAGCACAGGGGAAAGGATGCAAGAGGGAGAAGAAGGTGAGATTGGGAAAGGGACTTTGGGTGAGCACATGCAGGGCTTTGTTCTAACCGCAAAGGGAAGCCATTAAGCAGGGGAATGATATGTGGTGTAACTTAGGTTTGTGGATGATTCTTCTGGCTGGGGAGTCCATGTGTCCATGTTTGCTCAGGACAGTCCTGGTTTATGTCTTTTGCCTGCTGTCATTATCTTCCATGCCCCTTCCACTTACAAAAGTGTCTTCATTCAGATGACAAATCACAAGGACCCCCTGATCCTGGCCACAGTGAGGAGGAGATGTTAGAGTGGCCATGAGGGAAGCTGGGAGGTCGGTTGGAGGTGAATGTAGTGAAGCGGACAAGCCGTGATGGGGTGGTGGCCTTGGAGCTGGAGGGAACCGATGACCTCAGGACATGTTACAGAGGTGGAACCAGTGGGACTGTGCCTGGCTGACCTGGGGGCCAAGGAAAGAGGAGGTGGGGAGTCAAGCTACCAGGAACGATTCCATCACTCCATCATCTAGTAGTGTCAATTCCATCTCTGTTAACTCAAATCTGTCATTTGGCTTCCATTCTCACATCCATCTCCCTAGTTCAAGCCTCTTCACTGCTCACCTGAAGTTGAGATCCCTCTCTAACCCCATGGGCTTTTGTCATCATCCCCCTCTGAACAGTGGACACAACCTCCGGTTCCACAGCCCACACCAAGGGCAGACCCTGAGCTTGGCAAACACTGCCCTTCAGACCCACCTTCCTCATTCCCACTGGAATGTCTCATGGCTCCTCCAACACCTTCCATCCTTTGGGCTGCCCTAGGCCTTCTGCCTGGGGTCCCCTCCTGCCATCTCCTCGCCCTTTGGGGAGGTTAAGTTGTGCCTCCTCCATGGAGCCCTTCAGCTGTCACATCCCACTCTGAGTGCCCAAGGTCCTCCAATCTCACATCTGCTATGGCCCTTCCTGCATTCCACTTTATAGAACAGTCATCTATTTACTGCCATCCCTCAACTAGTTGGTAAGGTTTTGAGGGAAAGAATGATGTTTTATTCTCTCTTAATCTCGCACTGGGAGCTTGGCCCACCACAGAGTTCAACCCTTTGTGGAGTTGGAGGCTTTTGGCAGAAAAGAAGGTTGCATGCTGGTTTCGCTGGTTTGGCCCTGGCAGGTTTACCCCTTGACTTCACTGTCGTGCAGCCAAGTGGGAAGTTCCTCAGGGGTTCCTCGCCCAGAACCAGGAATGAAGATCACTTCAGGAAGAGTGGCCCAGGCCTGCCCCCAAACTTACCCCTGGCATTCAGGACTGGTGGCGGGGAACCCAGGGACAGGAGTGCTTAGCAGAGTCTGGTGTGGAGGAAACACTCGATAAATTAGCTATTAACAATTAAGTGACTAACAAAGATAGACATCATAGAGGAAACCATAATGGAAGATGTTGATGGACTTCAATCATTTTATTAAGTTTATTAATTTCATCACCTGGAGAGAACCTAATGTCAACACTTGAGTATATTATATAATCTTCATGCATATATTTTCACAGAATTTTGTTCCTTTGCATAAAAATTTCTGTAGCTGACTTTTCTCACTTAACATTATAAGCATTTTCTCTGGTAATTAAGAGATCTTTGTAAACACGCTTTTGATAACTATATGTGTTTTTTGTCTATTATGCCAAACACCACCCTGGGCAGGCTTTTTAAATTATTTATTTTTTTGTTGTTGTTGTTGTTTGAGACAGGATCTTGCTCTGTCACCCAGGATAGAGTGTTCACTGCAGCCTCGACGACTCCTGGGCTCCAGCAATCCTCTCACCTCAGCCTCTTGAGTAGCTGGGACTACAGGTATGCACCACTACACTCAGCTAATTTGCACTCAGATGGTAGAAGGTGGGGTGAACAGGCACTGTTAGTGGGGGTGTCGAAGGCATTGACTCCTCTGAAAAGCAATTAGACAGCATCCGCCATGAGAACTGGAAATGCTTATGTCATTTGCCCCAGTAATTCCACTTCTGGAAAATCTAGATTATGGAAGTTCACAAAATACAGAAAAAGCTCTACTCCCAAAATGTTAATCCCAGCATTGTTTATAATAACAGAAAATTGGAACTAACCAGCTAAGAAAATATTTATGAAAAGTTTGGCATGATATACCACAAAACACATATAGTTATCACAGTTTTTATTTTCCTTTCTTTGTATTCTTTCTACAGTTTCTAAAATGGGAATGTACTACTTTTCTAATTATAAAAATTATGCTATTTTTAAAAAGACATTTGGGGCTGGGCACAGTAGCTGACACCTGTAATCCCAACACTTTGGGAGGCTGAGGGGGGGCTGATCACTTGAGGCCAGGAGTTCGATACCAGCCTAGCCAACATGGTGAAACCCTGTCTCTACTAAAACTACAATAATTAGCCAGGCATCCTAGTGCACACCTATAGTCCCAGCTACTCAGGAGGCTGAGGCATGAGAATTCCTTGGACCTGGGAGGCGGAGGTTGCAGTGAGCCAAGATCGCGCCACTGTACTCCAGCCTAGGCAACAGAGGGAGACTCTGCCTTAAAAAAAAAAAGAAAAAAGAAAAGAAAAGAAAGAAAGAAAAGACATCTGGGGCAAGGCATGGTGGCTCATGCCTGTAATCTCAGCTGTTTGAGAGGCCCAGGTGGGAGAATCATTGAGGCCAGGAGTTCAAGACCAGCCTGGCAACATAGTGAGAACTTCCCTCCATCTCTACAAAAATTAGCCAGGAGTAGTGCTGCATACCTGTGGTCCCAGCTACTCAGGAGGCCAAGGTGGGAGGATCGCTTGAGCCCCAGAGTTCAGGGCAGCAGTGAGTTATAATCATACCACTGCACTCCAGCCTGGGTGACAGAGTGAGACTCTGTCTCAAAAAGAAAAAGTAAGAATCACAATAAAATAAAAGACATTTGATAATCAGTGGGTTTCTATTCCACAGTGTATGAACGTTACATATTTGGTCACTGCTGGGATGTGTGAGCATGATCACATCATTGATTGACTTCTCTGAACCTCAGTGGCCTCACCTGTGAAATGGGGGCACTAACTTTCACCTGTCTGCAGGCATGTAGCCAAATCAGGTGCCATTTGAAAGACTTTTCCAGTCCCGGTGCCTTCAAACGTCTGCTGCGAGGCCATTTTTTCTCAGGGTGTGGAAGGAGCATGATAAGGGTGATTAGGATGGGCTTATTGGAGGAACGAGGAGGGCAGAGACTGCTTTTCCACTTCATGGCACCGAGCGGGTGATAACAGAGGACTGATTCAGCCACAGCAGCTACCCGAGCCCTACCAGGGCTGTGGAGCCAACTCTCTCAGCAGGAGTTTCAGAAAGCAAAGGGGTCGGAGCTCCATCCTTCCTTCCTCGCAGACTGTCACCCTGCCAGCTCTCATTCACCACAGGGCTATGTGATGCTGGCCCTCAAAGCTTCCTTGGCAGAGGGTGCATCTGCAATCCCCTTCCTGTAAAATATTTGAAGTGCAAAGGGCCCTGCAAGCAGAACCCCGCCCTCTTCTCCATTCTCCCTTCAGTGGGTATGAGAGGAAGACGGGCTCTTCTGTTTAGAAAACGCTGTCTGGGACCCAGGAGCTGGAATGGAAATGCTGAGTCCACTTGGAGCCTGGTGTGACAGTGACAGATGTCTCACATGGCAGACACGGAGCTTGGGAGCAAACAGGTGCAGGCACTCGAAGGTGGTCTTCTACATGGGATTAGCAGCACAGGCAAACGAGTAACTTTCAATCATGTGATTCTGCATGGGGCAAATCTTGAACATTCTTAGAAAGCTGCAAGCCAAGAAATCTGCCTAGGCTGGGCATGGTGGCTCATGTCTGTAATCCCAACACTTTGGGAGGACTGAGGTGGGAGAATCGCTCGAACCCAGGAGTTCAAGACCAGCCTGGGCGACATAGCAAGATCCATCTCTATGACAAATTACTTAAAAATTAGCCAAGTGTAGTGGTGCACACCGGTAGTCCCAGCTACTCAGGAGGCTGAGGTGGGAGGGAGGATCGCTTGAGCCCAGGAGGTCAAGGCTGCAGGGAGCTGAGATTGCACCGCTGTACTCTTTCCTGAGTGACAGAGTGAGATCCTGCATATAAATAAATAATAAATAAAGCCGGGTGCGGTGGCTCACCCTGTAATCCCAGCACTTTTGGAGGCCAAGGCAAACAGATCATGAGGTCCGGAGTTCGAGACCAGCCTGGCCGACATAGTGAAACCCTGTCTCTACTAAAAATACAAAAATTAACCAGGCATGGTGGTGCGTGCTTGTAGTCTCAGCTACTTGGGAGGCTGAGGCAGGAGAATTGCTTGAACCCAGGAGGCGGAGGTTGCAGTGAGCTGAGATCACGCCACTGCCCTCTAGCCTAGGCAACAGAGTGAGACTCCATCTCAAATAAATAAATAAATAAATAATAAATTTTAAAATATATACATAAATTTAAAAGACTGCCCAGCCTCAGCCTAGGACCAGCCAGGAGTGCACTGGAAGGGCTATAGGAGCCATCTGCCCGTCCCAGCGACATTCCATGAGACAGGCTGAGCAGGGGTGTGTGGAGTCAGTGGCCTCAGCCAGCTCCACCAGCCACCGTCTGCTGACTATACGGCTTTGGGGAAAGCATCTGATCATCTTAAGCGCTAGTTTCCTCCTTGATAAAATGAGAATCACCGTGGCACCTACTGTGTGGGGCGGCTATGCGGATTAAATGAGATGATATGTGGAGGGCACTTACCCCGGCGTCTGGCACATGGCAAGAGTGCAGTCCATTGCTAACCATGTTTTTTTATTTGTTTTGTCTTGTCTTTTTGTTTTTGTTTGTTTTTGTTTTGAGACGGAGTCTCTCTCTTGTTGCCCAGGCTGGAGCGCAAGGGTACAATCTCAGCTCACCGCAACCTCCGCCTCCCGGGTTCAAGTGATTCTCCTGCCTCAGCCTTCCAAGTAGCTAGGATTACAGGCATGTGCCCCCACGCCCGGCTAATTTTGTAATTTTAGTAGAGATGGGGTTTCTCCATGTTGGTCAGGCTGGTCTCAAACTCCCGGCCTTAGGTGATCCGCCCACCTTGGCTTCCCAAAGTGCTGGGATTACAGGCATGAGCCACCACGCCTGGCAACCGTGTTTGTTATAAAGCTCTTCTTAGAGCCCTGCACTCCTGTGGGCAGTGAGGGGGATACAAAAGGTTAAACCACATCCCTACCTTCAGTGAGCTAGGACTATCCCCAGGAAACAGTTAAACAGTTAAGCAGTGGGTGATTCAATGCAAAAGCAACCGGAGGCAGCACAACTATTTATAATAGCAACGAGCTGGAAGCAACCCCAGTGCCCAGCAATCCTGTAATGACTAAGAAAACCCCAAGACGTTTGCACGGCAGACCACTGCAGAGCCAGTTGAAAACAGGCATGGAGCTGATGTCCATACATGGAAATGTGCCTCAGAAATAAAGGTTTCTAGAAGGAGATCACATAACAACACGTGCACACGATTTCCCAAGATGTGGAAATACATGTAAAGCCTCCCAGAGAGGTCAAAAAAGAACCTGGAGGGATGGAAGGACTTTAAAGTTGGATGCTCATCTGGTGATTGATTTATTTTTCTCCCTGAAAGGTTACCTAAGCACCTAGTATTTTAAAAAGATAATGGTGCAACTAGAAAGTGTTAGGGTTCAGAGAAGAGAGGGAGGTATGGGGTATCCGAGTGCTGAAGAAGGCTTTGCAAAGGTGCCGGTGTCTAAGCAAATATTGAACCACTTGTGGATTTTTTTTTTTTTTTTTTGAGAGGGAATCTTGCTCTGTCACCCAGGCTGGAGTGCAGTGGTGCAATCTGGGCTCACTGCAACCTCTGCCTCCCGGGTTCAAGCAATTCTCCTGCCTCAGCTTCCCAAGTAGCTAAGAGGACAGGCACGCGCCACCACACCCAACTAATTTTTGTATTTTTAGTAGAGACGGGGTTGGCCAGGCTGATCTTGAACTCCTGACCTCAAGTGATCCACCTGCCTTGACCTCCCAAAGTACTGGGATTACAGGCACGAGCCACTGTGCCTGGCCCATTTGTGGATTTGAATAAAAGGGACAGAGTTGTCCCAGTGGGACAGTTTGTGTTCCTCCCCTTCACCAGTCTTTTTTGCTGAAGAAATGAGTTAGGTGCTATTAAAGGCAGCATGAGAAGCAGATGCAGGAAAGAACTGGGCAGCCCATCCTTCTCCTTAGGGCCGAAGGGAGTTGAGGTTAAGTGTTTGTATGTTGGACAGTCGGGCTTGTCTACACCAGCTGGCGGACTTCCTACCAGGCTCTCACCTGGAGGCCTTTCCAGCTATCCTGATTGGCCGTGTCTTTGGGAGAACAGAGGCCCATGTGGTGCTCTCCCGGCTGGAAATTTTGCATCCTTGAAGACCTGTAAGTCTCCACACAGGGTCCCATAGACACCAGGAGGTGAACTAGTGAATCAGAGGAAGTCCCCTGCATCTTGTCTGACCGGTGAAGGCTGCCGACTGTGCCTCAGATCGCCCACACCATGAACGAAATCTCATGGGGATTTCTAGGCTATTGTCTCCCTGGTTTAGTTTATGGGGTAAGTCAACCACTGCTGTGTGGGTCTGGCCGGCCTCCAGCGATCATCAGGTCTTGCGTCTGGTTTCTGTCCCCATCACATGAATATGGATGCACCAAGAAAGGACACAGACATTGGATCCCAACAGACAGACATGGGTTTGAATCCTGACTCTGCCTCTTGACGTCTCTGTGACCTTGAGCAGGTTTTCTAACCTCTAGGGGCTCCAGTAACTCACCTACAACCTGGGGGATCCCATGCCTTCCTACAGGGCTTCAGGATTAGCAAGTGAGTGTGCCAATGTTTGGCTCCAAGCAGACACTCAATGAATGGTGAGAAGCGCCCTTATTCTTGGAATGGAAGCATTCCTACTTCTGTTAGACAGCCGTTGGCCACAGATATAACCATGTGGCATGCATGTGGCCCCTGCCTACTCCACACACTCTCACTAGGCAAGTCCTGAGCCATCCAGATTCAGAACTTTCTGACCAGCCAACGGCTTTGGACAGAGTCTGTGGAAGGTAAGACCCTCTACAGGGACAGGATCAGCTGCTGCAGGCAAGCATGCTGGCCAGAAGCTGCTGCTTCCTAGGGGACGAGAGAGCTACTGCTGAATTTGGCTGCAAATCGCTGCTAGGATTCCCATGGGTGCACCTGCTACCCAGGGAGCACCTCCAGAGTGGACCAGCCACCTGTGCCATAATGAGAAGCATAGGCCAGGCACAGTGGCTCAGGCCTGTAATCCCAGCACTCTGGGAGGCCAAGGTGGGCAAATCACTTGAGCCCAGGATTTCAAGACAACCCTGCGCAACATGGTGAGACCATGTCTCTGTGAAAAATAAGCTAAATTAGCCAGGCGTGGTGGCTCACGCCTGTAATCCCAGCACTTTGGGAGGCTGAGGCGGGTGGATCACCTGAGGTCGGGAGTTCGAGACCAGCCTGACCAACATGGAGAAACCCTGTCTCTACTAAAAACACAAAATTAGCCAGGTGTGGTGGCACGTGCTTGTAATCCCAGCTTCGTGGGAGGCTGAGGCAGGAGAATCGTTGGAACCTGGGAGGCAGACGTTGCAGTGAGCCCAGATCGTGCCACTGCACTCCAACCTGGGCAACAAGAGCGAAACTCTGTCAAAAAAAAAAAAAAAGAAAGAGAAAGAAAGAAAGAAAGAAAGAAAGAAAGAAAGAAAGAAAGAAAGAAAGAAAGAGAAAGAAAGAAAGAAAGAAAAAGAAAAGAAAAATAAGCAAAATTGCAAAATTAGCTGGGTGTGGTGGCACACACCTGTGGTCCCAGATACTTGGGAGGCTGAGGTGGCAGAATCACTTGAGCCTGGGAGGCGGAGGTTAAAGTGAGCTGAGATTGCATCACAGCACTCCAGCCTGGGCAACAGAGCAAGACCCTGTCTCAAAAAAATAATAATATATATATGGTCTTTTTCAGTTCCTGACACAGAACTCTTAAAAGCCTTGGAATTTCCTGAGGGATGGGGGTGAGAGGAGGTGACTTTTGTTCTAATTATGCGACTCTTGCTGGGCCCCTAGATTGTTTCAGGATGGGGGCTAGTCACAGAAAGACCAAATGTTGCTTAGAAACCTGGAACTTTCAGCCCCGCCCTCCAAGCTCTGGGGAGAGGTGAGGAGCTGGAGATTGAGTTAATAACCCATCTTGCGACCAGGCTGGTGGTTCACACCTGTAATCCCAGCACTTTGGGAGGCTGAGGTGGGCAGATCACGAGGTCAAGAGATGGAGACTATCCTGGCCAACATGGTGAAACTCCGTCTCTACTAAAAATACAAAAATTAGCTGGGCATGGTGGCACGTTCCTGTAGTCCCAGCTACTCAGGAGGCTAAGGCAGAAGAATTGCTTGAACCCGGGAGGCGGAGGTTGCAGTGAACCAAGATCGTGCCACTGCACTCCAGCCTGGCGATAGAGCGAGACTCTGTCTCAAAAAAAAAAAAAAAAATCAGTCATGCCTACGTAACAAAACCCCCATAAAAACTCCTAAATGATGGAGTTCAGAGAGCCTCTGGGTTGGTGAACACATTCTTGTGCCAGGAGGCTCTTGCACCCCAACTCCGCAGGAACAGAAGCTGCTTTGCTCAGGACCCTTAAGGACCTCATCCTATGTACCCTCCATCCACCATCATGGGAACCCTCAATTTATAGCCAGTCGTTCAGAAGTACTAGAAGCCCAGGACGTGCAACCCCATCAGGAGCAAGTGCAGTTTTGTGGGACTGAGCCCTAAAACCTGTGGGGTCTGTGCTCACTCCAGATGGTTAGTGTCAGGATTGGATTAAATTTTTTTGAAGTTTTAAGTTCAGGGGTACGTGTGCAGGATGTGCAGGTTTGTTACATGGGTAAATTTGTGTTATGGGGATTGGTTGTACAGATTATTTTATCACCCAGGCATTAAGCCTAGTATCCATTAGTTATTTTTCCTGTTTCTCTCCCTCCTCCCATCCTCCACCCTCCAATAGGCCCCACTGCATGCTCTTCCCTTTTATATGTCCGTGTGTTCTCATCATTAGCTCCCAATTATAAGTGAGAACATGCAGTATTTGGTTTTCTGTTCCTGTATTAGTTTACCACATGCACAAATATGTTCATTGCAGTGCTATTCACAATAGCAAAGACATGGAATCAACCCAAATGCCCATCAATGGTAGACTGGATAAAGAAAATGTGGTACATATACACCATGGAATACTATGCAGCCATAAAAAAGAATGAGATCATGCACTTTGCAGGGACATGTGTGGAGCTGGAGGCCATCATCCTTAGCAAACTAACGCAGGAACTGAGTTAAATTTTTGAACACTCAGTTGGTGTTTAGAGAATCAGATAATTGGTTATTAGTGTTGGAAAATACCCCACCATCTAAACTTCAAAGTGACCAGGAAGTCACTCCCAGGGAGTGAGGGAAACATCTGTGATATTTCCTTTAATCTATTCTTTTCCTTCCTCAACACAATCTCATTAATGAATGGCCTCAGGCAGGGGCAAAAAGTGATCAGGGACATGTCCGAGAACCTTCCTTTGGAGCTATATAGGTCTTCACCTCGTATTAGGAAAGGCCAGGCTATCTTTCCCAACAAGTCAAGCCATTGAGGTCATGTCAGAGGGTCTTAATGAGTCAGAATGCTTGTAAACATTAAAAAAAAATTTAAATCTCTAATTCATCAGTATTGCTAGATCTTTGAAAGGTCCTAGACTGTCAACAGGTGATGCTATTATTTCAGGTTTCCAAAGGACATATGACAGTCAGCCTTCAGTATCTGCAGATTCCACATCTGTGGCTACAATCAACCATGGTTTGAAAATATTCTGGGAAAAAAATGGATGTTTGTGTCATACTGAACATGCACAGGCTTCTTTTTTCTTGTCATTATTCCCTAAACCATATAGTATAGCAACTATCTACAAAGCACTTACATTGTATGAGGTATCATAAGTAATCTAGAGATGATTTAAAGTATACAGAGCATGTGGACAGGTTGTGTGCAAATAGGACACCATTTTATCAGAGACGTGAGCATTTAAGGAATTTGGTACCTGCGGGGGTCCTGGAACCAGCCCCCATGGATACGGAGGGACAATTATACTTTTAATCTTATTTTGCGCACAATCTTTAAGGAGTTTTAGTTCTTGTTCTCCTCCTGCCCGTGATACTTGAGCCTCCCTTGCTGCTTGTCACACTGGACAGCCACCCCATCATCTAGCAGAACCATCCAGAAAAGGAAAACAGGACAGAAAATCAAGGTTCACAGAGACCTGCAAGTCCACCATGGCCATATCTTCTCTTGTCTCCGCCCTGTTCCTGCCCCTCCCTCCACCAAGGTAATTCCCTATTTGACTTCTCCTTAAATGGTCTCAAAGACAAGTGAAGCCCAACTTGTCCAATGGTGGACTTATGATTTCTTCCCAGCCCTCCCGGCCAGCTCCATGTGATTGATCCCTTCTGAGGTCCCAGTGGCATGCATGGCATCAACCTCCATTCTGGAAGTTGCCCAACAAGAAAACTGAAAATCATCCTTATCATTTCCTTTATTCTCATCACTCAAACCAATGCATCTCCAAGCACCAATCATTTTACCTCCTCAAGATCTCATAAGTCTACCCATAGTTCACTGCCTGGTCCACTGCCACCCCCTTAGTCCAGGCTGTGTTCATCTCTTGCTCTGAAAAGGGTGGAAGATTTCCCTTTGGATCTAGTCAGATTCTCTTCTAATCTAATCCCCATACTGCATCTATGATCATCTTTCCAAAATGCATATCTGGTCCTAGCACCTCTGTTTAAAGGCCCCCAGGGGCTCCCCATTGCTCTTTTAAAAACTCCAATTCCGTAAGAAGCCCATAAGGCCCTTATTCAAATGCCCCTGGTTCTCTGTGTTCAACCACACTGGCTCCTTTCAGTTCCTCCCACGCCCTGGCAGCCCTTGCACACAGGCCATCGCACAGGCTCTGTCTTCCATCTAGAATGATCAAATGCCACCACAACTCCCCTTCGTCTAGCCAGCCCCTGCTTTGCCTTGAGATCTCACTCAAACATCACTTAGTGAAAAACCATCTCTGACTGCTCAGTCTGGGCAGTTCCTTTAAGACAAACTCCCCTCTAACTTATTCTTTTCTTTCCTCAGAGCATGCATCCCTGTTTGCAATGACATATTATTAATGTGATTGCTTGACTCATTTCTGTGCTCATTGTTGAGCTCCAGTGCCTAACACAGTGTGTCCTTAACAAATCCTGACTGATGAATGAATGAATAAATGAGTGAGTTAAAATATTGGGTCCTTGATTCCTCTTCTGATATTCTAAGATTTATGGGATCCCAAAATTGGTCAAAGCCACACGTTCCAAATATCCACAGATATATGTTGTCGGAAGCACGGAGTATTTCAAAGCTACAGGTCACCAACAGGAAAGCCATCACGCAAATGTGTGACACTCAGTCATTCTCAGGCACTTGGAGGAGAGGTCACAGATTGGGAGAGGATTCGGGCCTGAAGGCTTTTTGAGCTAATCCAATTCAATTTGGATATCACACCTGTCATTTCAGCATGGCTCCCACATGGCTTTGAAAGAGTGGTAGGGGCATTTGGGGTTATCACAGGATCAGAAAGCGTCCTACTGTCATAGGATCAGAAAGGGTCCTACTGTATTCACTAGGAGGGCCAGGGAACCTAAAAGGGCTTCAGTGTTGGGGCAATCCCATGCAACAATCCCATGCTCTAATGCTAGTTGCACTTTGGTGAGAAATACCAAGAGGAGTTTGGGTGGGGAAGGAGTAACACAATTACTTGTCCCCCTAAGCAACACTCACGATTCTAAGGTATTGAGCATGCTACAGCATGAAATAAGGAAACAGCTGTTTATGAAGGTACAGGGAACAAGGCAGTGGTCCCACAGCTGCCCCATTCTGGGATTCCCAGTCTGGTGCCAAAGCAAAACCCACACAGTCTGGACTATGGCCAGCACACATGCATGCACACAGATAGACTGTGGTTGGCATGTGCACACACACTTGGATGGGCATGGCTGGCACACACACACAAGTGATGCCTGTGGCTGGCACCCATGCATACAGGCACACACACAGGTGGATGGGTGTGGCTGACAAAGGAGATGGTGTTAATGGAACCTCCTTGATGAGGACGACCTCTACCATCCTTGCCGTGGCTTCTTTCCGGATAGACCTGGGGGTGTAGGGCTGGGTCTCATGGAGCCTCCAACCAGGGTGGATGTAGATCACCAACTCCAGCTCCAAGGCCAGGTTCCTTTCTTCTTGTATGTTGTTGTTGTTTTTAAGCACAAGACCCATTCTAGGCAACAGAGGCCCAGTTAGGATTTGCTTCACCACTTTATCTTGCATGGATAGAGATTTAATTAATCCTACCAGGATTCAGAGCTATTTTATGGGATATCCAAGTCTACTATTTCTCTCCAATTTATGATGAACTCTAAACCAAAACATATCCAGTACACTTCTTACATCTTCTTTCCAAGATGTGATCATCATAAATGATGCTCTTTAGAAAATTCCCTGGGCTCAGCTGACCCTGGTTTTCCTTCGCTGTATTTCCCCAAGATCATCTGATCATAAATAGAACTGCTAAGAAGTTCCCCTCCCATCCCCTTGTGACTGCAGAACCTTACAGCATGATATAATATAATATAATATGATATAATAGTCCAATATCCTGTATAAATTCTTCTAGTCTTTATAAGAATTCTGCTAACTTCCCTGGCTGAGGTTCTTCAACAATCCCATTGTTTCTTTCTCTCTGATAACAAACATAATGTATGTTTATGGTAGAATATTAGGAAAAGCACAGAGGAGAAAAATTAAAGATCAGGCCCTCTCTGAACATGCAGAGATAGTCACTGTAAATATTTTGGTGATTCTTTTCCTCCAAGCATACACAGTGTATCCTTCTCTTGTAAAATTGAGATCACATGATACAATGTTTTTTAAGTGACTTTTTGCATTAAGCAATGGATCCAAAACACATTCCACAACATGATTTGTGGGACTGTGTATTGTCACATTTCATGGATGTCTCAATACTTACTTAACCAGTCCCCTTATGCTGGACATGTGTTTTCTGTACAAATTTTGACAGTGCAAGTGGTGCTGTACTCAGCAACTCTCCACTAACTTTTTTCCTTAAAACAAATCCTAGAAGGAGGCTGGGCGCGGTGGCTCACACCTGTAATCCCAGCACTTTGGGAGGCCGAGGCGGGCAGATCACGAGGTCAGGAGATAGAGACCATCCTGGTAACACGGTGAAACCCCATCTCTACTAAAAATACAAAAAATTAGCCGGGAGTGGTGGCAGGCGCCTGTAGTTCCAGCTACTTGGGAGGCTGAGGCAGGAGAATGGCGTGAACCCGGGAGGCGGAGCTTGCAGTGAGCCGAGATCGCACCACTGCCCTCCAGCCTGGGAGACAGAACGAGATTCCATCTCAAAACAACAACAACAACAACAACAACAAAAAAAAAAAAAAAAAAAAAAAAAAACAGAAAAAAACAGAATAAATCCTAGAAGGGAAATGGCTGAGTCAAAGGAGATAGGATTTTTTGTTTGTTTTTTAGAAACAGGTCTCACTCTGTCGCCCAGGCTAGAGTGCAGTGGTACGATCCTAGCTCACTGCAGCCTCGTACTCCTGGGCTCAAGGGATCCTCCCGCCTCAGTCTCCTGAGTAGCTGGAACTACAGGTACACACCATGACATCTAGCTTTTTTTTTTTTTTTTTTTTTTTGAGACGGAGTCTACCTCTGTCGCCAGGCTGGAGTGCAGTGGCGCAATCTCCGCTCACTGTAATCTCTGCCTCATGGGTTCAAGCGATTCTCATGCCTCAGCCTCCCGAGTAGCTAAGATTACAGGCATGTGCCACCACTCCCAGCTAATTTTTGTATTTTTTTAGTGGAGACGGGGTTTTGTCGCCATGTTGCCCAGGATGTTATCCATCTCCTGACCTTGTGATCTGTCCGCCTTGGCCTCCCAGAGTACTGGGATTACAGGTGTGAACCACCACGCCCGGCAGCAAGATGGATTATTAACTCAATCTCCAGCTCCTCAGCTCTCCCCAGAGCTTGGAGGGCGAGGCTGAAAGTTCCAGGTTTCTAAACAACGTTTGGTCTTTCTGTGACTAGCCCCCATCCTGAAACCATCTGATCTGCCCGCCTCAGCCTCCCAAAGTGCTGGGATTACAGGCATGAGCCACTGCGCCTGGGCAACATCTAGCTAAATTTTTAAACTTTTTGTAGAGACAGTGTCTCACTATGTTGCCCAGGCTGGTCTCAAACTCCTGCCTCAGCATCCCAAAGTGCTAGGATTACATGAGCGCCCACAACACAGGTTTTGATACTTACTGCCAAATTGTTTTTCCCATGTCTCATAACAGAATGTACTTTTACAAGCAGCCTGTACAAGTGTCCATTTCACCAGACACTTGTCATCAGTGAGTGGTGGTTTCTTTTCTCTTGTCTCTAATTTTAAATGCAATAGTACACGTTCAATATAGTGAAATCCATCTTCAGACTGCATCGCCGTCCTGAGCAGCCCACAGATGCACAAAAGACAGCACTTCTGAATAACCACAGAAATAAATAGACGTATTTCAAGGCAAATGGAGTGCTGAAATAGGTTTTGTCAACCAAATGACAGAGCAAAACTATTTTTTTCTTTTGAGACAGGGTCTAACTCTGTCACCCAAGCTGCAGTGCAGTGGCATGATCTCTGCTCACTGCAGCCTCACTTCCCAGGAGCAAGTGATCTTCCTGCCTCAGCCCTACAAGTAGCTGGAGCTACAGTCATGTGCCACCACGCTCAGTTCATTTTTGTATTTTTTTGTAGAGACGGGGTTTTGCTATGTTACCCAGGCGGGTCGTGAACTACTGTGCTCAAGTGATCCACCCACCTTGACCTCCAAAAGTGCTGGGATTACAAGCGTGAGCCACTGCATCCGGCTAGAACAAAACTTTTTTTTTTTTTCCAGACGGAGTTTCGCTCTTGTTGCCGAGGCTGGAGTGCAATGGCGCAGTCTCGGCTCACTTCAATCTCTGCCTCCTGGGTTCAAGCAATTCTCCTGCCTCAGCCTCCCAAGTAGCTGGGATTACAGGCATGCGGCACCACTCCCAGCAAGTTTTTTGTATTTTCAGTGGAGACGGGGTTTCACCATGTTGGCCAGGCTGGTCTCAAACTCCTGACCTCAGGTGATCCACCCACTTCGGTCTCCCAAAGTGCTGGGATTACAGGCGTGAGCCACTGCGCCCGGCCACAAAACTATTTTTGTTCACACATTACAGATGACAGTGCGAAGCGTGGTCCTACCCCTATGTTTAAAATAACCTATTAGTGAGCAACAATGTCCCCAGCACTTATCACTCTTTCCACTCTGTTTCTGGTGGCATAGGCTTCACACTGCACAGGGTCACATTTTCAAATCTTATTCCAAGGTTTGTTCTCCCACCGTCTTATATCTCCTAGTTCTCACTTAAGGTCCTGCCAACTTATAGCTTTCTATGTCTTCCCTAAGCTGGGGAAAAAGGCAGGGTGGTAATGAAAGTTCTTGGCTGGGCGCAGTGGCTCATGCCTATAATCTCAGCACTTTGGGAGGCCAAGGCAGGCGGATCACTTGAGCCCCAGGAGTTTGAGACCAGCCTGGGCAATATGGCAAAACTCTGTCTCTACTAAAAATACACACAAACACACACACACACACTTAGCCTGGCATGGTGGTGCACGCCTATAGTCCCACCTACTTGGGAGGCTGAGATGGGAGGATGGCTTAAGCCCAGAAGTTTGAGGCTGCAGTGAGCCGTGACTGGACCACTGCACACCAGCCTGGGTGACAGGGCGAGACCCTGTCTCAAAAAAAAAAAAAAAAAAAAAAGACCTGGCAGGAGAGCAGTGTGGACACTGTCCTCCATCAGAGCGAAGGGTGCGTCTGCTGTGTGTCTGCTGCCTCCCTAACACTGACTCAGGGGTTGGGGACCAGACACGGCATTTGGATGCAGGAAAATGCCGGTGACTCATCCTCCTCTCGAAGGCTGGGCCAGATCACAGCACACTCTTGAGGTGAAGGTACCTCATTTGAAATTCACCAAAAACTCCCAGCGTCTCAAACAGTTCCTTCCGTCTGAAAAGTTGTATAAGATTTGTCACAGTTGGCCATCGCAAGTTCCAGCTCTAGAATTTAATCATCATATTGAACAACTAATTTCTAAATTGGTCTGTGATCAAGACCGCTTTGTAGGACTATTAATTGCTTGAAGTTTGCAGCCAGAAAATATGCGACAGCCTAGATTTTATGGCTCGTTCTAGATAATAGTGACATATGACTGAGAAATGCATCTGCTTCCCAACTCCATAAATTGGATGTTGTTTATAATAATGTAGCTAGAGCAGTAACACTTTATCTTAAGAGCTGCTGTCCCCACGGAAAGTCATTATTCAGTGTACACTTGATAAATTGGTCATCATTCACAGGCAGAAGAGAAATTGATGTGTCCTGTTTTATTTACAGAGGAACAGGCAATATGTTATCTGCTTATTGGACTGATGTTTTTCCTACCAGAAGGATTATGTTGCCTCCTGCGTGTCACTCAGAGAATTTTGTCAATGTCATCAGTCTTAAAAGCTTTATTGCCCGGAGCATAGGAAAAACCCTTTCTAGTCCCAGAATGATTTTCAGAGGAAGACCTTGGAAGGAGATTCTCTTTAGATACAATTTAATTTCTTACTTCCCAAATGGAAAAACAAAGAGGAAATGATAAATGACCAAGATAAGCTTTGTTCCCAACACTGGCCATGTCATGACAGGCAAGGCCTGATTTCACTCCCCACCCCCTTCAATACAGAAAGACAACAGTTAACCGTGGTTCAGTAGATGCTGTGCTGCTGATCGAGGCTGGGCCTTCCAGCCCCATGGACAAGCATCCTGACAGTGAACTTAGCAAGCTCTCCCTGGAAATTAAAATCTAGCTGAAAGGAGAGCATGACATCACTGCAGGAGACAGAGCCGTGTCATGAATCTCCCACTCTGGAGGCTCTGGGCCCACCCCTGGGGTATAAGCACTGTGGCCTGTGTACTCTGCTGCAGCTGGAACCAGAAGGAAAGCATCCCGGGACCCTGGTTTCACTGATTCTCTTCAACAGCTACATGAACTTGTGCACAGTGTGCTGGCAAAGTGCACAGGAGCTAAGCATCCTTTGAGAATGGCAGTCAGGCAGGACCTAGGCTCTAAGTCACCCTTCTCACAAGGTCTCAGGCTCCTCTGAGGCTATGGAGACTTATCCTAACATCTAGTACTTTCCAAGCACTAGATTCTCATGATGTGGCTCTCAGGTCACACAGCAGCCTCACAGTTTTCAGCCTCTCTTAACTCAATATAGTAATTCCCTACTCCCACCCTCCCCTGTGCCTTTTAAAAGACAGGGTCTCACTCTTTTGCCCAGGCTAGAATGAAATGTTGCGATTACAGCTCACTGCAACCTCGAACTCTTGGACTCAAGTGATCCTCCCATCTCAGCCTCCCAAGTAGCTAGGACTATAGGTGCTCACCATGCCCATCTAATTTTTAAAATTATTTGTAGAGATGACATCTTGCTTTGTTGCCCAGGCTGTTCTTGAACTCCAGGCCTCAAGTGATCCATCCACCTCTGCCTCCCAAAGTGCTGGGATTACAGACATGAGCCACCGTGCCTGGCTGTAATTCACATTTAATTAATCTCCAGGCATTCGCTGAATCTCCAAGGCACGTATGACATCATGCTATCAGGACGGGGTCACAGATGTGCAACTGCAACCACACGTGTACAGCATTCCAACGTTTTCCAATGCTTTTCCATGCACTGTCTTGAGATGATGCAACCATTGATCACAGTGGGAACTAAGAAACTCCTGCTCCACCACTGCCTGAGTGTGTGCCCTTGAGCTGCCTCTGTGTGGCTTGACGCCCGTCTTCTCTGTAGAAAAGCAGGGCCTATGCTGGTGCCAATGCAGTTGGGCTTCTCTGAGGATCAAATGAGATCACCCACAATGAGCCTTCATTCGGTGTTCCGGCCATCATCCCACTAACCCTACTCCACAAATGAAGAAATACTGTTACAGGGGTGTCAAGAGCAAGAAGTCTAATATAAATAGCTTCAGTGGATATAGCATTTTCAGTGTTTTCAGTTTTCCTCTGCTTTCACACATTTTTTTCTCAGTTTATTTTTTCATACCCTTCTTCTTTTTACAGGTGAGGAGATCAGCAGATAATGTAGGGCAGGGTTCTCACCATTGACATTTGGGGCTGAAAAATCTTTCTGTTATAGGGAGCTGTCCTATGCATTGCAGGACGTTTTACAGCATCCCTGGCCTCCAAGGCCAGTAGCGCCATCCCGGTTGTGACAACCAGAAAAGTCTCTGGTCTCTATAGTCTTCTAGGGGAACAAATTGCCCCCAAGCTGAGAATCACTGGGCGGGGGTGATTTGTTCAACAGCTAATGAGGAGCAGGGAGGCCACGGCTGGACCCCCAGAGCCCCAGAGCCCCCACCTGCAGATGGCTCACCCCCTATCACCACTGTACCTCCCTCTCCTCAAAGGAGTTGTTACAGAGTTGCAGAGGCAAAAATACTAGCAAGTTCTATTTGATACATAAATGCTGTAGGAGTTCAGAAAAGGGGGCATTTGTGATGAAATTCAGGCTAGACAAGATGGTTGAATGAAGGAGATGGAATGTGGCCCGGATCCTGCAGGCTGAAGGGGAGATACAACAGAGGGAAGACCATGTAAGGTGTTGCAGCTGAAGGAACAATGTGCAATGAAGATGGACAGAGGGGCGCGATGAGGACAGAGGGGTCTGCTGTGGAAGAGGGGAAATGAAGCTGGATGGGCGTGGGGACAGGGGACTCAGAACTTGGGGAGCCGTCAGAGGAGCCTGAATCTTATGCAAGACAAAGTCAGGCTCTGAAGGCTCAGCAGGGCTGGTCCTCACAGGGTCCTGGGGGTGTGGGGGTGTTGGAGACCTGCCTGGTAGATGTGCAGGAATCCTGGTGTGAGAAATTCATCTAGAACAATACAGTTCTCCTGTGACCTGAAGAAGGTGCCTTCTCTGCTTTCCACCAGTACTTCTGGTGGGACAACAAACTAAGTCACCAAGGAAAGGTGCTATGTATGCAAAGCTTGGTGGCAATTAAGGGCTCAGTGAGGCAGTTGCATGCAAAGCCCTGCCCCAGGTCCATCTCTGAGTCCAGCTCTGCTCAGAAGCTGTGGCCAATGACTTCTCCTTAAGCCTGGCCAAGTATCACAGAAGCCATTGTTCTTTTCCCACAAGCCCTCCAAAGACAACAAGCAAATGAGTCCTGGATTCGGCTTCTTCTGGGTTCTGAGAATGAGAGTGCAGAGGTGTTTGCTGTAACCACTATTTGGGGAGTCAGGACTTCCTGAGGCAGGCAGCAAATACCCACAGCTTTTACACTCCTACTCCTCAGGAAATCCAGCCTGAGAGAAAACTGAAAAAACCCTCGCCGTGTGCAGGTCATTGGTCTATTTTTATTCTACATGTCGTTGCTTGGTGCACATGTGTCGGTCCCATTGTTCACCTGTGAGAATTTCAACCCAACGTGTGTTTGGGAAGATGTTCTCAGCATTTCCAGTGTGGACATGCCAGTGAGTTGCTGGCAGAGTTCAGAAAGTAATAAGCCATCTGTGTGTGAGGTCCCAGATTGGACAACTTTTGAGAGAAACTGGTGATTCTGCCAGTGCGCTGTAAGACAGAAGCATGTCCTTTTTGTTTTTGCAATATTTCAGTAGACTAGATCTTTCTCCCACGTGGCCGCAAACCATTGGCTGAGTTGTGAACACATTTTTCCAGAAGTATTTACAGTTGCTGGGTACCAGGCTCCATGCTCAAGGCACCATCTCCGGAAGAGCCCTGAGCAAAAGAAACAAGCAGAGAAAATCGACCTAAAAGGACAAAGCACATTCACAGATCTTGGGAAGTTGTGCCCCATGCAAAGCAGAGGCGAGCGGCTCCTCTTTGCTGAGGATGCCTCCAAACCACCGGTGCACAGAAGTGGCTCGCAGACCCAGGCTGCTCAAATTTTGGTAGCTCAGCTTAGGAAAGCAAGTGTTAGGAAGTGAAGTAGGACCAGCTGGACGAATTCTCTGAATTTATTTTCCATCATCAGTTATTTCGGAGTGCCAAGAAAAAAATGTGCATTAAAACCTCTGAGATTACATCTCCTATAGGTACATATGGCCCAATGGGCACGCACTTCCTGCATGCCATAGAGACAGGCCACCAGCAGAGGAGGCCGCAGGCTCGGACAGAGAGCTGGGGCTGTGCGAGGGGAAAGAAATGCCTGTTTGTGTCAAGCTGGGCCAGAGCTCGCTGGAGGATGCAGTTGATCAGAAAACTATTTGGCTTGGACCCCACTTGACGAATTGACAGAGCCTTATGTCCACAATGAAGTCACATCCAACAAAAAGTGCCTTGGCAATTAACAGAGATTACAAAACCAGAGGAAGAAAACTGCAGGGCGGGAAGGGGGAGCAGGTACCAGGAAGCTCTGCTTTCTGGGAGACAGTGCCAAGGCCCATGGAGCTTGTGTCGGCTTTTAAAAGCCCCTTCCTAGGTCTTTTCTTCGTTTCAGGCTGCCCCTTGGTCATTCTGCAGATGAAATTGTAGACTGAGGAAGGCGCAGTGAGCCTGTGGGCTGGCAGTCCCTCTGACTTCCCTCAGCGAGCTGTTGGCTCCAAGAAGGAGTCAGGAGCTGGACCCATTTGTTGCCCAGAAGGGGGACTGTGGAGGCCAGGCTGAGATCTTCTCCAGGCAGCAGAGCCTTCCCAAGGCTGAGGACCCATGAGATGTGACAGCTCACGAAAATTAAATGTGACTGCAGCACAGTGCCGGCATTATCTGGCCCCAGCGGGCAGCCGGCGGCTTCTACTGCCCTTGGGTCTAGTGGCAGCGCCAGAGGGACAGCAGGACTGGAATATGCTCTGACAGACGCCCATTTAGGAAGGTGCCTGCCCATCCGCTTATCAAACAGCAAGCAGCCCCTTATCACTCCAAACACAGCTCAAATGAGGCCCTGCCTCTTAGCCTGCAGGCAGCCTCAGAGATTGATTGGACGCTTGCTAGGAAGAGAGCCTGGCTTCTGCTAAGGAAAAAATGGGTGATTCCTTGGTACAGACTAGGGCTTTTTATTTCCTCCTCCCAGAACAGGTTGGGTGGCTGCGCCTTCCTCTGTGGGACTGGGCGGCGTGGGCAGAGCTGTCCCTGATGGGCAGGCTCAATGCCAATTACAGACCACACAGAGTGGCACAGTGGTCATCACCCCTCTACCTGTTCAGCCAGACCCTGCCCACCCCAGCCAGGCCAGAGAGAAGCCAAGGCCCTGGCTGCCTGCATCCACAGCGTTCCCTGGTCTGGCTTTGTTGGGAAGCCCTGGAGCCACCACGGAGCACAAAGCACCTGCAGTCACCCAGCCCACCTCCCACCTCCCGCTCACTGCAGGATGGGGCTAGACTCGCTGCAGGCTGAGCCCTTTTTTGCAGAAGCAATGTGATGGAGAGAATAATCATTTTTTCACCAGTCATAAAAATGATCCGTGGCCCAGGAGAAATCAGAGCGGGCCTGGTAAGCATCTAGCAGTGGCTTAATCAGAAATTCAATATTCTCTACCTTTCCTTTGTATTCACGATCAGAGCAGCTCTCCTAACAGTGCCGATGTCAAGTTCACGGGCTTTACCTGCAGCCGTGTGCTAAGCCTGGTGATGAGGGTGCGGGCCCCGGTGTCTGATTTATCGACATTTGGGTGTCGATGCTGTGGCCGGCCTTCCATCTTCTGGGGAGTCTCCTCTGCTGTCTCGTGTCCCCACAGAGAGATGGAGTCCATCCCTGCAGGCCTGAAGCAAAGCCCCCAGCAGCGGCGACAACCTCTGATTTCCTCTGTGTCATTGGCAAGCCTGCTAGTTTCCTACCTGCTTTTCTACCTCTTTATATATCATCCTGGTCTTCTAAATAAATCTGGGTTGTCTTTAAGGTGCTTATAAGCAAATGAAAGACAGATCTAAGGGAAAGAGCATTAGATTTCCTGCCTTCCTTTTCTTATTCACATTTTTTTTAAGACAGGTTTCCCATTTGCTCCCTGGGCTGCCAAGGGCATAATGTACAGAAGATAAAATATGGCAGCACACTCTTCTTTCTCCTCTCTGTATCAGCACCCCGGGGCTCCTGTTTCAGAGGATATGTTCTTTAAAATCATTGGCCCTGATCGCACACCCTCCCCAGGGAATTTACAGTTCTCCCTCCTCCTTATTCCAGGCTTGCAGCCAGAAGATGGGGTTCACCACACTCCCCTTTGTCCTTATCTCCAGATAGCTGTGACCTCTCACACATGTGGGTACGGCAACCCTAAGACCCCAGTTAAATGTCTAGAAAGGCCCCATCCATTGCGAGAGAACCACTCCTCCCCGACCCTCTTACTCCACAAGGCCAGTACTGTGGCCCCTACTGTAAACTCTCAAATCCTGGGTGCCTCACCTGCTCTTCTGGGCTTTGGAGGGGAGTCACCAGTGTCTCACGGGCAGTCCCTTTTAACTGGTGAGCTTGCTGAAAACAGAGGCCTCACACCTCCTGGACCAGGACAGGGATCCACAGGAGGCGAGGTAGAGTGGCCAGGAAAGCCACAGGGAAGTCAAAGGAGGCAAAATACAAGTGCCTGTGTGCACAGGGCTCTGCCCACGGAGCTTCGAGCCACATTCGCAACTTACTGAGAAATGCCCGTGGGATTGTTCACCAGCCATTTAACTAACCTGTATGTACCCGGTGGGAGCTTTAGTAGGGAAATTTCAGCTGGAGATGCACATGTTCCTTCCTGGCTCTAGGTGCTGCCATGGCCTGGACCCTGTGCCCACCCTGGGTTGGGAGTGTCTGGTGTGTTCCCTCACCTACCCTCCCCGGGATCCCGTGAGCCAGGGGTGATGCAGCTGTTTAGCAGATGTGGAAGCAGATTAACTGGTGAGGGTGGGAATTCACCTTCCACCTTGCTGAAGTTTGGTTTCATTTAATATTCTCACCATCAGCCAGTTCCTGGGGTGAGCTCCACGCAGCTCTCTGAAGAAGGGGCAAGAGGAACATTAGGCTGACAGAGACAGGGGGTGAGAAGTCCACCTGCTATGTTCCGGACTATTCTAACACCCAGCCCCACAGCCCACCCCCAGCCCATGTACCCACTGACTCTTGTTCCTCTGCGGTGGCCTGTGCTGGGCCCATCTGAAAGGAGAACTTCGCTCTCCTGGTGCCTCCATCCCTGTGCTCCTCCTGGGAGATGGAGAATACCACCTCTCCAGGCCAAGATCCCCCTGTTTATTTCATCCCTTCAAGGAGGGGTGATGAGGGTCAATGTTAGTCAGGGTTTTGTTTTCCAAAGGCTAGAAGCAAAGTTAGGACCACAGAGGCCTCCTTCTGCGAGCCAGGAACAATACACAAGTGGGCTGTTCTAATTTCATTTTCCTTTCTCTCCGAGCTCCTAAGTTCACTGCACAAAGCACATGGAAAGGTAATCTGTTGCTACCCAGATTGACCTCTCTGCCCACACACATTCCCTGCTTCCTTAAAGGATGGAAAGGAAAGGTAAAAAAATTGCAAAATTACTGCTTTGGGTTCAGGAAATCCCAGCTCCTGGAATCGATGGGTTAATATGGGGTCCATTTATAAATTCCAGCTGTTGAGTCTGTGCTACACGGTTCATGCTCCACATTCCAGCTGGAGGCCGTGTAATCAGCGTTGGAATGGGTAAAAAGGATAATATCTTGAGCTGTTTAATTTTTGTTCCTGCTTCCCAGTGGGCCTATCCTAAGATTTCAACTCCTTGCCTCAGCTTGGATGGGCTAGTGTAAAGTTACTTTCCAAAGAAGCCGAGAGAACATTTCGTGTAAAGAAGGTGTGGGGCAGATGCCATTGGCTTGTATTTGACAGAGAACAAGTTTCCACTTAGGGTGGGGCCCGCCTGCCTCAGGCTCCTGCTGAATGAATCCCAGCTGTGCAGGGCTGGCCACTGACTGCCTCTAGCCCACTTTGGGGGAAGAACTCCTCCCTACTTAATGCTAGGGCATTTGGGAACCAGGCACAGACAGCAGGTGGGTTTTAGCCAGATGCAGAAATCTGACTGTACACCAAGAGGGCCCAGCCAAGTCTAGAGAGCCTTGTGGGACTCCTCAAAATGAAGGCAGCATTAGCATGTTATGGAAGAAGGCAATCGGTAAAGCAAACAGCAAGTCTAAAGGGAAGAAATGATGGAGCCGTCAGAAAGGCTTGAGAACTCTCCAGGCTCTAAGCTTCAAAGAGGCCGCTCATGTTATTAATTTCCCAGTTACCTTGGCCAGAACCTACACCAACAGTCAGAGTTCTAAGAAGTGATGAATCTAAGTTCCAGTCCAGCATAGGCCAGTAAATAGTGTTACCTCAATTTCTTCTTTTTATCTTTTTTTTTTTTTTGAGACAGGGTCTTGCTCCATTGCCCAGCTGGAGTGCAGTGGTGTGACCACAGCTCACTGCAGCCTTGACCTCCTGGGCTCAAGTGATCGTCTTGCTTCAGCCACCCGAGTAGCTGGCACCACATGTGCACATCACCATACTTGGCTAATTTTTAAAATTTTTTTGTTTTTGTAGAGATGGTGTCTCACTATGTTGACTAGGCTGCTCTCAAACTCCTGGTGTCAACTGGTCTTCCCACTTTGCACTCCCAAAGTGCCAGGATTATGGGTGTGAGCCACTCAGTTTCCTGTTAAATGAAGACATTGGAGTGGATGATCTCTAAGGTCCCTGTATTAATCCATTTTCATACTGCCATAAAGAACTGCTTGAGACTGAGCAATTTAAAAAGGAAAAGGTTTAATTGACTCACAGTTCAGCATGGCTGGGGAGGCCTCAGGAAACTTACAATCATGGCAGAAAGCGAAGGGGAAGCAAGGTACATTCTTCACAAGGTGGCAGGAAGAAGAAGTGCCAAGCAAATGGGGAGGAGCCCCTTATAAAACTATCAGACCTCATGGGAACTCACTCACTATCACGAGAACAGCATGGGGGAAACTGTCCCCATGACCCAGTTACCTCCACCCGGTCTCTCCCTGGACATGTGGGGATTACCAAGATTATGGAGATTATAATTCAAGATAAGATTTGGGTGGGGACACAAAGCCTAAGTATATCATTCCCTTTCAGGTCAATTTTGTCTGAGACTCTCTAAATTTGGTTGTGATCCATTTGACCAATAAGCATCTTTCTATGGAGATGCGTTAACATATACTAACTTGCCCTTGGGAAGTACTTGTCTCACTATTTCCCCAGAAATGAAGAAGTTGCGTAACAACAAATAAACTACTGTGAACATTATTTGTATTGTTAGTACTTAGTAGTAGATAAATAAATGTGTCTTCAGAACTGGTGGAGTTTTGTTAGGATAATTTCTAAGAAATACCTTGTAAATAAACATTCAGCAAAGACTCAACAAAACGCTTCAATCCATCATTTATCTACAAAAATTTCTAAGCAATGCCATGCAGGTAATTGCTGTATCAAATACTCACAGACTTGTATCTTTTGGGGATTCCAGTTGGTCATTCAGTGGACATAACTCAGCATGAAGAGTTTCTACCTGAGTGAACAGGTCCAGGCTGTGTCTGAATCCACTTCACTGATGACCAAGAAACCCAGATCTTGGGACCTTTTTGCCCAAGTTAGCATGGATGGGTTCAAGCAATCAAACCCACCTTTTCCTTAATCACCGATTTGAAGCAGTGGTGGGTCCAGACATTACAGCCAGGGATGGCGGCTCTCCGGCCTTTAACAGAGAACCATGTGTCCTGCTTGCCTATGATGCTACTGCTCCCTTAGAAACGATATCTATGCCAGGTGCGATGGCTCATGTCTGTAATCTCAGCACTTTGGGAGGCCGAGGCAGGCAGACTACTTGAGATCAGGAGTTTGAGACCAGCATGGCCAACATGGTGAAACCCCATCTCTACTGAAAATATAAAAATTAGCCAGGCATGGTGGCAAGCACCTGTAGTCCTAGCTACTCAGGAGGCTGAGGCTTGAGCCAGAGAGGCGGAGGTTGCAGTGGGCTGAGATCATGCCAATGCACCCCACACTGGGTGACACAGTGAGACTTCATCTCAAAAAAAAAAAAAAAAAAGAAAAGAAAAGAAACTATATCTGTGTGCTTTGAGGTTGGGCTCAGTGGCTCATGACTGTAATCCCAGCACTTTGGGATGCTGAGGTGAGTGGATCACTTGAGGTCAGGAGTTCAAGACCAACCTGGCCAACATGGTGAAACTCTGTCTCTACTCTACTAAAAGTACAAAAATTAGCAGGGTATGGTGGCACATACCTGTAGTCTAAGCTACTCAGGAGGCTGAGGTACAAGAATCACTTGAACCCAGGAGGCAGAGATTGCAGTGAGCTGAGATCGCACCACTGCACTACAACCTGGGTGACAGAGTGAGAATCTGTCTCAAAAAAAAAAAAAAAAGAAAGAAAGAAAGAAAAAATATAAACTATATATGTGCTCTTTGATTTGGCTATACATAGAGGATTTTAGAATTCCAGTAAATAATTTCCTAAGTATAGTTCTGTGATGCAGAATGCTATTCAAATCATTTATTCAACACATTGATCAAATACCTATTGCATGTCTCACAATATTCTAGCCAATGGCACCACCCACACTAATGAATAAGACTGATGAAGCTCCTGCCCCCACGAAGTTTACAATCTAGCAGAAGAGACATTGCTAACTGTGAGTGGGCTGCCCATAACCAACTCCAGGGGAAAGCTGGACTGTTATCTGGCTGAGGACAGAAAAATTCCCTTACACTGAGATGGGAATCTAAAGCCCAGTGGGGAAATAGCTAGCTAAATTATGACCTGAGGTCATCTGATTGAAGTGCTTATTGAGGGCAGGGCTTGGGGGACTGGGCTGAGTCTGCCACAGAATGATGTGCAGGACACGAAGGATTTCAGGGATTCTAGGATGAGGTGGCTGCCTATAATAGAATTGGACAGTTTATGTGAGAGGAAAACAAAGTTAAATCACTAACTTTGCTTCTTTTTGTGTGTGTGCATGTGTGTGAGACAGAGTCTTGCTCTTATGGCCCAGGCTGGAGTGCAATGGCACGATCTTGGCCCACTACAACCTCTGCCTCCTGGGTTCAAGCGATTCTCCTGCCTTAGCCTCCTGAATAGCTGGGATTACAGGTGCCCCCCCACCATGCCCGGCTAATTTTTTTGTTTTTTGTTTGTTTTTTTTTTAGTAGTGACACGTTTTCACCATGTTGGCCAGGCTGATCTCGAACTCCTGACTTCAAGTGATCTGCCTGCCTCTGCCTTTCAAAGTGCTGGGATTACACGCGTGAGCCACCGTGCCTGGCCACTAAGTTTGCTTCTTAAGGCATTGACTGAAACCCCAGGTTTAACTCTTGAAGGGGTGAGCCCCACCACTGAGCTGGTTGAGAGAGTGCTGTGGAAATGGCAGTTTTGTGACTCCAGGATGGCTACGACAAGGACCCGATTATGGAAATAAACACCCACAACGGGACCAAGTCCCTGCAGAGTGAACTTGCTCCCCTAGCCCCTCATTGCTGCTTATTTCCAGAGTGTGGCTCTCAACACCTCCCACAGATGCTGTCAGGCACCTCACATCTTCCCATTAAATGTCTTTCTTTATAAACTCACCAGAGTTAGTTTCTGCACTTGTAATCTAGATCCCTAACTGGTGCAGAAATTGGATATTCCATAAAATAATACAAACATTCTAAAAGACTTAAGGGCATGCAGCAAGGGAATGAGTAATGAAAACATTATAGCATTTCCCGTAACCTTTCTGGGCAACTTTCAGTTTCAAGGCAGGGCTTCCATCAGGCCAAAGGTTGGATTGCACACCTCCTGTAGGCCCAAGTTTTGGTATGCCTTATGATGGATGCAAATGTAGCTCGGGACACCTCTCTCTAAGTGCTGTATAAATAATCCAGCGAGTGAAAAAAGATTTGCATGTATGAAACTGGAGAAAAACAAGCATCTCCATATAACCAAGTGTGCAGTGCCAGACCCTGGACCTTCTTTATTGCTAAAAATGCTCACAGTCATCAGATCCTTCAGCAAGATGCAATCTTCTTTCTGGTGGGGGTGTCTTGTCTCGATGTTGATGGCTGCTGAGTAATCAGGGTGGTGGCTGCTGAAGTTTGGGGTGGCTGTGGCAATTTCTTAAAATCAGACAATAATGAAGTTTGCCACATCGACTGACTCTTCCTTTCGTGAAAGATCTCCCTGTAGCAGGTGATGCTGTCTGATAGCATTTTACCCATGGTAGAGCTTCTTTCAACATCAGAGTCAAACATCTCAAACCCTGACACTGTTCTGTTAATTTCATTTTTAAAATTTTTTTTCAATAGTTTTTGGTGAACAGGTGGTTTGGGGCTACATAGAAAAGTTATTTAGTGGTGATTTCTGAGCTTTTGATGCACTCGTGTGTATTTCTTTCTTGGTTGTTTTTTTTTTTTTTTTTTAGATGGAAAGTCTTGCTCTGTCGCCCAGGCTGGAGTACAGTGGCACGATCTCGGCTCACTGCAGCCTCCGCCTCCCAGGTTCAAGTGATTCTCCTGCCTCAGGCTCCTGAATAGCTGGGACTACAGGTGCTCGCCACCACAACCAGGTAATTCTTGTATTTTTTTGGCAGAGACAGGGTTTCACCATGTTGGCCAAGTTGGTCTCGAACTGCTGACCTAAAGTGATCCACCTGCCTCAGTCTCCCAAAATTTTGGGGTTACAGGCGTAAGCCCCTGTGCCCAGCCTCATGTGTGTATTTCTATGTGGAAGGCATCTTGTAGGCATCAACTTTTAGGTTCTCAGATCTAGAAAGAACTAGAATTTATTTAATCTGAAAATTATTTCTCTCATCTCACTCTATTTTCTTTATCTTAGGAATCACCTTAAATGCTTTCTAGAAGTGGGTATGCAGAAGACTGGACCAGGTCTTATGAGGTTGAGAGGAGAAGGTGAGGGAACAACAAAAAAATGGGCAGGACATGGTCTCATAGAAAGATATGACAGTCCCCAGACAGTGCCAGATCCCATGAGAAAACAGTCCCATGGGTAGCACCATGGTCTGAATGCTCCCCAAACTTCAAATGCTGACATTCAACCCCCAAGGGGATGGTATTAGGAAGGGGAGCCTTTGGGAGGGGATTGAGTCATGAGAACAGAAACCTCGTGAAAGGGATTTGGTCTGTATACATCTATATGCATTGGTATAACGGAATACCTGAGGCTAGGTAATTTATAAAGTGGTAGATCACCTGAGGTCAGGAGTTCCAGACCAGCCTGACCAATATGGTGAAACCCTGTCTCAACTAAAAATACAAAAATTCACCAGGCGTGGTGGCACATGCCTGTAATCCCAGCTGCTCGGGAAGCTGAGGCAGGAGAATCACTTGAACCCGGGAGGCGGAGGTTGCACTGAACCTAGATCACACCCCTGCACTCCAGCCTGAGCAACAGAGCAAGACTCCACCTCCAAAAAAAAAAAAAAAAGAGGTTGATTTGGGCCCATAGTTTTGCAGGCTGTATGAGAAGCATTGTGCTGGCATCTGCTTCTGGTGAGGCCTCAGGAAGCTTCCAATCATACTGAAAGGTGCAGGAGGAGCCTGTGTGTCACATGGCAAGACAGTGGGGAGGAGGTGCCAGACTCTTTTAAACAGCCAGCTCTTGCATGAACCAATAGAACGATAACTCACTCATTACTACAGGGAGGGCACTAAGTGATTCATGAGGGATCTGCTCCCAGGACCTACCACTTCCCACCAGGCCCCACCTTCAACACTGGGGATCACATTTCAATGTGAGGTTTGGAGAAACAAACTATATCAGTTCTCTTATAAAAAGAGTGTTACCTCATCCTTTACACCATGTAAGGACCCAACAAGAAGGTGGTGGCTGTCAGTGAACTAGAGAGCAAACTCTCGCCAGACACAGAATCTGCTGGGGCCTCGATTGGGACTTCCCAGGCTCCAGAATCACGAGAAATAAATTGTGTGTGTGTGTGTGTGTGTGTGTGTGTGTGTTTTGTTTTGTTTTTGAGACAGGATCTCACGCTGTTACCCAGGCTGGAGTACAGCGGTGCAACCTCAGCTCACTATAACCTCCACCTCCCAGGTTCAAGCTATCCTCCCACCTCAGCTTCCCCAGTAGCTAGGACTACAGGTGCACACCACCATGCCCAGCTAATTTTTGTATTTTTTGGTAGAGATGGGGTTTGTCCATGTTGGTCAGGCTGGTCTCAAACTCCTGACCTCAAGTGATCCTCCCACCTCAGCCTCCCAAAGTGCTGGGATTACTGGCATGAGCCACCGTGCAGGCCAGCTGTGTTGTTTGCAAGCCATCCAGCCTATGGCATTTTGTTATAGGAGCCCACTAAGACAGCTAGCTATGGCAACAGACAAGGCAGGACTTCAGAAGATGAGAGTTCTGGGGTGGTCAAGGTGATGTCGTAGATATTGAAATGAGAGGGCCAAGGGACCACTTAGATCTCTCCTACCTGTCTAAGAGGTCCATGCTGATGTGGAGTGACATTTATTAACCTCAAGGTCCTCCTGTAGTACACACAGCTTCCATGGAAGAGCTTTCTTCCATCACCTCCCACCTTCTCAAGGTCTGGCTGAGGGCTGTGCAACTGTACTAATGTAGAAAAACAAAAGACAGGAATTCTAAAGATATGGTAAGTTTCTGCACTCGGGGAGCCATGCAGAGTTCAGTGTCTGGAAGATTCTGAGCCATAATCGGCCTCACATCACAAGGACTTTGCATGCCTTCCATGGCCCAAGCAGACCCAGAGAGCTCTGCAGAGAGAATGAGTCTGCAAGGCCATCCCACTAGGGCAGCATCCAACGTCTGACAGGCATTAGGATTTGAGCCCCAGAAGGAGACTGGGTATCCATGGGGGCCACTGATGGAGTCAGACCAGAGAGCCAAGAACATGCTGGCAGTGAGCCAGAGAGGGAGGCTGAAGGCACAGTGTCTACCCTGATCAGACCAATCCTAGTAAAAACTCTCCATCATTTGTTTTTTTGTTTTGTTTTGTTTTTTGTTTTGGTTTTGGTTTTGAGACAGGCTCTTGCTTTGTCACCCAGGCTGGCGTACAGAGGTACAATCATGGCTAACTGCAGCCTCAACCTCCTAGGCTCAAGTAACTCTCCCACCTTAGCCTCCCAAGTAGCTGGAACTACAGGCGCGCACCACCATGCCCCGCTAATTTTTATGGATTTTGTACAGCCCGGGTTTTGCCACATTGCCCAGGCTGATCTGGAACTCCTGGGCTCAAGCAATCCTCCCTCCTTGGCCTCCCAATATGCTGGGATTACAGGCATGAGCCACTGCACCCAGCCACTCCCTCTTTTTTTTTTTTTTTTTTTTGAGATGGAGTCTTGCTCTGTCGCCCAGACGGGAATGCAGTGGCACAATCTCAGCTCACTGCAACCTCCTACTCCTGGGTTCAAGAGATTCTCCTGCTTCAGCGTCCCAAGTAGCTGGGATTACAGGAGCCTGCCATCATGCCTAGCTAATTTTTGTATATTTGTAGAGCTGAAGTTTCACCATGTTGGCCAGGCTGGTTTTGAACTCCTGGCCTCAGGTGATCTGGCCGCCTCGGCCTCCCAAAGTGCTGGGATTACAGGTATGAGCCACTGCACCCAGCCACTCCCTCATTTTTCAAGAGGCTCCACCAAAGGGAACACCCACCCAGGTTGGCAGGACGCATACCTGGAACCAAATCCTCACCACAACCACTTTAAATCCCCCTGAAGTGGGGTTAACCACCAGAAACTTCCCCCTAAACACTTGGCCTTTGGTAGCTTTGGATTATATATGACTCTTATATTAAGACATTTTAAACTTTTTTTTTCAGTGACTTTTTCCTCTTTGTAATTAGAGGTAAGGAGGAGGATTTTGTTCCCATCGTGGTGTCGCCGTCCTCCCCTGCCATCAGCAAGGTTTTCTCATGCCTCCTGCCAACACAAACCCACTCTGGTGTGGCGCATTTTGCCAACCATCCAGGGACAGCCTTTGCCTTGTGGGGAGCCTGTGTGCACCCAGACATACCCCAGGAAAGAAAAGGTTGCAGAAAAATGGTTTCCAGCCCTGCTCAAAGCTCTTCTCAGAGTCAGCGGTTCACAGCAAAGGGACTTTTCCAGAAGTTCCAAAAGGCTCACAGGAGGTTTTATTTTGTTTTTTCACAATTACCAAGGAAAAGGAAAATAAATTAACTTGAGTGAAAGCAGAAACCCCTGCGCCCTGACACACAACACAAACCAAACCAAACAGGGAAGTGGTCATGCGCTTTCTCGTAGCCATGACGCGCCCAGCCCCAGAGCTGTTAAAGACGCAGCGTTGGTGCAGCGGGCCTGGTGGACACTTCTCTTTGCTCTGCTCAATGCCCCGTGCCTGTTTCTCATTGAATAAACTTTCTCATGAATTAAGGTCTTGAAATTAAATATATCGATCCCAAAGGGGAGCTTTCAAATTAACTAGTCAGAGTCTTACACAACTACTGGTTTTCAACAAGCCGGATGAAGGCCACTCAGCCCCAGCCCCGTGTTATTAGTGGGGTTCAGGCCCGTAAATGATCAGGGACACCCTGGACACCTTTAATTTATAATTCAATTCCCCCCGATCATTTTAACGATCATTGCTCCTAGACAACATAGAAGGAGCTCATTAAGAACTCTCCACAGACTTCTTTAATCATCTATTATTGAAAAAGTTCATGAAGCGTGTGTGTGTGTGTGTGTGCACGTGTGTTTAAAGTTGGAAGGTTTCCTAACTTTCCTGCAATAAATTTCTCTTCCAAGTCATACCTGAAAAAGCACTTTTCATGGAAGTATCCGTCAATAAAAAATATATATAATATGTGACTGGAGGAATCCTAAAAGTCTAGCTATGTGCTGATGATAAGTTCTAAATGACAGCTCGAGTCAAGGTCAAGATGGGGAGGCTCCGATGGCATGGCTGAGTAGAAGACAGGGGAGCACCAGGTGAGTGAGTCAACTCACTTTGAGCCCAGGCCTGAGATGAGACTGGGGCCACCGGACCCTGAGGTCAGCTCTGCCATGGACAGACATGGGTGCCTGGATGGACTGTGGGGCTCCTAAGGACAAGGTGTGTGGTGTCTGTGGTCCACGTTAACCTGCCTTCCAGATGAAGAGTGAGCCAAGAGGAGAGACACAGAGAGACAGAGAGGCACTCTCCCCGAAATGTTCTGCCAGGCGTGGTGAAAGACACACCTTTCCCTGGACTCATCTGCCACGTAGTCAAAGCACACATGGCAACTGGAAATTACTGAGAACCAAGCCTCAATATTTACAATTGAGGTAACTTCACGTTTGAACCCTGAGTGTTTCCTAAGCCATTTATCTTCCTCTACGATGATGAGGCATTTGGCCGGAAAGGGAGATAGAGATGCGAATTGCCGCCTGGACCAAATTGCAGAGAAAGCTAAGAATAGTAGGTAGGACCCACGAAGGCTTCCAAGCCTTTAAATGGACCATCTGGGTGAGATGACAGCTCAAAATGGGATCAAAGAGTTGAAGCTGAAAACGAATGCTGTCACTTCCTAGATTTATTGTCAGCTGGACTTAAAAGCATAAGAAAGACTAGGTTTTTACATTTTCAAACTTTAATAAATCAAATACTCCTTTGAACACATAATCCAGCTGAGTCATGTACCACCCCATGGTCCTGCCGGGCTCACCAGCATCTGATGGGGGTGGTGAGAAACAGCTTCTTCCTACCCCAGATTAGACCCTGGCCACCAATTGCAGGTCTAAGTAGAAAGCTATTCTAGTGGTTCTCATTCAAATGAGCCCCAGGTGAGCCCAGAATCAGAGCTCCCCAGAAGGCACTCAGCTGCAGCCCAGGCCCTAACTGGAAGCTGAGAGCGGCCCCAGGTTCACGGCCCTCTGGAGGAGCATGTCATAAAGCGCTCATCAGCTCTTGCGGTAACTGGCCCCGTTCACCGTCCTGTGCCTGACCCTGGAACTGATTAGCAGGACATGAGTAATTTTCCCATTCGACCACCTCAGAAGCAGGTGGGGTGGAGAAACCAGTGGGCAGAGACAAATAAAAGTGTCCATGTTCACGATGTGAAGGCAGCACTTAGGCAAAATGAGGGGGTTTTTTTTTAGACTTCTTTGAAATGCAACCAGGGAGAACCAAACTTCAGCCTTTCTGTTGGCCAACAAAAGGCCTGTGGTTGCCTTTCTGCTTCCACCCCTACAATTAGGGGAGAGGCCACGTTTCTTCCTGAAATGGGATCTACAGAGAGGCCCCTTGTTCCAGGCAGGACCCTGCCGGTAGCACTGTCAGGGGATAGGACAGCCCATGGAGGCAGCCAGGGTGAAAATGTGAGCAGAGACACCAGGAGGCTGGGACCCTTGGTCTTCCCCAACCCAAGGTGACATGTGACTGCTTTGGGGCTCCACTGCACACTCTGTCTGAGACCCAGAGATCCAGAGAGAATGATCGGAGCTTGAGATCCCTGGACATAATCCAGATTTGGGAGACCAACCCAAGGGAGAGTGAGAGACATGGGCTCATCTGCTGCAGCCCAAGAGGGTCACTGCATCAGCACAGAGCTGGCAGAGGGAGGGGAGTTTCTTCAGCAGTGGCAGCCTGGGATCATTTGTTTACCTGTTATAATGGGAGCTCACACCTAATTTTAAGTAAAAATGTGTGTTTTCAAGTTTATGGCCCTTCTTTCCCCAACTTCCTTAACTGTGCTGGTTGTTTTAGGGAGAATGATGAACCGTGTTGCCTCCTGGCCTGTGCCAGCTCCCGCCCTGTCCCCTCCCCAGCGCCAGCTGCCACCTGCACCTTTAATCATGTCAGGAGGGTCCAAAATGCTGACATCTGCTTCTGAAGTTCGGTTTTAAGTACTTTTTCAGAAATGCAGTTCAATGGACTCCACCTGAAATGTCATTTGGAAAATGCTTGGCATTTCTATAGCAGGGCATTTGTTCATTTTAGGAAAAAATTATGAAGGCAAAATAAAGACCAGACTTGTGGGCCAATTCTTAACGCGACCGCTTGCTAGCAGGAACAGCTCTCCCGCCTCCTCGTTCTCCTCCATCTTTCCTTTGTGGCCACAGTCCTGGGTTGTCACACTTCCACAATAGGGAAAAACAACCACCACTCGCATCTGCATATTTGACAACTCCAGCTTTTCTCCCCAAAAGGAACCTTAGCTCCAGGCGCTTAAACTGGCACCCTTTGCTTTACACTTTCTTTATAATACCTAGGGTGTAGAAAAACAGTAAAACGTTTTTATTGTTTAATTTGAAGCAATTATGATTGTATGTAATAGAATCCATTTAGTTCAGTTACTTAAGAGTTTAAACAAGTAACCAAATTTCTGGCAAATGGAGAGTGTGCAACAGGGAATTTCTGGGCCAAAGTGGCTAAAACAGCATTCAGGGATTGTCTCCTGCATGTGATCACCCTCCTCCACAGTGGAATTCACATAGGCCGTGACTTGGAATCTTGGTGTAATCATCATTTCTAAACAGTGGCTTGGACACCGAGATTAGCATTAATTTAGAAGAACAGAAGAGCAGATAAAATTGGGTGCAGGACTGGGCATGGTGGCTCACACCTGTAATCCCAGCACTTTGAGAGACCAAGGCAGAAGGAACGCTTGAGGCCAGGAGTTCCAGACTAGTATAGACAACATAGCAAGGCTCCCATCTCTACAAACACAGACACACCACACACACAATTAGCAGGGAGAGGGGCGTGCCTGCTGTGGTCCTAGCTATTCGAGAGGCTGAGGCACGAGGATCACTTGAGCCCAGAAGTTTGAGGCTGCAGTGAGCTATGATTGTGTCACTGCACTCCAGCCTGGGTGACAGCAAGACCCTGTCTCAAAAAAAAATTGGTGCAGCCAGAGAGCTACAAGAAAAACATAAGGTGAGAGTACAGAGTGATGGAACAGAAGAGGACTTCGTGGCAGGGTTACACAAAGGTCCCCAGCCCCGGGGCAACCTCCATGTGGTGCTTCACATGGGGCCTCCCGTGGGAACAGCTCAGGGGGGCTGGAAACCCCAGCCCATAGCAGGAACCCCATCTCATTACCTGCTCCCTAGCTCTCTGCTTCCTGCCTGCAGCTCTCAAACCCCTGCTGCTGGACTTCCATGTATGCGGTTCCTCAACGATCAAAGCAGGGTCTATTAGGTTGAGTCACCTTCCCCAGTGAGGGGCACCCCCTGGAGCCCCAGTGGAAAGCTGAGCTGGGCACACGCAGACCTGGGGCTTGGTCACTCTTTTTTTTTTAATTTCGTTTTATATTTTACCTTCATACCACAGTGAAGTCCATCCGTCATTCTTCGGTTTGGTGATTCTCTCTCTCTCTCTCTGTTTCTTCTGTATGCAATGTTGTTGACTTACGACTCTCAGAGCCCAGCTTGGATTTTCTAGAACTGAAGATCTATATTATTGATAGACCTCAAGGATTAACCTATAATGCTTTCATTTACATTTAAACTGGGCTATAAAGTTGCCTCAAATGCAACCCCATTGTGTCCGGAATTGGTGGGTTCTTGGTCTTGCTGACTTCAAGAATGAAGCTGCAGACCCTCGCGGTGAGTGTTACAGTTCTTAAAGATGGTGTGTCCGGAGTTTGTTCTTTCTGATGTTCCGATGTGTTCAGAGTTTCTTCCTTCTGGTGGGTTCGTGGTCTCACTGGCTTCAGGAGTGAAGCTGCAGACTTTCGCGGTGAGTGTTACAGCTCTTAAGGCGGATCGTCTGGAGTTGTTCGTTCCTCCCGTCCAGAGTTGTTCATTCCTCCTGCTGAGTTCGTGGTGTCGCTGGCTTCAGGAGTGAAGCTGCAGACCTTCACGGTGAGCGTTACAGTTCTTTAAGGCAGTGTGGACCCAAAGAGTGAGCAGAAGCAAGAGTCATGGTAGAGGGCAAAAGAAAAAAGCTTCCACAGTGTGGAAGGGGACCCGAGCAGGTTGCCGCTGCTGGCTCGGGCAGCCTGCTTTTATTCCCTTATCTGACCCCACCCACATCCTGCTGATTAGCCCATTTTACAGAGAGCTGATTGGTCCATTTTATGGAGAGCTGATTAGTCCGTTTTACAGAGAGCTGATTGGTCCATTTTGACAGGGTGCTGATTGGTGCGTTTACAATCCCTGAGCTAGACACAGAATGCTGATTGGAGTATTTACAATCCTCTAGCTAGATGTAAAAGTTCTCCAAGTCCCCACTAGATTAGCTAGACACAGAGCACTGATTGGTGAGCTTACAAACCTTGAGCTAGACACAGGGTGCTGATTGGTGCGTTTACAAACCTTGAGCTAGACACAGAGTGCTGATTGGTGCATTTACAATCCTTTAGCTAGACATAAAAGTTCTCCAAGTCCCCACCAGATTAGCTAGATACAGAGTGCTGATTGGTGCATCCACGAACCCTGAGCTAGACACAGAGTGCTGATTGATGCATATACAATCCTCCGGCTAGACATAAAAGTTCACCAAGTCCCCACCCGACTCAGGAGCCCAGCTGGCTTCCCCTAGTGGATCCCATGCCAGGGCCACGGGCGGAGCTGCCCACCAGTCCTGCGCCACAGCGCCTGCACTCCTCAGCCCTTAGGTGGTTGATGGGACCGGGCTCCATGGAGCAGGGGGCAGTGCCTGTTGGGGAGGCTCAGGCCACGTGGGAGCCCACCATGAGGGGTCTCAGGCATGGCGGGCTGCAGGTCCAGAGCCCTACCCCTTGGGGAGGCAGCTGAGGCCCAGTGAGAATTCAAGTGTGGTGTGGGCAGGTCGGCAGTGCTGGGGGACCCGGCGCACCCTCTGCAGCTGCTGGCCCAGGTGCTAAGCCCCTCACTGCCCGGGGTTGGCAGTGCCGGCCAGCCGCTCCGAGTGCAGGGCCCACTGAGCCCGCACCCATCCGGAACTCATGCTGGCCTGCGAGTGCTGCGCACAGCCCCAGTTCCCACCCATGTCTTTTTCTTCACACCTCCCTGCAAGCAGAGGGAGCTGGCTCCGGCCTTGGCCAGCCCAGAGAGGGGCTCCCGCAGTGCAGCAGCAGGCTGAAGGGCTCCTCAAGCGTGGCCACAGTGGACACTGTGGCCTGAGGAGGTGCCGAGAGTGAGCAAGGGCTGCTAGCACTTTGTCACCTCTCACCATCAAATCCAGTTAGTTTGGGATCCACATCCCAAGCATAGTGGGTGTCAAAGAACTCACTCTTCTGTTTAATCCACCAAGGCTGCCCTCTGTCAATAATGGAAAATTATTTACATTATTTCCATATATGAAATACAAAGACTCTCTCCCCTTTCCAAGTCTCTTCCCATTACAGCTTCAGGCTCAGGTTCAAGGTCCAGGATCTTATTTCCTAGAGCAGGTCCAGGTCCATCTGGGTGTGTTTCTTCAGGAGCAGCTCCACAAGTCTGGTTCTGCCTGTTCTGAAGACCTGCGAGGTAGAGAAATAATGACATGTCCCTACCACCCCACACTCCATTTAACGACAATGGTAATAGCTGGATAGGGAAACTCCAATTAACACTGTTTATTCAAAAGAGACAGGGAAAGGAGGCATTAGCCATGATTGGTACATAGCAATTTGGAAATCCAGTCAAGCCCATGTCTCCAGTTCCTTGATTAAAGCAAAATCTTGCTTTCTGGGAGTGACTCCCAGTGGCTCCTGACAGTTTCTTCATAAGAAATGGCAGCTGAAAAAAGAAATAAGAAATAAGAAGTCTTCACAGAGAAGTATTCTTCTCAGACTGTTCCCAGCTGAGCTGGATTCCTGCTGGAATGTTGTTAGCTGTGTGGTCAGGTGCATCACATGGCAGGTCATGGCTTCCAGAGAGAATGTTCCTAAAGAGTGTGGAAGCTGCCATTTTCTTAAGACTTGAGCTTGGAAACTGGTATAACATCACTTCTGCCATCTTCCAGTGGACAAAGTAGTCACAGATTCAGGAGGAGGGAACATAGACTCCACTTGTCAATAGAAATAGTGTCAAGGAATTGATGGTTCTCTTTAGTCTTCCATACTTCTTCTGCTTCATCCCTTCTTCCTTCTTGTTGCCTGAAATGGAAATGTGAAGACTGGAGTTGCAGCAGCCATCTTGGACCATGAGAAGCTGTTGGAAATAAAAGGCTCAACATTCCAGCAGGATAAAATTCATTTTGTACTACATTTATCCTTTTAGTCCAAGCTGATACAATTCCCTTAAAAACTTCGTGGGTTACCCATATACCAATCAGTGGTCAATTCCATTAAAGAAAAGTCACATTTCTTTCCATGTCAGATCTTTCTCCACCTTTAGCAATAGGCAAAGCTATTGTGAGCAATGCTAATAGCATTTAAATTCTTTAAAGCTGTATTGTCTGAGAAAGTCTGTAAAGCATGCCTTTAAGACTCTTAGAAGCCCCCACCTTCCAGTATCCAGGCATATCATATCCTTAAATATTTTGGCAGTTATTAAAGTCTTACAGTCATACTCAATGAAATCTTCACTCCAAGGTCATTCTGTACAAAGATTTGATCTTTGTCCTGAAGCCATTTCTTACTGTGACACTTTTGCTGAGACAGGATGGAGATGAGAAACAGGTTTGTTATCACACCCGGAAGGTCCTGGCTCCTTTGCACTCGCTCTGAGCTCTGCTCTGCACCCTGGTAGTTCTTTCCTTAGTTCACTCTTTCTTCCTATAGCTTATCATAGGCAGGTATGAGAAGCCAGCAGTGTCTTCTATCTCTGCCTGGATTCTTCTCTGAAGACCTCTGAGTTCATCAGGTACTTTCCTATTTTCCAGTTTACCACAGGTGACAGTGTGTCCAAGCTTTCTGTTCAGCCTCCAGTGATGTTTTCCTCACTCTCCTCTAAGCTCTTGTGAACAGAATCTTTGGAGTCCTTCCAGCTTTTATTAACAATCTTTGGCCGGGCATGGTGGTTCACACCTGTAATCCCAGCACTTTGGGAGACCGAGGCGGCTGGATCACTTGAAGTCAGGAGTTTCAGACCAGCCTGGGCAACATGGTGAAACCCCATCTGTACTAAAAGTACAAAAAAAAAAAAATTAGCCAGGTGGTAGTGGCACATGCCTGTAATCCCAGCTACTTGGGAGGCTGAGGCAGGAGAATTGCTTGAGCCTGGGAGATGGAGGTTGCACTGAACCAGTATTGCACCACTGCATGCCAGTCTGGGCAACAGAATGAGACCCTGTCTCAAAACAAAACAACAAAAAACTATCTTCATGAGGTCCCCTCAGCTTTTGCCCAGTGCCTCATCTCAAAACCAAGGCCATGTGTTAGGTTTCTGTTATAGCAGCAATCCACTTCCATCTAGCAAATTCTCTTCAGGTTATCTATTGCTGCAAAACTTAACGTTCAAAATTCCATTACTTAGTGGTTTAAAATGCCAGTCATTGTTACTGTTTTTCACAATTTTCTGGGTCAGAAACTTGGCTAGGACTCAAAGAGGTGATATGATTTTTTCCTCTACTGAGGTCACTTGGTGATAGATGATGGATGGGCTGGTCTACAGGGGCCAAGATGGCTTCATGCACATCCCTGGCACTTTAATGGGGATGGCTGGAAGGGTGGTCAGGTGCATCACATGGCACCTCACGGTTTCCAGAGAGAATGTTCCTAAAGAGTGTGGAAGCTGCCATTTTCTTAAGACATGAACTTGGAAACTGGTGTAACATCACTTCTGCCACCTTCCAGTGAACCAAGTAGTCACAGACAGATTCAAGATGAGGAGACATAGACTCCACTTGTCAATGGAAAAAGTGTGAAGGAATTGATGACCCTGTTTAGTCTTCCATTCTCTTCCTGCTTCATCCCTTCCTCCTTCCTGTTGCCTGGAATGGGAACGTGAAGGCTGGAGTTGCAGCAGCCATCGTGGACCATGAGAAGCTGTTGGGAATAAAAGGCATGCACTGCAGATCCACAAGCTGGAAGCATATGGATCGCCAGGGCCACAGAATACCATATCATCTCTAAACTGCCAACCCCTGAACTTTCAGAATGTGAGAACAAATAAACCTTAAGGCATTATTATTTTAGGTTTTTATGTCATTTGTAGCGTAATACTGAACAGTAGCTTTTGGGGGTGCAGTGTGTCCTTCAGTAGCTCAGAGTTGCAGATTGAGGAGACTGTTGTGCATGTCAATAATCCATCCTGCGCCCCATAGCCAGAGTGCCCTGATGCATCACACATCAGGCTGGCAGACGCTTCTCTATGGTCCCTTCCAGTGAAAGAGCCCTGGAATCACATCCTGATCTCATCACTTCCTTCCAAACAAGGTTTCTGTCAGATTAAAGTCCACCTTCCAAGGCCCTCCATGGGCTGACCCTGACCCACCTCTCCAGCCGGATTCCCACCATTCCTCACACCCCCCCAACAGGTGAACCCACAACCCTGACGCACCCTGTGCTGTCCCCATGGGCACTTATACTTCTCTATCCCTGTCACACATACACACATATAAACACACACACATATACACACAGACACACACGTATATACACAGACACACATAAACACATATACACACACTCATACACATACACACACAGAGACACACACATGCACACAGACACATACAGACACACATAGACAGACACACACTTATATACACAGACACACACAGAGACACTCATACACATACACACAGACACACACATGCATACAGACACACAGATACACACACATACACACAGACACACACACATACACACACATATACACATACACACAGACACACACATACACACACTCATACGCATACACACATGCACACACACATACACACTTACACACACATACACATACACACACATACACACAGACACACACACATACACACAGACACTCATATGTATACACACAGACACACATGCACACAGACACATACACACATAAACAGAAACACATACACACACAGACTCACATACACACAGACACACAGGCACACACACATACACACATAGACATACAGGCAAACACATATACACACAGGCATACACAGATACCCACAGGCATACACAGATACACACACATACAGACACATGCATACACACACAGATATAGACATATACAAACACAGACACACACACATACACATATACACACACAGAGACACACAGAGAGACACACACACACACCTTCTTCCAAATCCTACCATGCTTTTAGGACAAAGCTCAAATCTGATTTCCTGTGTGAAGAATTTCCAGGATCACAAAGTACGGGCTTTCTTCCTCTCTTGAACTTTTAGCAGAACCCAAACCCCTCAAGGGACATCACAATGGGTGTCCTCAATGGAGGGCATTTGTTGTTTTGATTCCTCACGTATGCATACATCTTATTTCTCCAGCTGGACCAGGAGCTGCCCAAGCGGGGGGCCTGTGTCACAGCTCTTTGTGTCTCTGGGGTCTCGCTAGTGACAGGGGCCTTGCTTCCAGGAGGCACAGCAAAGCAGTATCTGGCACAAACAGAGCCAACCGCTGGCCAAGCTGGAAAGAGAAGGAAGAAAATGGTTGTCCGCCACGCCACTCCTTTCTGTCTCCCACAGAGCTCCGTGGAGCCCCATTTCACACTCTCACCCGCCCAGTCAGCAGACACTTGGTGGTGTAAGTCCATCTTCAGAGGATCACTGTCCTGCCAGAAATTTCCAGAGGACAGAAGCCCATAGCCCATCCTGCCAGGCGAACCACAGACCCCAGGGAGCATCAGCTGCCACTTTACCCATGGGCTGATGCTGAACGATTGGAAAGATGCCCCGGCCGCTTGGATTTTTATTCTCATATCAGCATTTTGCCCAGCAATTGGAAGCAGAGACCAGGAAGACACACGCATAGAAAGGAGAATTTCTCAGCTTTGCTTTGAGTCCCTGAAGGAGAGACACAAACCCTCCCCACAACTCCTTGCGGGAACCCTCCCCTACCTTGACCCACAATCCCAGCCTGCAGGTTCCCTGCAGAGTCCAGACTCTGCTGGGACATCAGATGGCCCAGGGATCACAAAAGCAGCCGGCGATGGCAACGATTCCGACTGGAAACTTTGATCAAACTCAGCATCCTTTTCCCGAGGGCTGAAAGCCTGACAGTGAGCAGAACTGGCACCAGGGAGATTCCATTTAATGAGTTATTTGGCAAGGGCTATTTCTGAAATTAATTATCAATCACTTCTAATTGTTTTTAAATGGCAGTTATTAATCTGAAAAGGCTCGGGAAAACGCTTGTGTTATGGTGTGTTCCCTCAGCTGCCCAAAGGACACACGCCGAGAGGCTGACGGAGCCCTGGTTAAGGCTGGTGTTTGGCAACAGATCAAGAAGGGGCACCGCAGCTCTAGGCCCAAGGTGAGGCCCCGGGGTGAGGCCAGGGGCCAGGAGGGTGGCTCCAATACCTATGTGTATTCTCAGAGCAGTTAGCAGGAGCCAGGAGAGGAAGCTTCTGGCTTAAGCCAATCCATGCCCAGCACCAAAACCTTGATCTCCCCTCAAGCCCAGCCTCGGCCTCCAGTCTCACTAATAATTCAATCTCATTTAATCTAATAAGCCTGAAAGCCTGGAATCCCCAGTGCATGCCTCACCTGAGGCAGAGGTGCTCAGAAGGGAGGAATAGGTGCTGTCTTGGGGATGCACCACCTGCTTAGCACACCTGCCCAGACGAGGGGGCAGGGCTCCAGGTGCTGCACCTGTCTTCTGAGAATGGAGGTGACACCTTGAGAACTCTATAAGGCCTGGAAATATCTCAACGAGTGCTAAGAAAACAGGCAGGCACACGCACATATGGGAATCTGGTCAAAGATCAGAGGGACAAGAAGCCCAGGCCAACACCTCTGCCCCGATCCCCTATTTTCTCCTGAGTGGCCCAGAAGAAGAGGCTGGAGTGCAGTGGCACAATCTCAGCTTACTGCAACCTCCACCTCCTAGGTTTAAGCGATTCTTGTGCCTCAGCCTCCCAAGTAGCTGGGACTACAGGCTTCCACTGTGCCCAGCTTTGTTGTCTTTGTATTTTTAGTACAGACAGCATTTCACCATGTTGGCCAGGCTGGTCTGGAATTCCTGACCTCAAGTGATCTGCCTGCCTCGGCCTCCTAAACTGCTATGATTACAGGTGTCAGCCACTATGCCTGGCCAGGAGTTACTGCTTTTAAACTGGCTACAGCCAGCCCACAACATCTGGAGCTGAGGACAGCGTGAGCCGCTTCAGAAACCAGCACTTGCAGAGTTACATCTTTAGGCGGACAAACACCAGAGGGTGGGCTCAGGGCTTGGGAACCACAAATTGTGGGGTATAGGTATAGCACTGGGCTCTGGGTACCCCTCTCAAAGAGCAAACTGGCCATTAAGCACTCAGATCCGAGACTGGGCCAGGCAGCCCTTAGTGCTCCCATCACAGCATGCTCTGAAATTGGGCATCCTGCACGGAGAGGGAGGGGTTCCCTCTCAGCCCTGGGTCTCACTCCATTTCCCTGCAAATGGTCTTCATGGCTCTTGTTATCACCATTTCTAGCTCAACTCTCACGTTTTATGTCTCAGAGGTGGTGTTTATTGATACTGAACAATGCTCCTGCCACTATGCAGAACATCTGTGCTGCAGCTGCCACGGCCCGGCTGAGATTTTTGTAATAGTTTTGGGATGATTCGCTAGTACAGCACATACAGTGCTGAGAGGGCTGTGTTCTGCTAGTCAAGAGGATTTGGGATAATTGGAAATTTCAGGGTTTTTAAGGCTGTTGCTGGGTTTGGTTCCAGTGGGGAGGTTTTACTTGTTTAGGTATATAAATATTAATTGGAAACATTTATTTGTAAATATCAGAAAGAAGACTTTGTAGAGAATGACCCTCCCACTGCCCCCACAAAATAAGAATTATGCTGGAAAAGTATAGCTCAAGGCTGGGGGCAGTGGCTCACACCTATAATCCCAGTGCTTTGAGAGGCTGATGCAAGAGGATTGTTTGAGGCCAGGTGTTCGAGATCAGCCTTGGCAACATAGTGAGACCTTGCCTCTACCAAAAAATTAAAAAATAAAAGCAATAACGAGCATTAGTTGTATGACTTGTAATCCTAGCTACTTGGAAGGCTGAGATAGGAGGATCGCTTGAACCCAGGAGTTCAAGGTTACAATGAGCTAGGGTCAGACCACTGCACTCCATCCTGGGCAATAGAGCATGACTCTATCTCTAAAAATCAAACAAAAAACAAAAAACAAAAAAGAAAAGAAAAATAAAGAAAGAAGAGTGTATCTCTCTCTGCAGCAACTTAAGTCTGGCATGGGAGGGGACTTGTTCTTCCCCGTCTCTATTGTCCAGCTCTTACCCCATCTCCACCACTGCCCTAGGAAAGGATTAAGATAGAGGCAGAATGGCAGCCACCTCAATAGGGCAATGAGATTGGGAGAATACATGAGATCCTGCTTCCCAAAAGTAGCATCCCATAAAATGTTCACACATCTTCCCTTTATCCATGAAGACATAGAAAAAATGAAATAAACATTCCTTTAGTTTGCCGCTGGAGAAACAAGCTTAGAGAGAGATTCAGTGACTTGCTCAAGTCCACAGGGCAAATTACTTGTTCTAGTCTGTTTGGGCGGCTGTAAAAAAATACCTTCAACTGGGTAATTTATAAACAACGGAAATTTATTGGTAACAGTTCTGGAGGCTGGGAAGTCCAAGATCAAGGCACCAGCAGATCTGGTGTCTGGAGAGGGCTTGCTCTCCACTTCATAGATGGTGCCTTTTGCTGTGTCCTCACATGGCAGAAGAGCCAGGAAGCTCCCTTCAACCTCTTGTATCAGGGAACTAATCCCATTCATGCAGGCGGAACCCTCATGATGTGATCACTTCCCAAAAGGCCCTGCCTCTCAATACTATTACATTGAGCATTAGGTTCCAATATATGAATTTTGGGGGGACACTAACATTTAGACCATAAGCAATACTAGAATGTTCTAGAACCAAATCCACTGATAACTAAATTACCAACAGGTGAAACTATCTCTTGAGTTAGACAACAAAAGCAAACCTTTTATGCTAAAGGATTTTCAAAAGCTACTGTGAGAGAAGGGCTGTTGAGGAAAGAAGTTCTGATCCATCCCTCCTTAGCATGTCTACACATCCCATTAGTTGTTAGGCTAACAGCCCTAAAAGATTGCTATGGTTTGAACAGCCCCTCCAAAACTCATGTTGATACCTAATCCCTAATTTGGCGGTATTGAGGGGTAATGGAATCATAAGGGATCTGCTTTCATAATGGATTAAAGGATTGATGGATTAATGGGTTATTATGGGAGTGGACCTGGAGGCTTTATAAGAAGAGGCAGAAAGACTTGAGTATAGCATGTTAGGACACCAGCCATATAATGAGCACACCATGGGATGCCCTGTGCTGCCTTGGGACTCTGCAGAGTCCCCACCAGCTCGAAGACCCCCACGGGATGTGGTCCCTTGACTTTGGACTTCTCAGAAGTAATAATATTTTTCTCTGTAAATTATGCAGTTTCAGGTAGTCTGGTATAATCAACAGAAAAAGAACTGATAAAGGTTTAGATACCTTCAGTGTGTGGCACCCTGTGTTTTCCTATTAGATTTGCCTAAGGCACCCAGGAGAGCAGAGTAGAAGCCTGCAAACCTTCAGCACCCAATTCTTTGTATCTGAAAAGTTGCCAGAACCTTGCCCAGAACACTCAACTACTAAATCCTGGTGCTCCAGCTTTTGCAGGTCTTGCATTTGCACCTGTGTATTCCTGTGTTTGTGTGCCTGCTGTGTATTAAGTACTGTTTTAGGATCACAGTGATAACAAGTCGGAGAAGGCCTCTGATCTCAAAAGTGACATTGAATACACACATATGAAAAGAATGAGGAGTGGGAGGATGGGGGGAGAAGGACGAGGAGGAAGAGGAGAAAGGGGAGAAGGAGAAGAAGAAGGATAAGGAGGGGGGAAGGGGAAGAACAAGAGGAGGAGGAAGAGGAAGGAGAAGATGAAGAAGAAGAGGAGGAGGAGAAAGAAAGAATGAGAAGGAGAAAGAAAAGAAGAGGGAGAGGGAGGAGAAGGGGAAGAAGAGGAAAGGAAGGCGAATAAGAAGGAGAGGAAGAAGGAGAGGAGGAAGAAGAAGAGGAGGAGGAGGAAGAGGAAGAAGAGGAAGGAGGAGAAAGAGAGGGAGAAGGAGAAAAAGGAGAAGGATAAGAAGAAGAAGGAGTAGGAGGAAGAAGAGGAGGGAAGGAGGAAGGGGAGGAGGAGAATGAGAAGGATAAGAAGAAGAAGGAGGAGGAAGAGCAGGAGGGGAGGAGGAAGGGGAGGAGGGGAAGGGAGGAGGAGGAAGAAGAAGAGAAGGAGGAGGAAGAAAATCAGACAATGATAAAGGCTCTGCAAGACTGAAATAAGATGCTATGAAAGAGAATGATTGGGTGGTGCATAAGAGTGGAAGATCCAGGGAAGGCTCTGCTGACACTGAACTGAGATCTGAATTGCAGGAAGAAGCCAGCCATTGGAGGAATAAGGAGATCAATGATCTACACAGACAGAAAAGCCATAACATTGGGAGAAGTTTGGCTTGTTTGAGGATCTGGGGTTGGAGCACTTCCCCACTGCAGGGCGGGGAAGGTGAGGGCACTAAGGTAGGTAGGAGTTCTGTGAGCCAGGTTATATTGCCCCAAGGGCAAGGGGAACCCAATGGTGAATGTGGGAGCCATGGGGGCACTGCTCAGCTCCCACTTCAAGAGAGGACCTGCTGGGACCAGAGCAGGCAGTGGACAGCCTCCAAGTGCAGTGCCACCAAGATCCTCCTGCAGTGTTCGACCTGCGGCCATACTCCGCCCAAAGACCAATCTCTACGGGGGTGCATGAGCCCGGACTCCGTTGGGAAGCTCCTTGCTGGTCTGGCTGGGCTTTCTCAGAGCTGCAGTGTGGCCTGAAGCTCTTCCTACCCTCTCTTCTTTCCTTCAGCTCTCTCTTCTCCGGGGGTCAGACCCACATGCTGGTCTGAAGGCTCTCCCTGCCTCCTTGTGCTTCCTCTCTTCTGCATACTCTGCAGGTCTCCCCTGGTAAACTCCTTTCCTTTCCAACTGCATCCTGCCTTCTGCTTCCCAGAGAGCCTGGCCTGACAGAGTGGGGTTTTAATCAGCACGCTCTGATTATAGGGCTTCGAGTGGAGCAAATCCATCAGCAGCTGCTCAGGAACTGGAGAGAGTAAGGTGGCTTGAACCACGGCTGTGGTAGAGCAAGGGGAAGATGGTGAGTTGGGGGATGCAGCATGCTTTTTGGATGTAGAGTTGACAAGGCTTGCTGATGAGATCTGATGTGGGGGTTGGCAAAAGAGAGAAGGAAAAAATGGCCTCCAGTTTTTGGCTGAACATCAGGATAGATGGCAGGGGTATTTCCAGAGGTGGGATGACTCCATAAGGGATGAACTGGGGCCAGATCCTCAAGTCTTGGCCATGTTTGAGGGGCCTGTTAGACACTTGGAAAAGGTCTAATTGTCCTCTGGACGCAGGGGGCAAGCTGTTCTTCCCATGAAACTGTCTTCGACGCAGCAGTCAGGGTTAACAACCGCTACCATTTAGTGGGCACGTGGCACATACCAGGCGTGGTGCTAAGCACACCTATTGCCAGGATCCCAGACTCAGACCGGGCAACTGTGCCATGCTAACAGCTCTGTGGTGGAGCTACAGATGCTTAACCTGTCCTACAACAGGGCATCTGTCTTTCCAGCTATTTTATATCCAGTTGGGTCTCCTACTCTAAACTCTTTTCTAGCAGGTGGGGCATGGTAGTGTGCATCAGTAATCCCAGAAACTCAGGAGGCTGAAGTGGGAGGATCTCTTGAAGCCAGGAGCTGGAGACCAGCCCAGGCAACACAGTGAGACCCCCATCTCTAAAAAAACTTTTTTTGAAATTAGCCAGGTGTGGGGTCCTGGGGTTTCTGGGGTCCCTGCTTCTAGCCCCTCTGGCGGGTGAGCCCCGCGGGGAGGGTCCCAACGTGGCAAGGAGACCTACAAAGGGAGGCCGAGGCACCGGTGCAAGCACAAACCACACAGCAAAATTAGCCAGGTGTGGGGTCCCAGGGTTTCTGGGGTCCCAGCTACTTGGGAGGCTGAGGTGGGGAAGGCTGCTTGAGCCCAGACGTGGGAGGCTGCAGCAAGCTATGATGGCACCACTACACTCCATCCCGGGTGACAGACAGACTGAGACTTCATCTCTAAAAATAATAATAATAATAATAATAATAAGCTCCTTTCTACCAGAAACCATGTCTAGCCTATATCTGAACTCTCAAGTATGGACCATGGGGGCTTTGCCTACAGCACTGCTCAGGCAGCACGGGAATTCCCAGGAGCTTTTGGAGCTGCATCCAAACTCCAGGAAGGGCTGCCCTTTTCAGTGACCTGCCCTGGCATCCCAGTGCTGGGTGGGAGGGAGCCCTCAGCCCTCCTTCGGTGGGGTAGTGAGGTTTCTGAGCAGAAATCCCAACATCATCTTTCTCATGAGTCCCTCTTTCTGCCCTGTTTGAGAAGGACAGGTTGAAATGCCATCGCCCATCGCTGGGGGCCTCAGCCTTCACCTCTGCCCTCAGGAAAAATGCTCCTTCCCAGGAGGCTACTAACATGGACTATTTGCCTGGTAGAGCCAGGGACCCCGGGGTCCTGATGTTGGGGATCTGCAGGCCCTATCCCCTCCAATCTGCAGAATAAAATAAATCCACAGCCCTCTTCTTCTTCCCAGGCACTGAGGCATCTTCTGCAAAAATAACATTTTCTTCTCTTTCCAGAGCTATGGGTGCATGAACCAAAGGGAGGGCCAAGGCCCACTGGTCCCCATTGCCACTGGGAAGCTCGCCTGCAGGATCCGGAGTGCCTCGGCGCCATCCTCCCTGGAAGAAAGCTCCCTTGTTCCAGGCACACAAAGGATGTGCGCTGGGCAGGCGACAGGCCATGAATGCTAATGGCCCAGGCGCTTGCAGGCTCCAGCTCTGCCTGGCGGGAAAGCCAGCCTGGTGCCTCTGCCACTCTTCACGCTGAGCCAGCCCTGGCCTGGGGCTGCAATGCACATGGCAGCTCCCTTTCCTGGGGACCCCATTTCTTTGCAGTGCGGTGGCCCTGTCCCAGGCCAGAGGCGTGGAGCCCTCCCGTGCCTATCACGTGGGAGCGCCTGGGAACCCAGGCAAGCATCTGTTGCAGACTGCACAAACGTCTAAACATCCGTGCAAACTTGGACCAACAGGTCCTGCTGAAATGTGCTAACCATCTGCTTTTCCTTAGCTGTTTTTGAGCAAATTATGTTTATTATGTTAATTTATTTTACTGTCAACAACACAGAATGACACAGTTGCTGCTAAATATCATTATATATCTCAGCCTGGCATATCACCAGCAGGGCTTTTTTTATTTTGTATTAATTTTTTTGTATATACAACAAGAATAAATACATATTGAAATGTCGATCTATTTAAAATGGTGTCCGGGATGGTAAAGTCATCTGTACAGAAGGCCCTGGTTGCTCACCCTTCCAGCAAAGGCTTTTGCTAGGAGAGGCAGCACAGCGGCCATCTGGGTGGGGGCCTAGGCCTGCAGCCCGCCCAGGTCCCTCCAGACAGTTCCATGTTTGGCCAGGAACATGGGGCTTCTCAGAAGTTTGTGGGGTTAGGAAAGAGAGAGAGCGAGAGAGACAGAGACAGAGAGAGAGAGAGAGAGGCTCCCAGGCGCCTGTTTTCTTCCCCAAACGTCCTCCTCCCTTAAAAAATCCTCCCATTTTCCAGATGGCCAAGCCAGGGGGACCCAGAGGAGCCAGGCAGAGAGAGGGTGTGCCCTAGTGACTCACTGGGAACCACCCTGAAACCCAAACAGCTGGCCAGGGGTTGCAGCTTATAATAATTACGTTTTTGATCATTTCCCCCCTGCAGAGACCAATAAACTCCACATTTCCAGAGAAAGAGAGAGGAGAAAAAATAAGGGCTGCTGAGCAGGAGGGAGGGAAGCCTGACAAGGAGAAGATCGTTCTGGAAATGTACCAAATCATTGCGCGGGGCATGAAGGTACTGCTCTCCACAACTTCCTTAATGCTCAGCTAGTGGCCAAGCTAAGGAAGCTCAAAGTAGCACCATGCAGACTCAAATAGTTCATCAATTAGGTAATAAGCAACAGAAGGTAAGTGCAGTTTCCTGGGAGGAAACCAGGGCCTCAGACAGACACCAGAGCCCCTGCAGAAATGAACAGAGTTTCTTTCATTCCGCTCACAGGCCCGACTGAGATTTCATCTGCACACCCCAATTGGGGGGCAGCAGGAGAGGCCAGGGTGGGCTGCCCTGTGTCGTGGAGGGGAGGTTTGCCTGCGGACCCCTCAGAAGCTGAGAAAAATCCCCAGGTGGCGTTTTCACAGCACCAATGACCTGCATGGTCAAAAGATGTGGTAGCCAGGTGGCTGCTGGCTGTCCCTGCAAATATTTGGTTTCAGAGAATGAGTCGGATTACACAGTTTCATATTTGGAGGCTGAGAGAGCTGCGGCCGTAAGCCTCCATCCTGGCTTGTCTGCAGCAGCCAGTAGACAGCCCATAAAAACACGGGGCTTATGTTCACACAGATGGCTGTTGGTTTTATCGACTTGGGGAGAGGAGCAGAAGATGGTCACGGTGCAGCTGCCTGAGACTCTGTCAAATGGGTCTCAACTGCTGGGGACACAGTGACCATCGAGGGCCACCTGGGTCCTAGAGGCCCCATGAGGTCTGGACATTCTCAGAAGGCTCCCTCCACACCCCTGAAATGTGTACAGGACTCTGTCACTACCCACCTCCCAGAGCCACCACCCTACCTCCTCCCAGTCCCACCAAATGAATGACTAGGGCCCGGGCTTGAAGGATGGCCACAGCGCTGGTTCCTGTCCCTCTGGGTCTCAGGCTGGGCCTCCTTCCTTTCTCTAGGAGCCCACTCAATCCTTGGGAAACAATAATACACTGTTTCACCCTAAAATCGGTGCCTAAATTTTATCTCTTCAAGGGTATCTTCTGTTTAATTGGGAGCTAAGCCTTGAATCAAAGAAACGGATCCGTCATTGCAGAATGTCTTACTTAGTAGATGGCATGAAGGGAGAGCGTCTGGTGCCCTGTGTGTTAACCTCATTGCAGGGAGGAGAAGAAAGTGGGCAGAGACCATCCCAGCCCCACTAAATCCACGCTACCGCCCGGGAGGATCCCAGAAAAGGCAGGGGAAGGGGCTTGGAGAGGGAGGCTGGCCACACGGTGGTGCTATTGCCCACGGCGGTCTAGTTGGCCTCCGAACTGGGGGTGGAGGGTGGGAAGTGGTTAGAACCATCCCCAGCAAAGAGAGAAGAGAGTGCTGACTTCAACTCAGTGGCAACCAGGGGGCATAGATGAAAAAAACAAATTGCAAATTCTTCCACCTCGGCCTCAATCTCTGTGATAAAACCCTGCGGTTCTCTGATGATTTCTGGGGTGATGGGGTGGGGCTGGGTTAAGAAGAGACTTATACTGTGATTCCTGGGTTGGGGGACGGCGCTACGACTCTAAGGTTTTAAGCAGTGATCCCAGCAGGTTAACTGGGGCAGTAAGTGCTGTCTTTCTCGGGGAGGGAGGGAGTTCAGCTCCAAAGGCGGCCTGGTTCGCAGGCTCCTTTCCCTAAGATCCTTTAGAAATCGTTCCCATCCCAGAAAGGAAGCTGGGGCGCAGCTGTGAGCGCCCCCCTCTCCCCCCGCCTGCCCCCACCCCCTCTGAGCTCCCCGCTTTGCTCTGAAAAAAACCAAAAGCATCTCTCGATGCTGGGGTTTCTTCACATAAAGTGATTACCACGTGTCAGAAATAAACTGCAGTCCCCTTTGGAGAACAGTGAGGTTGGATCAAAAAGGAGAACTATTTCAAAACATGCTGCCAGCTCGTCTTTTCAAAAATTTTTCTTTTTTTTTTTTTTTTTTGGATGTGGGGAGGAGGATTTCAAAAACAAAAAAAAGTAAGTCAGTATCTTCTCACAACTGCAGCTGATTTCCTGTGTAAACGAAAACCATGTGATATTCCATAAATGCTTCCAGCTCTAAATTACAGGAAATGAAAACCATCATGGAAAAGGAAAGCTTTCAGAATAAATCCCCACTTCGGATCCCGCCGCGGCGAAGCTGCGCTGGGCCGCCCGCACACACCTGCGGGTCCCCGAGCTCGCCCGGGCGCCCCCGCCACCGTCCCCAGAGCGCGCAGGGAGCGGGGCGCGCGATCACACCCTCCGCGCTGCGCCCGACCACTCGGGCTTTCAATTAGGAGCCAAGCTGAGAAAAGTAGGCTTTTCTTTATGCACGCCTCGCCGAGGTCAGGTTACGACCTCTCAACCGTCTTCAATCGGCGGTGGCATCCATATTCATGAAGGCTAATTAACTCTGAAAGGCTCGGCGGGGCTGGCCCTCCCCGGGCCGCCCAGCGCCGCCCCCCGCGGTGCAGGGGTGGGTGAGTGGGGGCCCCGAGCCCAGTACCCTCTCCTCCCTCCCCCGACAACCCGCCAGGCATCTTCCCAGGGCCGCCCGGCCTCCGCAGCTGCTCCTGGGCCGGACTCCCGAGCACGCACTTGTGCGCGGGGACACGGGGTCCCAGGGCGCGGGGACCAGTCAGGCGAGGAGAATTAGCTGCGTCATTTGTCGCCATCCTAGCAACTCGAGCTTACTTCTCCCGATAGCTCCCTCCTGGCCGCTGCTCCCAGGGGCCGAATGTGGGAAAGGGATGCTAATTCCAAGTGAGAGTTCATGCTTGGGGTTTCAGGCAGCCTTGCAGATGGGCGGCCCTGGGACCTAGGTTATAGCCCCAAGCCAATGGACTGTGGGGGCGCGCGGGGAAGTCACTCCACCTCTCTGGGCTCTTTGCGTTTGCTCTGAGATGACAAGAGGCTGTTAGGCTGGAGAAACTCCTTTCCACTTAGTGAAACGTCCCAAGAGGTCTCTCCTGCGGCCTTATTTCCCCAGCTCTGCATGAGAATTTTTAGGTTTCCCAGTTCTGCAGGAGCCAGCAGGTTCTGAGGTTCCCAAGGGGTGGCAACTTGTAGGGTAACCTTTTCTACTTCTTCCTGTATCCATCAAGGTCCTTACATTTTAGATTTTACAAACGGACTTGAACTAGTTTAAGCAAACTAGAAAATTCTGTTTTGTGGATAGAGACTTTGCTCATGGACCCATGGGCCTGAGATACCTCCAGGCTCAGAAAGTTCTTCCTCCTTCTTTCACCTTTTCTTCTATATTCCTGCTGCTTTGTTTTTATTGGCCGACTGACTGCCTCAAGGCCTGTTTCTCAGTCCACATAGGACAGAAGATGGTCCTGCCACTGTTTATCAGTTTACATCTGCTCTATTCAACAGGGGAGTCCAGCCTGAAACTGCATCTCCAGAATTCAGGCACAAAATTCAGTTTACATCTGCTCTATTCAACAGGGGAGCCCAGCCTGAAACTGCATCTCCAGAATTCAGGCACAAAATATGGGGCTGGCCCAGCTTAGATCACATGCCCAGCTCTGGTCCAGCCAATTGAGAGCAGAGGGCCAGCCACATGGTACTCACTGCCACCATGGGACTGCCCTGTGGGTAGGGGATGAATCAGGGGTGAGCTGGCCAGAAATGGCTAAGAGCATCTTCTGCATGAACTCAAGCCTGATTTCAAGTGGGTGCAAGGTAATTTCTTTCAGAGACAGATAGCTCTCTGGGCTCCTGACCCAGAGTTGGCTTCACCTTTTTTATTTCTTTTGTTTCTTTTCAGAGATGGGCTCTCACTCTGTCGCCCAGGCTGGAGTGCAGTAGTGCAATCCACAGCCTCAAACTCCTGGGCTCAAGGGATCCTGCAGCCTCAGCCTGCAGAGTAGCTGGGACTACAGATGCGTGCCACCACATTCAGCTATTTTTTATTTTCATTTTTTGTGGAGATGAGGTCTTACATTGTTGCCAGGCTGGAGTGCAGTAATGTGATCAGAGCTCACTGCAGCCTCAAACTTCTGAGCTCAAGTGATTCTCCAGCCTCAGCCTCCTGAGTAGCTGGGGCTACAGTTGGGCACTAACCACACATGGCTAATTTAAAACAATTCTTTTAGCAGTGGGGTCTCGCTGTGTTGTCCAGGCTGGTCTTGAATGCCTGTCCTCAAGCGATCCTCCCACCTTGGCCTCCCAAAATGCTGGGATTACAAGTGTAAGCCACCACACCTGACCATGGCTTCACCTAATAAGAAAGAGGAGGGGACAGAATTCCCAGTGCAGAATTCAGGGGCACCAGGAAGAACATACCTGACCTCCCTGTACTTCTTAGCAGGGAGCCAGGGATGAAGTCAGAGGCCCACCATGACCAGAGAAGCAGACAGAGAGCCCACTCTCCATCAGAGACACTTCTGTGGCTGGGCCTGCCTATGGTGATGGGATTGCCACACTAGGGCTCCTGCTGGGTCCCCTCCATCCTGCACTAAGATGAGAGGTCTAAGGCAAGCCCTGTGCCGCCCATTCTGGGGGAACCATGGCCTACCTGCAGATGCAACTACCAAATCAACACATTAGACCGAGTCGGGAAGTGAAATACTCAGAGTTCTTAATCCTAAAAAAAGGAAATCTGCTTTAGCTAGTCCATCAGAAAACGGATTTCAGTGTACTAGTCAAGATGCGCTAACCCTACAACAACTGCAAACTCAGAGTGGCTTAAGACAATAAGAGGTTTATTCCTTGTTCATGTCGCCATGCAGGCTAGTGATCCAAGAGCCCAGGCTCCTGTCTTCTCATGGCTCCAGGGCTCTTGTCATCTCCCAGCGGATCCTCTGCGCCTTGCTAGGCGATAAGAGTGTGGGTGATTGTGAGAGGCTTTAGGGACCAGGCATGGATGTCTGTCGCTTCTCTCCACGCTCCATTAGTTGGGACTCAGTCGTGTGGCCACGCCTAAGGGCAAGGAAGGCTGGGAAAGGCAGTTCAGCTCTGTGTGTGCCTGACAACGGGGACAAAATGGGACTGGTGAGCCCTGAGCCATTCTCTTGGGAGATCAGAGCAAGCTCACAGAGTCATGGGCAGCCAGGAGTCAGAGTTGAAGCTAAACGTCCGGGAGCGATCCCTAAATCCCGCCACAGAACTTGCTGAGGAAACAGCAGTGGTTTCTGCCACTCATAAGCACAAAATGCCACAAATCTGCTTCATCACAAATGCCACATCTGCTAGATCTAATGGGACATGACCTTGCACTGTCTGGGAAACAGCATAAAAGCCAATGTCTCTGCCGTGGCTCAAAACAGAAAATTAATGCACCAGGCAGATTCCCTCCTGCACCTTTTTTCCCTTCAGGTTATTAATTTCCAAATTGAAGTCTTGCACAGGAGCATATGAAAGATAGACTTAGGTCACAAGACTTCTTCTTTCCTGCAAGGGATCCTGGGATTTTGAGTTCTCACTTTTACTCTGGGAAGGTGGGACTCATATTGTGAGCTTGTCCTGTAGTCAGGTAATAGATGGCATCTATGAGCAAGACAAATGTCCCCCATTGGAGGTGAGCAAAGAGGGAGGCCCCTGGCTATTGCAGCTCTGGCTGGGCCTAGGTAAAATGGTGTTGAGGATGAGTTATAAACTATGTCCAAGCTTGCACAAGCAAAAGGCCAAGTGGCAGAAACATAGGTCCTTGGAGTCAGGAGGAAAAGTCAAAGGTTATCAGTCCAGTTCCCAACTTCACACAGGCATCCTGTCTACCAAAAGTGCCCTATGATGGGTCAGCCCCACTGAAACATTCACCGGGATGGGTGACTCAGCACTGCCTTACAAGGCAGCCTCGTGGATCACTTTTTGTTCTTAGGAGTTTCTTTTTTTAGGTGAAGCAGAAACCTGGCTTTCTAGAACCTCTACCTCTGGCCTGAGTTCTGTCCTGGGAAGCCACACAGAACGAATCTGCTTTTCATGTGTATGACAATTTTAATGTTCCACTCTTCTGTGGTTTTTCTCATCTTCTTGAGGCTGAACATCCCTTCTTCTCTACACTCTGTTCCTCACATGGTGATCTCTTAAGAGAGACCCATGGGCAGAGGGTAGAGGGACAGATCCCCAAATGGCAGTGCTGTAAATTTCACCACTCCCTGAAACAGTCTCAGAGGGGTGCATACACATCCCAATGTGATTGATGGGAAAATGGAGAAATCAAAGCAAGAGAAGAAATCCAGGGTCCAGATCAAGACTTGGAACCACTGTCCTCGAGTTTCTGCGGACGCCACTCCCATGAGATCTGTCCTCCCTGGGCCCATTTAATGCACCACCTATCCCTGTGCTGGGTCCCAAGCCTGGGGAGCTTCACATTGACACCTTCAACAGTTACTGCAAACAGTTACAGATGCTTCAGGTGGGACAGAGGTAAACAAGTCCTCTTGTAAGAGCCTCTAAGTTGTTGCTCTGAAGGTGAGTGTGGTGACAGTGGGGAAAGGGTTGTTTACCCTGAATTTTTCTGTTAGAAAAAAGAAGGAAATTTATGTCTCTTCATGAAATCCTACCTGTCATCTCTGCTGTGCTCAGCCTAACGGGTCCCCATGACAAAGGAAGGGAGCTCTTATCAAAGGAATCACTGGCGATTGTGTAGAGACGGTCTGGAAATGATGGCTATAATAGATATCCATTGTGGCCAAGTTCAAATGTGGATATTTCACAGGATGGCCCGACCATCTAGACCTTGGACTTAAATCATTGTTCATTCCAGAAGTCCTGGATCCTTTGCTGTTTCCAACTCTCTTAACTCACTGTTTTCACAATTATGAAGGAAATAGAAGTTTATTGTAAATATCTGGAAAATATATATGTGTATAAAGAAAAAAACTAAAATGGCCAGGACCAACCACTGCTAACAATTTAGTGCCTCTGGTCTGGGTTTTTACATGTATTTGTGTATAGTCATGTTAATGTCATGCTGTGTATACAATTTTGCAGACTTTTTCTCATTTAATGTTGGGTTGTGAGCATTTTGCCATATGGATTCTTAGAGAATATGGTTTAAGACTGGATCACATCCATTCTTTCATGTGCTTATTCTTCAGTCAGGGAATATGGTGTGCCAGGCACTGTTGTAGGTTTCAGGGACATTTTGGGGGACACAATAGTAAACAAGACAGCCAGCGCCCTAGCCCTCATGGGACTTATAATCTGGAGAGAGGGGCGGAAGTGGAGAAGCAGTCATGACAAGGGGGATGAGTGGGGCGGAACACGAAGAGTGTCACACCAGCGTGTAGCAGAGTCAGAAGTGGGTGCGCGGGTGGCTTCTCAGAGGAAAGCATGCTGAAGCAGAGCCCTGAGGGATAAATGCAGAAAGCGGTCTGACTCCTGACAGAGGAGGTAGAAACAAGACTTGGATGTGAGGGGGGAACACTGGATGACTTCAAGGTTTCTTTCTTTCTTTTTTTTTTTTTTTTTTTGAGACGGAGTTTCGCTCTTGTCGCCCAGGCTGGAGTGCAATGACGCGATCTTGGCTCACTGCAACCTCTGCCTCCTGGGTTCAAGCAATTCTTCTGCCTCAGCCTCCCAAGTAGCTGGGATTACAGGTGCCCGCCACCATGCCTGGCTATTTTTTTTTTTTTTTTTGTCTTTTTAGTAGAGATGGGGTTTTTACCATGTTGGCAGGGCTGGTCTCAAACTTCTGACCTCAGGTGATCTGCCCACCTTGGCCTCCCAAAATGCTGTGATTACAGGCATGAGCCACCACTCCAGGACTCAAGGTTTCTTATTTGAGCAACCAGGCAGTTTGGTCTTTAACTAAGTTCCTGGTGTGGGAACTTTAGGTTGTTTCTACTTTTCTTTCTTTTTCAATTTTAATTTATTTATTTTTTTTTAGAAACAAGGTCTCACTCTGTTGCCCAGGCTGGAGTGCAGTGGCACAGTCACAGCTCACTGAATCCTCAAACTCCTGGGCTCAAGCAATCCTCCTGCCCCAGCCTCCTAAGTAGCTTTGACTACACCACGCCCAGCTAATTTTTAAATTTTTCTGTAGAGCTAGGATCTTGCTATGTTGCCCAGGCTGGTAATGAACTCCTGGCCACAGGTGATCCTCCCACCTTGGCTTCCCAAAGTGCTTGAATTACAGGTGTGAGCCACCACTCCTGGCCCACTTTTTTTCTTTAAAAAGTACCCAGCTTGTGGTCTTCCGTCATAGCAGCAGAGAAGGGATTAAGACACACAGAAAATAGTGAAAGCCACATATGATCATGAGCCCACATTCTCAGGACGCATCATCGTCCCACGGAATATCTCTCCATGTTGAGTCCCACCTAGGGTCCTGGTAAAACTGGGGAGGGGGACCCTGTGGACCCCTTGGCCTCCTGGAATGTCACTTCCTGGATGGTAACTCTCAGAAGACTTTCTGGCCAGGGCCCAGGAAGGGTCACCTCTGATAGAACCTTGATAGACTGCGGGGCACTGTCCTGCCTGGAGAAGGCTGATTCCAGGAATAGGCTCTGTCACTTCTGCCTCCGCTGGGGAGGGGGCGTGGGGAAGAGAACTTAGCCTTGAACAAAAAGTACTGTTGTAAACGGAGTGAATCTTTTTATTTTACCAGAACCAGATGTATAAATGTACCAGGAAAAAGGGAAGCCAAAGGTTAGAAAAACAGACTACTGCCATCGGGAACAATGAAGTTTTATTGCCATGCTTGTCAATGGCTTGGAGTTTACAAGTTAAAAGCCTGTGCTAGACACACTGTGGGCCATTGGAGGGTGGAGGAGCCTCCTGCTGAGGATAGGAGAGCATGGGCAGGACAAGAACCTCCATGCCTGCGTCCAATACCAGGGGTGGCCAGGGCTCCCTGCCTGCCTCTGGACATCTAGATCCCTCTTCATAGACTATCTGCAGTTTGGAAGGTCCTCTTTGACTTGAATTCTCCACCATCAGCCAGGTCTCATCTGTGACCAAAATCTCATCATTGTCTAAGCACCCAGATCATGACCCTCAGTATTGCATTCTGTGGTAGCCATGTTTGTTTACTCATCCACGGATGTCAAACCTGCAGAATATCAGACTCAGCCATGTGGAGACCTGGGTGTGTTCACGCTGATGTGTGAGTGTGTACACAATTCATATATTATTGCCAACTATCAAAGACCACAATTACTTTTGCACCAACCTAATTTAATTAATTCATTTTAATGGCAAAGACCGCAATTACTTTTGCACCAACCTAATACAGTGAGAACATCACCTTTTCCTTTGCTCCCAACTCGCCATTGTATACCTTTCCCCCTCCCTCCAAGTAAAAGCAGAGACATTCCTATGGCTCTCAGGTGCCACATGCCGTGGCCCCTGCCAACCCTCTGGCTCAGTCTCCTGCTCCACTCCAGCCACTAACCATTATGCCACTTTTCCACCATTAGGCAGGCTGCCACACTGTGCCCAGAATGTTCTGTCTCCAGATATCTGTTTTTCTCCCCTCCTTCAAGTCTTTTCTCAAATGTCACCTTCTCAGGAGACCGTGCCTGAGCATCCTGTTTACAACATTGTCCCCTCCCACCTCTACTTCCTACCCTCTTCCTGCCTTAATACCTCTCCATAGCATTTCTCACTTTCTAGCATACCATTTAATTTACTTGTGTATTATATATTGTCTCCATTACCCATATTATAAGCTCCCCAAGAGATTTTTTTGTTTTGTTCACTGCTGTAATCCTAGTGTCTAAAATAGTGCTTATCTGTTGAATGAATGAATGAATCACATATGGATTTCTGTGCAGAGCATTTCAAATAGTGGGCTGGACTTTCCTTCCAACACCCATCCTGGCTGTCTGGGTGTATTTAGGGAGTGCAATCTCATTCTGATATTAACCTGAGCTAAGCAGAATTTTAAAGGCAGAAGTTATAGAAAAATACTAAAGATATTCCCAAATCAAATACAATACATTGTTTGTGATGGTGTATTTGCTCACGCTAATGGAGTTGTATCAGACATCCCTTGTGCATACTTCAAATTCTCCTGGCCCTGCTGCAGTGGCCAATTCCAGGTAGACTCTGACTAGCTTTGCCAGGAGCCACCTGAAAACACCACCTCAGGCCCCTGCATTACACCTCTCCATTCCTGGCTCAGAACTTTTACTAGCACACAGAAAACTGCTTGGCATTTACACATGTGCAACTTGGAAATGTGGGGACTTAATGCTCATGGGTCCATTCTCAACCAGTGGGGAGAGAAATTGATGGATAAAGGCTTCTGCGTTTTGTCCCCTAGCAGGCAGTTTGGAGAACCACTCCTAAGTTCCTCGGAAGGTACCCTAGAAAGGAGTACCAGTCGTCTATATTGATTGCCAAATGGTAAGTGGGTGGTGATAACATCTGATATGCAATAGCATCATAATTATTCAAATGGTTACCTGCAGTGGATTGGGATGAGGTGCAGCTGGAAGGTAAAGTATTGGGATATGTGGTAGCTGTGGCATCTCAGCAGCGTAGAGACAATGGTAATTGCAAGGATTGCAAAGTTGGCCAGGTGTTGTTACCAGATAAGTTTAGGACAGGCAGTTATAGTCATATGTCGCTTAATGACAGGGATACAGTGTGACAAATGGATTCTTAGGCAATTTTGTGGTGCAAACACCATACAGTGTACGTATGCAAACCTAGATAGTATGGCCTACTACACACCTAGGCTCTATGATATAGCCTTATTGCTCCTAGGCTACAAACATATATCTGATGTTACAGTACTAAATACTGTAGGCAGTTGTCACAAAATGGTGTTTGTGTATCTAAATGTATCTAAACAAAGAAAAGGTACTGTAAAAATATGATATTATAATGTTATGGGAGCAACATTGTATATGTGGTCTGTGTTGACCAAAATGTTATGCACTGCAGATTGTATTAACTCAAGGTACACTGTGGAAGCCAAAGAGCCTCTATGGCAGCATTTAAGGGAATGATTATCACCTGCAGTCTGCAGGGCAGAATGTGCTGAAAATTAGATCCATGATCTAATTGTGAGACTGGCCAAACCACAATCCTTTGTCTCCCATGTCAAATTCGGAACACTGATGGGAAAATAGTAGGACTCTGAGGCTTGGAATGAGGACATTTGTATAGATAATCCCCAAAAATCTTGAACCCAACTCCCCTGAATGTTCCAAGCTCTCATCTGCTAGAGGAAAACAGCCTCTCCTTGCCTGGAAAACTTGAAAGACCTTACTTGCAGTAAGTAGCTTATGAGATGACATTCATTTATCCTTTTCAAGATTCACCTCAACTCTTTTTCTTCAGGATAATTATGCTTAAGTCTCAGCCCAGCCCAAATGGGGAAGCAGTCTGTGCTTTGGGAGAAAATAGCTTATATGCCAAAGGAATTAAAAATCTAGCAGGAATATGAGGAACAGGTATAGGAGAAGCTCTTAATGACACTGGACTGAGTATGTGGCGTAAATGTCAAAAAAGAAGTGAATGTAGTGACTTGGGGATGTCATTCATGATTTGCGTTCAATTCCTAGTAAAGACACCTGAGCCAGTCCTCACACTGCCAGGAAGACTTCTTATTCTTCTTTTATTTATTTTTATTTATTTATTTATTTATTTATTTATTTATTTATTTATTTTTTGAGACGGGGTCTTTCTTTGTGGCCTGGGCTAGATTGCACTGGTGCAATTAGAGCTTACTGCAGCCTCAACCTCATGGGCTCAAGCAATCCTCCTAACTCAGCCTTTTGAGTAGCTGGGACTACAGGTGTGCACCACCACATCCAGCTAATTAAAAAATTTTTTTTTCACCAGGTGCAATGGCTCACGCCTGTAATCCCAGCAGTTTGGGAGGCTGAGGTGGGTGGATCACCTGAGGTCAGGAGTTCAAGATGAGCCCAACATGGTGAAAATCCATCTCTACTAAAAATATATATATAAAAAAATTAGCTGGGCGTGGTGGCACGTGCCTGTAGTCCCAGCTACTTGGGAGGCTGAGGCAGGAGAATCACTGAGCCCTGGAGGCGGAGGTTGCAGTGAGCCAAGATCATGCCACTGTACTCCAGCTGGGCTTCAGAGTGAGACTCCGTCTCAAAAAAAAATTTTTTTCTAGAGATGGGGTCTCCCTATGTTGCCCAGGCAGGTCTTAAACTCTTAGGCTCAAGGGATCCTCCTGCTTTGGCCTCTCAAAGTGCTGGAATTAAAGGTGTGAGCCACTGCACCTGGCCCGGGAAGACTTCTTGAAGTTTGGGTGTAATGGTAGACTTTAGTAAACGAGGTGGAGATGCCGGAGTTGCCCTTGCATAATATTGAGGAAAAAGTTGGAAGGCACAGGAACGTGGGAAGGTGAGAATGCAACTATTAAGTTAAGCTAGTTAATTCCTCATTTGGTCATCTTCTCTGTGAAGGCCCAAAGGACACTTCCTTCACTAAAGCAATAAGGAATATATGGGTGGTCGGGGTGAGGATGGCTGGTTGGTGTATTTGTCCATTCTCAAACTGCTTTATTTATTTATTTATTTATTTATTTATTTATTTATTTATTTATTTTGAGACAGAGATTTGCTCTTATTACCCAGGTTGGAGTGCAATGGCGTGATCTCAGCTCACTGCAACCTCCATCTCCCAAGTTCAAATGATTCTCCTGTCAGTCTCCCAAGTACCTGGGACTACAGGCATGCAACACCATGCCCAGCTAATTTTGTATTTTTAGTAGAGACGGGGTTTCACCATGTTTGACAAGGCTGGTCTTGAACTCCTGACCTCAGGTGACTTGCCTGCCTTAGCCTCCCAAAGTTCTGGGATTACAGGCGTGAGCCACCATGCCCGGCCCTCACACTGCTATGAAGAACTATCTGAGACTGGGTAATTTATAGAGAAAAGAGGTTTAATTGGCTCACAGTTCTGCAGGCTTTACAGGTAGCATGGCTGGGGAGGCCTCAAGAAACTTACAATCATAGCGGAAGGCTAAGGGGAGGTACACACATCTTACGTGGTGGGAGCAGGAAGAAGAGAGAGTGAAGGGGGAGGTGCTACACAGTTTTAAACAACCAGATCTCATGAGAACTCACTCACTATCACGAGAACAGCAAGGGGGAAGTCCGCCCCCGTGATCCAGTCACATCCCACCAGACTCCTCCTCCAACAATGGGGATTACAATTTGACATGAAATAGATTTGGGCGGGGACACAAATCCAAACCATATCAGGTGGGGCATGATAGGATTCTGGGATGACAGAAACGAGGTGAATATAAATCCCTTAACAGTCAGTGAGGCCAGAGGCAGGCAGGGTAACTTGACCTACAAGCCATTAAGCCCTGGTATTCTGAGGTCAGCTACATGCATAGGGGGTTGCCTGAGAGGTGGCAGTCAGGAAATTTACGTCAGGTATCACAGTGGAAAAATTCCAGCCCTTCCCAAGTCTCTGGACTGAGTTGGTTCCCAGACCCAAAGCCCAATAATTAAAATTGAGGCCAGGTACTTTTGAAATAGGTCATGGCACCACTACCCCAAGTATGAGCAATAAATATTCCCCTAAGCCTTTCCTAAAAGGGCTTTTACCAAGGTAACCATGCACTGGGGAAAGGGACTCAGTCTTTCAAGGACTATTGGAATATTGGGTCTAGGAGCTGGGCTGATGCTGATACCAAGGAAAAAGGAGAGCCATCAAGTTCCTCCAACCAAGGAGGGGAGTCATGGAGGTCAGGCAGTCAGTGGAGTCCCAGCCTCAGACTGACTCATATCCAGTGCACTCAACTATCCATCCTACAGTTACTTTCCCAGCCCTGAGTAGAGCTGGGACAGCTACACACAATAGTTGGCAGAACCCTTGCAGTGGTAGGAGCGGCTACATGGGAGCCTCTGACCCTGTGTAAATCCGAAGTGTCTCAGAGGAACTTCAGTGGTTAGTACCATGGTAAAAAGCTTAAAAGATGCATAATTGTTGGTCCCCATCATTTCTCCATTCAGTGCACCTTTTCGGCCCATATAAAAACCAGATGGGTCACAGAGGATGACAGTGAACTATTACAAGTGCCAACCAAGTGCCTCCTGCAATAAAGCTGCATGTGTTGTCACAGCCTCTGGCCCTTTGTATGTTGCTCTTTCATCTGGCAAATTGCATTCTTTTCCGTCATAACCAGTGAGGAACAGCAAAATTGGAACTATGCAAACTCTCCATCTTTCTGACACAGCACTGGCCAAGGGGACCTTGAGCATCTTGACATCCCACAGAACATCCTGCAGCTCCACCATATTGATGACATCCTGCTAATTGGATCCAGTGAGCAGGAAGTGACAAGCACTCCAAACACCCTAGTAAAACACAGGTGTGCCAGAGGATGCCAGAGAAACAAATATTCAGGATCCTTTTGCATTGGTGAGGCTTTCATAGTCCTTTAGTCCGGTGTATCTCCCACGAGAACATTCCCCATAAGATAAAGGACAAATGGTGGCACATTGCACCCTTCGCCACTAAGAGGGGGCTCCTTGCTTGATGAAGCATTTGGTGGCCCGCTTTGGATTTTGGAGAAGGTATATATTGCATTTGCAAATCCTATTTGTCCCTACAACTCACTCACAGGTTTGCAGCCAACAGGTGTGATGCTGTTCAAGGTATCTGGGATGGGCAAAGATGCTGTTTGGAACCTCCCCCAAGCACTAGTAGGAAAGTCACAGCATGGACCACTAGGGTTCTGGAGAAAGGCAGTCTTCACATTATTCTCACATATCTTTATTTGTTTCCTCCCTAGAATCCACCATTCCACTCCCTTACCCCCACCAGAATCTACCATTCCAGCCCTACCTCCAACCACCAAGAGCTGTCTTCTGGTGTCAATGGTACACCCAATGACAGACCATAAATTTGGTCTCCTATCCACAGGACAAGACCAAGTCCCTGTTGACACCCAGTATGCCTGGAACCTCTGACAAATCTCTGAAGATCAGAGCGACAATTTACTGGCCACAGCTGATCAAACAGTCTGTGATAGCAGAGAATGCAGTGCAAGCGCTGGAGAGGCCTCTGGGACCCCACTCAAAGACACCAAAAATATTCTAGCTTGCAGGGTGCCCTCACGTCCTTGGATGGTGACAACAGGATTATTGCAAGACCTGCACAGGCCCAATGGGTGCAGATGAGCCTCCCAAATCATCTAGTCAATGAGACATCTCCAACCCGAATCCTCCAAGTCACAGGTTTTTCCAAAATTGTAGTGATGACGCTTGTGTGTATACCATTGGATCATTTCCATGAACGCAAAGAAAAGCACCTGCCACTCTGACTGACAGGAGCAAAAAATGTAGCTCAGCATACAGTAATGCTAGAAGTAAGTGCACTGGCACTGTGTGGGAGCCCAAACTCACCCTGCTCAGAGAGACAGGAGGTGGAAAGATGGATGGGGGTGAGCCCCAAGAGAGGGGCACCCACAGCCTCTCCCTCACCCCCATTACAGCACTTGGCTCTCTAGAGCTCACAGATTCCGTAAGTAGCTACAAAGGGCCTTACTTTATGTCTGTATTAATTTATTTCTGATGCAAGATTTTGCTCTGTCATCTAGGCTGCAGTGCAGGGGCATGATCATAGCTCACTGCAGCCTCAAGCTCATAGGCTCAAGTGGTCCTCCCACCTCAGCCTCCCAGTTAATTGGGAATACAGGTGTGCACCACCACACCTGGCTGCTTTTTAAATTTTTATTTTTTGTAGAGATGGGGTCTTGCTACGTGGCCTAGCCTGGTCTGGAACTCCTGGCCTCAAGAGCTCCTCCTGCCTCGGCCTCCCAAAGTGCTAGGATTACAGGTGTGAGCCACAGCACCTGCCCGAGGGCCTTACTTTAGAGCCAAGCAGGACTTTCATGCATCAGGTCTTCTTGTTGAAGACTTGGCCACTGGATTTGACTCCAGGCTGATTACGGTGGGTGGACATGTCTGGAGTGTCCCCCACACAGTCCTTTAGTCTGCTGTGGTCCCCCTCAGGCAAGCGAGGGAGATGGGACAATTCAGACCCACATATGTGCAAGGCCTTGTGGTGAGATGCAGGCCTTGCGGGGCCTGGCAGCTGCTGAATCCAGCTGCCCCTTATTTGCTCCCAGCCAGGCTGTGTACTCAGAAGAGCATGAGCCCCGAGGCCCTCTCCAATAAACCCACATCCAAAACCCCCTCTCCACGGCCCCGCTTCTCCCAGCTCAAACGGCCAAGACAAATGCAGGGCCCCATTCTGAACCTGAGACGGGGCTGGAGGTGAGCGTTGTGCATTGAATGGATCGCTGGAGGCAGAGTCTGAATGTGCTGATGGAACATATTCTCATAACTCGGAGGGAAAAAATCCATATTGCAAATCACCTTACTTAGTTTGGCTTTACAAGAACTATTTATTCCAGAGGAACTGCAGCGCGTTCATCATTCTCATTCTCCTTAAAGCAGCGTGAAACGGCACACAGATGAATTTGAGAATTTTCCCCTCCTAACTATAAAAGGAAGCCAGGACAGAATGCAGATACCCTAGAATCCTGTTAAAATAATTGATTCAGACAGTGGCTTGGTCATTATGTCTGAGTACTCTCTGCCCTTGGTGACATTAAGCAGGGACCCACCCCCCCCCCGCCACCTGGGATAGAGGAGAAGGAGGTCATCTGTCACCTGGTGGCAGGAGGTCACTGTCTGTCCTCAGGGTGTGCAGGCCGTGCTGGGGGCTGGGGGAGACAGAGAAGTCAGACCAGGAGGGGTTTCTGCCCACAGGGGCCATAGCCAATAATGAAAGAGAGTTGAAAGGTAATGTCCTCTGGAAATTCAGATGACAGGGTAATTAATTACCTGTATCTGAGAAATAAAGAGAAGAGGGGATGCACAACACACCTGCCTCCCTGTGCCTGCAGTGTGCCCCTCCTCGGGTTTAGCCATGATCTAATGAGGTCGGCATTAGCATTCTCATTTAGGGTTAGGGTTCACAAGCGCCACTCCTGAGAGATTTGATAACTGGCTCAGGGTCACGATGGCTGGAAAATGGGAGATTCAAACCCAGTTGTCTGAGTTTGGATCTACTTCCCTGTTGCTTGCCCTCCATGCTCTAGTGGGGAGAGAGGAGGAAGAAGATAATTTTAAGACAGAGACACACAACATAAAGGAGGGAGATAAGATGGCTCCTAGCAAAGAGGAGACATCTGAGAGACGCAGTGTGAGAGCCTCCTTCCCACAAGGGCTCCCGACCCCAGAAAAAAGGCAACAGTGCAGGGTCATTGCACACTGGCCCTGCGCATCTTAACTTCTTCTTCTTTTTTTTTTTTTTTAGATGGAGTCTCACTCTGTTGCTCAGGCTGGAGTGCAGTGGTGCGATCTTGGCTCACTGCAAACTCCGTCTCCTGGGCTCAAGTGATTCTCCTGCCTCAGCCTCCCAAGTAGCTGGGATTACAGGTGCTTGCCACCACGCCCAGCTAATTGTTGTATTTTTGGTAGAGATGGGATTTCACTATGTTGGCCAGGCTGGTCTCAAACTGCTCACCTCAGGTGATACACCTGCCTTGGCCTCCCAAAGTGCTGGGATTACAGGTGTGAGCCACCACACCCAGACGTATATGGAATATTTATACAGCCTATAATAATCATATCAGGGTAAATGGGGTATCTGTCACCTCAAGCATTTATTGGCTAATGATTTTAATTTGAATGATTCTCTTTTTCTTGAATGTGGAGAGAATAAGTAGGGTAACTCACAACCAGGCTTGCTTTGGGTTTTCCCATACAGACATCTCAACTTGCCTGTCTCAAGGAGAAAGGTTTTTGGCATTTTAGAGAGACGGCTCTGCCTTCTCCTAGCACCTCTTCAAAGAATCCACAAGAAACCACCAAAGTGGGTTAGAGACAGGGGAGTATGACAGGTGCTTCTCAGGGGCTGAGCCCTGAGAAGGATCACAAGAGGAGCCCCTGACAGCTGTGGTGCAAGTCAGGAGGTGCTCAGATTATGCCAGGAGCTTCTCGGGGGACAGGGGCTGAACACTGCAGGGCCACATAATGGAGGACCACATTTGGTTGATGGATAAAAAATCAAGCCTCAATGGGAGACAGTGTTTCTGATGTTCACAGCAGCGTGATTCAGAGGAGCCCCAAAGTGGAAACAACCCAAATGTCCATCAACTGATGGATAAGCAAAATGCGGCATATCCATGCAATGCAATAAACAGCCATAGACAGAAGCGAAGCGCTGATCCATGCTACAGTGTGGAGAAATCTTGAAAACACTAGGGAAGTGAAAGAAACCAGAAACAAAAGACCACCGGTTGTGTGATTCCATTTAGAGGAAATGTCCAGAATAGGTGAATCCATAGAGATGGAAAGAGGAGTGGTGTCACCTAGGACTGGAGGAGATGGGGGGCTGGGGAGGGGTGATGGCTACTGCTTGCAAGATTTCTTTTGTGGGGAACAAAAGTGTTCTAAAATTGATTGAAGTGGTGATGGTCTCATGACTCTGTGAATATACGAAAAGCCATTGAATTGTGTACTTTAACCAGGCACATTGTATGGAGTGTGGTTTATATTGCAATAAAACTTTTTTTTTTTTTTTGGGGGGGACAGTCTCCCTCTATCGCCCAGGCTGGAGTGCAGTGGCATGATCTCGCCTCCCTGCAACCTCTGCCTCCCGGGTTCAAGCCATTCTCCTGCTTCAGCCTCGCCTCTTAATGGCAAGAGTTGTTCCTTTACATTCTTTGGATATTTGCTGGGTGTTACATGCACAAGTCATAGAACTCAGTATTGTGGGAGAGACACATTTGAGAAGGCATGGGCCCTTTAAGAAGTTCGAAGTTCATATTTTCAACATGTATGCTAGAAAGAGATTTAATATCCTAACTATATACAACAAGAGTTCTTAAAAATCAATAAGAAAAGAGAAAATATCCTTATAAAAAACAAAAGCAATTTCAGATGTCACTGGTATGAGTATTCATTTTCCCCACTTTCTTGGAGGGCAGTTTGATAAAACATATGAAACTATGTAAACTTTGGTTCAATAATTCCACCCTAAAGAGCTTCACCTCAGTAAGCAATTAGAGATGTGCAGAAAGCTTGAGTACAGTAATGTTAGCAACAGCTTGATTTGCAATACTAAAAATATGGAAATGGTTCATCCAGAGAATAGAATATTTTGCAAAAATATAAATCATGTTTTTGAAAAGTACTTAATGTCTACAAAAATATTTAGGAGAGAATACAGAAAAAGCAGAATATATATTACAATGCTTTGATACCAAATGTATCAGTAAAGTGTTATTGTAGTTTTTTGTTTGTTTGCTTGTTTGTTTTTTGAGACAGGGTCTGGCTCTGTTTCCCAGGCTGGAGTGCAGTAGCGCCATCTCGGATCACTGCAGTCTCCATCTCCCAGGTTCAGGTGATTCTCCTGCCTCAGCTTCCCAAGTAGCTGGGACTACAGGTGCCCATTACCACGCCCGGCTAATTTTTGTGTTTTTAGTAGAGATGGGGTTTTACCATGTTGCCCAGGTTGGTCTCCAACTCCTGGGCTCAAGCCATGTACCCACCTCGGCCTCCCTAAGTGCTGGATTACAGGTGTCAGCCACTGTGCCCAGCCTAGATTTTTATTTTATTCCTTAAAACCTTACATAATAATTCCATATTTATTTTAAAATCAGAAAAAACTAATTTTTGGAGGAAGAATATGAAGTCTAAAAGGAGAGCTAAGGCAAATACAAAAGTGAGCAGGACTGGGATTCAGCCAGTACACACCAGGAGACTCCATCATGTCTCAGGGTGGCCAAAATGACCCGTGGCCATTTGATTAGCTGGACCCTTGACAGATCATTAAATATATTTAATATCACTCATGCAAATAACTACGGTCAAAGGCAGGAAATGATAAATTTCTTAAAGCCTGGATAAAGTGTTTTTAAAAGTGACATTCCATGAAAAGAATTGTTTGGAGACCACTGACAGTGAAAATGAAATAGACCATCAGGCCAGGCGCGGTGGCTCACGCCTGTAATCCCAGCACTTTGGGAGGCCAAGGTGGGCGGATCACGAGGTCAGGAGATCGAGACCGTCCCGGCTAACACGGTGAAACCCCGTCTCTACTAAAAATACAAAAAATTAGCTGGGCGTGGTGGCGGGCACCTGTAGTCCCAGCTATTTGGGAGGCCAAGGCAGGAGAATGGCGTGAACCTGGGAGGCGGAGCTTGCAGTGAGCCGAGATCGTGCCACTGCACTCCGGCCTGGGCAACAGAGCGAGACTCTGTCTCAAAAAAAAAAAAATAGACCATCATACTCTAAAGACTTTAAAAGTGACTGTGCTTAAGAACTAGAAAAGAATCTTAAAGATCAAAAATGTCACAGGTGGAGAAAAGAAATATTCACCCACTCGTCCAAGGTCTCAGAGATAAGGTGGTGTTAAGTAATTGCATCCCCCAAGTTCATGTGTTGAAGTCCTAACCTCCAGTGCTTCAGAACATGACCTTATTTGGAAATAGGGTCACTGTTGGATGTAATTAATTAAGGTGAGGTCATTAGGACAGGCCCGAATCCAACTGACTGGCTGAATATGACTGGTATTCTTACAAGAAGGGAGAGTTTGGACACAGACACAGACATGCTTGCAGGGGGAACATGTGATCACGAAGCCAGAGGTTGGGTTGATGCTTCTACAAGCCAAGGAATACCAAAGATTGCCAGCAAAGTACCAGAATCTAGGACAGTGGCATGAAACAGATTGTCCCTCATGGCTCTCAGGAGGAACCCACCATGCAACACCTTGATCTTGGACTTCTGGACTCCAGAATGCTGAGACGATCAATTTCTGTTGGTTAACATCCTGGTCTCTGGTGCTTTGTCATGACAGCCCTAGCAAATGAATACAGGTGGGAAGCAGAACTGGACTCAGGTGAGCTGACTCTCAGCCCAGCATGGAGGTCTTTTAACATACTCCAACGTCTAGTAGACATTTCCTGAGTAAATAAATTCTTGAACCCTCTCCGGATGGAGATTTTTGTGGTTTTCATGTTCAGGACAGAACTTACTCTGAACTCCAAGCCAAGCTGAGATCGGAACTTGGACTGGAATTGAAGGGTCCCGCGGGGCTTAGATCGCCAGGTTAACCCATGAGGGTGGAAATGGGTGCTGAAGGTCCTCTCACCTGAGTTAGAGGCAGCAGGAGGGCAGCCCCTGAGGCTGTGGGATGTGGCCTTTGAAGCCTGCAGGTTGCCCTCCAGTGTAGGGTTTTCTAATGAAGACAGAAACAGCAAGTGTTGACCACACTCTTCTCCCAGGCACTTGGCAGCTGTGCTTGCATTCCTCCTCCAGGCCCAGATGTCTCAGGCAGGAACGCTGGGTCCTGGACTTTTAATTCAATCCAGATTGTGTATTGAGTCCTCTTACCATTTGGGCATGAAAAGGAGATGGAAGGGACAGTGTCTGGCTTGGGAAAGCTGACCTTCTGCCTGTGAAGCAAGACCCATCGCCCAGCCTGATATGCAACAGCAATACATCACATATGGGAATCTCACCTCCCACAGAACAGGAAGAGGACGGGACGTGCAGAGGCATGATGTGTTGGCATCATCAACAGGAAACTGACACTCCTGCCCTTGTGGCCTCCCGATACTGTCCTCCATGCTCCAAACTCCCTTCGAAGCAACTGGAGACCCAGAAGGTCAGAATCATTTACGAAATTCATGTCTAAAGGCCACACTGGAAGGTTCACGTTTTAGGATGAAACAAAACAAAACAAAACCCTAGGACCCAAATTTCTTTAACTTGAAGCCAGGGAAGGAGATGCACCCAGCACATATGAGGTGCTGGAGCTCCATGATTGGCAGCCTCTGGGCCACCCCCGGCAGGGCCCTGTCTCCAGCAGGCAGCCTCCTGTCTGTGGTGAGGACTCCTCCACAAAGGACATGTGCTCTCCAGTCCTCAACCCACGCCTGCGTCACCCAGGGTACCCAGCCAGGACTCAGACCAACCGTTTTATGACCCACAGAAACGTTGAAAACAGTGTTTCTCCAGAGCAGCTTTAAATGCAAACAAAAGACTCTTCTAGAAACCATTGCCTCAAGCTGTATGAGGCAAGAGGAAAAAAAAAAAAAAAGAACAGCTCTCAAATTAAAATCCATGATACATTTTGTACATAGATTGTGGTTTTATAGTCACTTTAATCTTCCTCCCCACTAAACTCCTCCAAAGATTTGAACATCAGCCGAGCCAACACACAGTTGCACTTCTAAGCAACACACTTGTAAAACCAGACCCTGGATGGTGTCCATAACAGCTTTGTAACATCTCCAAAGCAAAGGGTGACATGATACATTGAAACAGATCCAAGTAGCCATTACTATGTTTTGTGTCAAAGAGCTGCGTTATTAAAGTCTTGGAACTATAAATCAGAACAGTTGCATGTTGGGGCTTCCTGCTCATCTCCATGTCCCACGTCGGCACAAGTCATTCCAGGGGTCCTGAAGGCTGCCCTGGGTCCACCCGGTATCTGCTGGACAGCTGAGCCCATGGCCTGCATTGTCACTGCTGGGGTGGTTGGCATGGAGCAGAGTGTGGCCCTAGTGGATCAAGGTGAGCTTTCTACAGGGCCCCGGCGCTTGGTGCAGACTTCACAACACCAACATTTTCCAGATTCATCCAGTCCCCCATACCAAGCCCTCAGCGTGCGACTGACCTAAGACTGACAGGAAAAGGCATTTTTGAGCCAGGCACGGTAGCTTGCGTCTGTGATCCCAGCACTCTGGGAGGCTGAGGTAGGAGGATTGCTTAAGGCCATGAGTTGGAGACCAGCCTGGGCAACAAAACAAGACTTCATCTCTATAAAAACTAAAAATAAAAAAAAATTAGACAGGTGTGGTGGTGTGTACCTGTAGTCCTAGCTACTCAGGAGGCTAAGGCAGGAGGATGGCTTGAGCCCAGGAGTTCAAGGTTGCAGTGAGCTATGATCACAGCACTGCACTCCAGCCTGGGAGACAGAGCAACACTCCATCTCCAGAAAAAAAAGGCAGGGGGGCATTATTATTTATTTTCAAAGTCTCAAGTTCAATCAAAAAGAACTGTGATTCTTGGCCTCGCCTTTGCTCCTTCTCTTTTCTGAGGCAAGCCTGGGACCCATGGGCCAGATCAGCTTAGCAAAGCACCTGTTGGACAAGGAAAAATGGAGTTCATCTCCATTTTTGGCATCATAATCTAAGGGAATCGTGTTAGCATTTCACTAAGAGCTAAAATATGACCTGCAGGTGGAGTGAGTTTGTGTGCCCCTCAGTAAGAGAGCAGGGGCTTGGGAATCCAATGCTGGGGTGGAGGCCTGACTCTGTCAATTTGGCGAGTCACCTCCTCATTCTCTCAACAAGCCCCTGGGAGGCACACACCCCTCAGTAGCGAGGAGGGGTGGTCACTGTAAAGGGCTGTGGAAACACTTGTCTGAGGTCCTACCATCACCCCAGAGCTGACCTTTGTTTCATTTCTGTGCATCTCCCACTCTGAAAGGCCCAGGACGTGGATTCTAGATTTCCCACCAATTTAAGCACGACACAACGAGGTCTCACCTAGGAGTGGGCCTAAGTGAAGTAGGGACATCACATTTGTTGTCCCTGATGGAGCATGAAACCACCTGGGACACTGAAAACATTTGCTTGCAAAGGGGCCTCCTCACCCCAGGAAGTGCTCAGGGGCAGGCAGCAGCCCAGCCTTGCAGGGCCTCTGTGGGGTAGGAGGGGAGGCACTGGGAATTCGAGGACAGAGGTCCCCTATGCTCAGCCAGCTAGAGACATGGAGGGCAGAGGAGGTGCTGCCTCAAGAGTGTGACAGGTCACAGAGGGACAGGCTGACCTGTCCCCTGACCACCCACTCCCACCGGGCAAGTAGAAAGCCTCACCTTGGAGTTCTTGAGCTGTTTCCAGAACACTCCTGGTTAAAAAAACACATTAGGGCAGTGGGAGGTGTGGATGCTAAGACTCATGACAACAGAACCTTAGAGCTGGTGTGTTTGACTGAAGAGAATTCCCCACCGTGGGGAGGGAGCAGGAGAGGGGACAGCAACTTTGTCTGTTCAGATACAACCTCTATGGGGCCTTGGGCCCTGCCAGGAGGGTGCAGGCTCAGCTGCACCCTGAGAGGGTAGAGGATCACTCGGGGAGCACGTCCTCATGGTGAACAGGCATCTCCTATACCCTGGCCAACCATTGCATCCAACACAGGGAAGCAAGTGGCCAGGACAGCAAGGACTGGGATGCTGGGGAAACCAGTATCCCCAGCATTAGGAGTAGAAAGTGGGCCTCCAGGGACCCAAGATTCCAGATGAGACACAGCTCCCTCATCGGTTCTCTTCCAGTCCCCCTGGTGACATCAGAGAAAAGCCTCTGTCTCACACTAGTGTGTCCCTGGCCAACCTTCCTCATCACTGGCAGGAGCAGATCCTGGGCCTCCAGGCTCCAGCCGGCAACAGCTGCATTTGAATGACATTGTTTTGTCTTCATTGCATTTTTAAAAAAGCTTGACTGAGGTGTAACTGACATATGAAAGAACTGCACTTATTTAATATGTGCAATTTGGTGAGTCTGGACATACACAAACACCCGCAAGATCATCACACTCGAGGTCATAAACATCCATCACCTCCAAAAGGTTCCTCGTTTTGGGGGGCTGTGTCTTGTTCTGTTTGTGCAGTAAGAACATTTAACGAGAGTACTCTCTTAACAATTTTTTGTGGTTTTTTTTTTGACCAAGTCTCACTCTGTCACCCAGGTTGGAGTGCAGTGGCATGATCTCGGTTAACTGCAACCACTGCCTCCCAGGTTCAAGTGATTCTTCTGCCTCAGCTTCCTGAGTAGCTGGGACTATAGGCACCTGCCACCGTGCCCAACTAATTTTGTATTTTTTAGTAGAGATGGGGTTTCATCATGTTGGCCAGGCTGGTCTTGAACTCCTGACCTCAAGTGATCTGCTGTCTCGGCCTCCCAATGTTCTTGGATTACAGCATGAGCCACCATGCCCAGCCTACTCTCTTAACAATTTTTGTAGGGGCACAATGCATATATTAATTCTAGGCACTATGTTGAACAGCAGATCTCTAGAATTTATGTTGTATTTTTAATGGTCTGACAAATGACATTACTTTTCACATTTAGCGTATCATAGGAAACTTTTAAGTAAACCGATTTAAGTAAAATGTCAGTCAATTTTTTTTAAAGGTTGAATAAACAACAGACTATAGGTGGTAGTGGCCATGGCGAAAATCATTAAAACTGTATGTGGTAGAATGAGGACACAGCACAAATAATGACCCTGAACGAGTGAAGTTTGGCAAAGCTCTGGTGGAGGAAGGTTCTGGAACTGGAGCCAAAAGGCCTGGTGCAGCTCTTTTCTGCAAAGCCCCCACGGAAGGCCTGATTTCTCTGGGCCTGGAAGTTCGCTGTAAGAATGAAACAGGAACATGGCCTTTGTGTTCTCCTGGCATAATGACCAGCCTGCATCAGGAACCTAATCTATGTCATTTAATTGGAATTTATATCAGTTATTGGGGTCGTGGTAGCTGCTGATTGATAATAGGATGATATTGACAATATGAAGTGAAGTAATACAAACACCAATGTTGAAGCCAATTGTCCTGGTCCCTGGTCCCCAGGGTGGCTGTCAGGCTGACCACCTTCTAGCTGGAAATTTCAGCCCCAGGGCCACACATGGACACCGTGGGTTGGCAAATTATCTCCCAAGGCACAAGCTGCAACAACAGTCGAGAAATACAATTAATTGTTATATCAGGTATACAAGCGCAGAAACCCGAGCCATGTCCCTCCCTCAAGTAAAGAAGCTGAGAGAGAGGAGATAATGATTTAGTCAAAGAAAACCAGCCGACAGCCGCACTGTGCAGAAGGAAGCAGGATGGGGAGAGGTCTGTCTGCTTTTTTCTTTTTGGACTCCATAAAGAAAATAAAACACACGTGGGAAGTCTAAGCTGGACTACCAAGTAGCCTGAGTTCCAATTAAGGATGTAAATCTAATGCTTTTTGGGTCTGGTATTGAAGAATTTATGATGTTCTGAAGACAAGATGTTGATCATTCCTGTTAATCCCTATTTCCCCCAGGAGAATCCAATGGTCGGTTACTGCTCAATGTTCCCTGTTCCAAAGGGTCCTAGTGACTCCACCAAAGGAAAAAAAAATGGTTAAAACAACAGGTGGCCTATGGGATTTGCCTTTAATTAAATACTCCAGAAGGCAGGAATTAACTTACAATTTGACCAAAATGAAAGAAGCTCTAGTTTAATTGGATCCACATGATGTGTGCCTTTCTTCTTTTTATATGAGCCTTCTCTTGGTTTCTGCTTTCTTTGCTTCCTTTGCTTCCTTTTTTTTTTTTTTTTTTTTGAGATGCAGTCTCACTCTGTCACCCAGGCTGGAGTGCGGTGGCGCCATCTCGGCTCAGTGCAACCTCCACCTCTCAGGTTCAAGCGATTCTCCTGTCTCAGCCTCCAGAAGTGTTGGGATTACAGGCGCGTGCCACCACACCTAGCTAATTTTTGTACTTTTGGTAGAGATGGTGTTTCGATATGTTGGCCAGGCTGGTCTCAAACTCCTGACCTCAGGTGATCTATCTGATTCTGTCTCCCAAAGTGCTCGGATTATAGGCATGAGCCACTGTGCCTGGCCTGCTTTCTCCTCTTCTTACCCTTTCCTTGCAGGCTTCAGTTTGGGTGCAGTTTCTTCTGGGAGTTCTCCAAGTCTGGTCTCAAAAAGTCCTGTCCAGATCCCTTGTCCTTCTTGGTCCCCACCAGGACTATAAGCTCTGTGCAGGCAGGGGCAGGGCAAGGACAAGGTCTGCCAGCTTCATGTGCCAGGAGGGGTCCCTGAACTCAGCACACTGAACACTTCACATGGGTGTCGTTTGGCTGGGCATAGTGGTTCATGTTTGTAATCCCAGCACTTTGGGAGGCTGGGGTGGGAGGATTGCTTGAGGTCCGGAGTTTGAAAACATCCTGGGCAACACAGTAAGACCCCATCTCTACCAAAAAAGAATTAAACAATTATCCAGGCCTGGTGCACAGCTGTAGTCCCAGCTACTCGGGAGGCTGAGGCAGGAGTTTGAGGCTTGAGTCCAGGAGTTTGAGGCTGCAGTGAGCTACAATCGCACCACTGCAATCTAGCCTGGATGATGGAGCAAGACGCTGTTTCTAAACAAAATTAACATTTTTTTTAAAGTATGTAGTTTATTGTGTGTTAATTATATAGTTGTGGAGCACAGCCTTGGAGCACAGGGGCCTAGCTGGTGGCTTTGCCCACTGCTTTCATGGGCTCTGGAAGGAAAAGCGTTGATAGAATTTCAGATAAGAATTTCAGATTTTCCAGGCTCCCTGGGAATTGGAGAAGTGGTGGGCAGGGGGTTGGTGGGGTGGTCTGTAAATGCAGGTGAATCAGCAACATGAGGTGACAACTATGGAAAAGTCCATCTTCCTGCTGGGGTGACGGCTCCTGTGTCTGCAGCATCCCGCCCTCCCAGCTTCCCGCTGCCGCTGAGCATCCTTACCCTTCAGGCGAGGCAGTGGAGGCTTAGAGAGTTTGGGTCATCTCTAGTGGCATGGCTGGTAGGGATGGAGACTAGGCCTGGTGGTAAACAGGGCAAGAAGAGGAGCCCTGGATGCAGGAGGCCATCCTCATGTTCCCGCTGCAGAGGTTGTTCTTGGAGAATTTGGTCCCCTAAACTCCACAGACAGGGAAAGGGAGGTTTCGCTTAAAGGGGCCTGGATGGAGGTGGCTTTCTCATCTCCTTACATGGAAAATGGGGACGAGGCTGTCTTCAAGCTAAGTACCTTTTTGGGAATGACTAAAGAATCGTCACTGTGCCCAAGGGAGTGAGTGACCCTGGAATGGATGTGAGGGAGGCTTGCGATCTCCTCTCTGGAAATGCAGACCCCCCAGGGAAGCTGGCTCTGTGCCAGGGGAAGGTTGTGCAGGGACCAAGTGAAGTGCCCTTCCAAGTCTGAGCTCCCTGGTCCCATCTGAAGTCTAGCCGAGCCAGGAATGGCGGCTCTTGAAGGGCTTTTTCAAGTCAAGCTCATTGCTCTGGCTGGGGGCTAGCACAGGGAGCAACATGAGAGCCTCTGACCACTCACAGGTGGAGGGCACTGGAGGCAGGGCAAAGAGCTATGCAGAAGAGGACAGCATTCCGTAGACTCTGCTACTGTTTCTGTGGCACGTGGGCAAGTATCCCCAACAGTCACTAGAAAAGCACAGAATGAACCCATCCTTCCCTAAAGCGAAGAATGCAGCCAGGCAGCTCCACATTCAAAGCTCAGCTTCTCATGTACCAGCCATGGGCCCCTGGGCATGTGAAATTAAATTGCCTGCTTTCCTCATCTGCAAAATGCGGATGACAATTCCTGCCTTCCTTTCAGCATTGCTGTAAACATGCAAAGAGGCAAGAGCTGTAAAATCATGAGCATAGAGCCCATCTTGGAGCTAGTGCAGGATATGCGGTAGACGCTGAAGAAGGGGATCATCTGTATGTTCTACTTTATGGATCTATTACGCATTTCCATCCCTTCTCTTACTTCACCTTCCTCATGTTAGTAGATAAATATCATTATACCCATTTTACAGAAGAGGAAATAGAATGGTTAAATAGCTTGCCTACAAGCTAATCTTAAGATGAGCGCCCATTCTACAACATTACAACTCTTTTTTCCTTCGTTTCCCTTTAGGTTAAATCTAACTTCCACCAATAAGCCCCCTCCCCTTCCAGACCCTCAGCAGCCAGGCAACAGGCCGCTAGCTGCATTTTCTCTCAAGGCAAACAAGATCCCTTTCCTTGCTGCTTTTGGCTCCCAGGAGACAGGCAGTCCTGTTGTCTAAGCTCCTCTAGCCACAGGATCTTGAGCACAAGCAACAGTCTTTAATTTTGTACAGAGTGAGCCTTTTGTCTTTAGTCCTATCTCAATTCTTATTAACGCAATTAAAATGCATTCCATTGACTAAGGTGTAAATGTGCTCCCCACGATGGGTGATTGTCTATGGAGAGACGCATAGAGAATAAATAGTCTTCTAAGTGGCTTCCAGGCTGCAGCCAAGCGGAAGGCTTGCTTTCATCAGTGGAGGTGTTCTTGCCGCATAAATCTCCGGCGACTACTTGGTCTCCGGTAAACACCACATTGGCATCAAGATCAAGGAAACGGAAGTGCAATGATGAAGTTCGCAAAGATGGGGGTGGCGTGTGTTCCCATGCAAACATCTTGGCTTGGTGCTCTGTAAGTTGGAGAGCTTGACGCTGAATTGCATGAAGAGGTCCAGCCTGCATCAGTTACTACATCAGGATCCAAAAGAACGTCCAGCACCCCCCACCTTCTGCTCCCCGGTTCCAGCAGACCCATGCATCAGAACAAAAGCTGTCGGCAGCACTTCCCCCACCTCCGAGCCAAGGATCACCTTAACCTTCTTCCCGTCTGCTCCATTCAGTCTCCACTGTTACATTCTGCCTCCACATTCAAGGCCTGGCTGTGGTCAGAGGTCGCTGAATGAATCATGTTAAACAAGAGCTTTGCTGATGTTTTAGAATTTCTAGGGTGACCTAATTCCCTGTATCTGTTTTTCACAACTTTTCTATTTTTTTTCTTCTTCTCTGTTGTTTATAGGAGCAAATCACTGGACGGAGATCAAGCAGTTTATGGTGCCAAGAAACCAGAGAGGCTGCAGAGGCTCAGAGCACCATGGAAGAAAGCTTTCTGCTTGCCAGCACCGTCCCCAACTGCCCCTGCTGAGGGGCTGCCTTTGGAGCTGGCACACGGGATCCCTGGGGTCAGCACAGGGTGGCCCATGCATACACCCAGCCCCAACAGGACGCCTGGCTCAGTGTTGGCAACAACCGCCTCCCCAGGGACCCCTCTATGCCCTGGCCTGGCTGCTTCCCCAGCCTCAGCTCCAATGGGCGGGGGGGGTTCCTTTTGTTTCAGCGTGCAGGTGACCTTATGCTGGTGTCTCATAGAATAAAGAGAATGTGTTCGTGGGAGAAACACTGGCAGGATAAGACTTCCTGCCTGCACTGTGCTCTTCAGAGAGCACGTTCCTATTTTGAGCTCTTTCTTTCTTGCCACTGCCCTGCCCCAGCAGGAAAGGACCTCTGCACGTTCTCATTCTCCGGTTCTGCAGAGGCTGAATCAGAGACTGGAAGGCTAGGGCACCGGTTGCGCTTCTATTCACTTCTAATGTGAGCTTCAGAAACTTCCAGCCCTTGCATACCCACTCTCTCCCTTGGCCCTCCTCCTAGATTCCCACAAGCTAGACAGGGCAGGATTCCTACCCGACCCTGGATGAGGAAAGTGCGATCAAAGCTCTGAAGGACTTGTCCAGGGTCGTGGAGCTCATCAGTAGAGCAGCCCAAGCAGAAACAGATTTTTCTAAGTCTAAAAAACGTGACAATGTAAATCAGAAAGTTTAAGTTGCATTCTTTCTTTCCATCACACTTTAAGTGTGGGATTATTTGCAAATCACCTATGGTGACTCTCTATTACTCCTATTTTATCTGTTTGATAGACCCAGATTTTCCTTTGTGCATTCCTTGAAGTGAAGCCCTTGGATGAAGCTAGCTCCCACTGACTCGGGAATAAAAGCTCTTACCAGGTACCTTGTGATTCTAAGTGCTTCTGGCCCATCCAGGCATTTAATGGGTACTGGTACCATAATCGCCACCACCACCACCACTATCATCATCATCATCATCATCACCACCACCACCATCATCATCATGGTCATCTCCCACCCCTGTAGACCTATGAGGATAAACTGGCAGATACTTTAGTTAGCCTGTGCAAGGTCAGCAGAGGAGAGGCAGGAATGTTGAGGCTCAAACTCAGGGCCTCTGCTCACAGTCTTGGCTTTACTCTCTGCCTCGTCCCAAACACACCTTGCTTCTTCTCCCACTGTGTCTGTGAAGGGAGAGGGAAGGATTAGATTTTAGAGGCGAGAAGCACTGAGCCAATGACACGACGATCCTGGATTACCCTACTTAGAGGCATAGATGGGTTGGAAGCCTAACATTTTCAGACTAATTTTCAAGAAGCTTCATCCAAGTACTTAGGATGAGCCAATGGCAGAAGAAATATTCAGAAGTAAATCCCCTAGACCTGCTTCTTAAATTTTAATGTACATGCAAATCCCCTAGAAATGGTGTGGGAATGCAGATTCAGATTCAGCAGGTCCGGGTGGGGCTGAGGCTCTGTATGGCTAACCAGGGTGATGCAGAAGTTTCTGGTCTGTGGACCAGACTTTGAGTAGCAGGGCCCTAGACCACAGGTTTCCTGACTAGATTCCTGGGTTTCCTGAAGATGACTCAGGTGCTGGCCTGGGGGGCTGTGCAATGGGGTTTCTGAATCACATCTCTCTTGGAAAAAAGGGTTTATCCTGCTTTGAAAATAAGTTTGAAAGCCACAACCCTAAATATAATACCCCATGCACTTGGAGGTACTTATTTTAATGTGTGGCAAGAAATTTCTGTCCCCAAAGAGAAATTCTTTTATATGCTTTGCTGACTCAGGGGAATCAGTGCCCATATTTGGACAGCTGGCCTTACAGTGACCTCACTGCTACCTAATGGAAAATGTTGAAGGTACTCTACTTAGAAATAATTATATTTACATAGCCTCTGTGTTCTCTCCCCCCAATCCCTCTCTCTCTCTCTGTCTCTCTCTCTCTCATAGATTCTTGCAGAAAAAAAAGAACACTTGCTTCTGGAATTCATCAGTTCCAGCTGTTTACTTCCATTGAGGCCAGAAACTTATTTTTTTTCCCTGTGTTTAAGTTTTTTATGGGAGCGAAGGGTAAGGAAGGCTTCCATGACTACAATCATGAAAAATCGGTCTATTGAGTGAGAGCTCACCACCAGACCAGAGAAAACAAGATATTGGGGCATTGAACGGGAAGGTCCTGAATATAATCCTGTGTTCTCCCTATGTGTTCTGCAAGAAAAGAATTCTGTGATCAAGCGTGTTAGGAAAATGCAGTGTTAAACAAACTTCTCTCCTATAGGATTTCTTAGAGCCTTTTATGAGATAATATGGTTATAACTCCCCCAGAGGCAATAAGTGTCTGCAATGTTTCCCAAACTTCCTTAAATAGAGTCCACTTTCATGGAACATCTTGAGGAACACTAGAAGTCCATGGAATCTGACTTCTGCAAGCAGCTGATCAAACCCCAGCTCTAGAGCACCAGATTCAGACGAGATCAGGCACATTCAGGGTGGAATGACCAAAGACTAGAAGGCCTGATTCAATCCCTAAACCTGGGAAAACACCTTCCTTGTGGGCTGGTTCCCCAAATGATCAGACACCAAGACCTTCCATCTCTGGAATTATAGTTCTAGAAAATTCTAGAAAGTTCTGGAAAGTTTTTGGCTAAGACTTGGACCATCCCTGGGAGTTTGGTGCAGAGGCTGAGCTACAGAGTCACCTCAGTGGCCAAGACTTAGGAATCATCCCACAGTCCTGCAAGTGCACAGTGGGGACTTAGTTTCATTCCCCATGTGTCTCCAGAGTGGCCCACAGGGAGCCGTCTACATACGTGGGTTTGGGTGAATGTGGGGAATCAGCAAGGAGGGGTTGCCCCTGCTAGAGGGTGTGCAGAGCTCCCAGGAGCCCTCTGCTTGTGTGGGAGGAAGAAGAGCTCGTGGGGAAAGGCAATGCATGGATGTCCCATGCAGGCCCAGACTAGGCAAGACCTAGACGTGCATCTAGTCCCCTTTAGCTTCTCTCCTGCCTCAGTCTACCACTTCCCAAACAAGGTAGTGAGGTGGCTGTAAGGACACTCCAGGTCTGACAGTCAAAGCTGCTAGAACAGCATGTCCTAAGTGTGATGCCATCACATTAGAAGTCTAGGTGCACACACTTTTTTTTAATTTTAGTGGTTATGTACTTGTTTTACCATTTATAAGAAAACAAAAGTGAATGGTCCCTCGAGCCTCTGCTTTCACAGATGTTTGTGCTTTGAGGGAGGCTAATGCAGGTGGACCTGGAGCTCCTGGCTGTGTTCAGCTCCAGAATCATGCCCAGATAGGAGCAGAGCTGGCAAAAACTGTGAGCAGGTGTGTTAGTCTGCTTGGCGTGGCTGTCAAGTCATACCTGAGGCTGGGTAATTTAGGCAGAAAAAAGGTTTATTTAGCTCATGGTTCAGCAAAGAGTATAAGAAGCATGGTGCCAGGGCTGGGTGCACTGGCTCACGCCTGTAATCCCAGCACTTTGAGAGGCTGAGGCAAGTGGATCACTTGAGGTCAGGAGCTCAAGACCAGCCTGGCCAACATGGTGAAGCCCTATCACTACTCAAAATACAAAAATTAGCCTGGCGTGGTGGCAGGCACTTGTAATCCCAGCTACTCAGGAGGCTTAGGCAGGAGAATTACTTGAACCCAGGAGGCTGAGATGGTGCCATTGCACTCCAGCCTGGGTGATAGAGTGAGTGAGACCCTACCTCAAAAAAAAAAGCATGGCACCAGCACTTGCTTCTGGTGAGGCCTCAGGAACCTTCTACCACTCATGGCAGAAGGGGAAGGGGGGGAACAGGCATGTCACATGACAGGAGAGGGAGCAAGAGAGATAAAAGAGGAGGTGTCAGTTTCCCTTAAACAACCAGCTCTTATGTGAACTAATAGAGCGAGAACTCACTCATTACCGTGGGAGGGAGGCATCTGCCCCCGTGACCCAAACACCTCCCATCAGGCCCCGCCTCCAACATCAGGGATCACATTTCAACATGAGATTTGGAGGGGACAAACATATAAACTGTATCAGCAGGTAAAGGAGGACTGAAGCTATAGACTCAGGGAAATCCAGAATTCTTGGAAAGTACACCTCCTAATTGCCAGACAGCAGGTCACTGGGGCTGGGAGACAGAGCTGATGGTCCCCCGAAGTGACAGGCCTGCGGACGTGTAAGAAAGTCTAAGGATGAAGAGCAAATAGGCTGTGCGTAGCTCCCTACCCAGCCTTCCCATCTGGCTTCTTTCTCTTTGCATTCCAAGGCCTGGATTTAATTCACTGGATGAGATTATGTTAATACGTCCTGTTCCCAAGTACACCTTTGGCAGAAGCTGTATTTAAACTAAAATGTAAGAGAGAACTCCTTCAGTTAACTCAAAATAGGTCTCCCTTTGACCCCTTAATGCTGCAGTTTGACACAAGACTCTGCATACACAAGTGGTCAGGCTTAAATAATGTAAAACGTTCTATTTTCTGACTATGGCTCCAATCTGGTTTAGGCGAGAGGGCTGTGTACATTTATCACTCTCCTGCAGAGAGTAATAATAGTCCCTGGGACTTGGTGAGGGCTCATTATGTGTCAGGCACTATTCTAAGAACTTGACGTATTAACTCCTTTCACCCTGTGAGCCAGGGACTGTTACTACTCCCATTTTACAGAGAGGCTAAATCATACCCAAGGTCACACAGCCAGCAAGGTGTAGAGCTGGGGTTTCAAGTCTTTAACTCACTACACTGCCTCCTTGGGGAGAAGGTTTAAGACCTGTATCCTTTCTGGTCATATGCTCAGAAAACAAAACAAAACAAAACAAAACAAAAACAAAAAAAACACCAGACGTGTGGATTTTCAGCCAAATATTTTTCAGTATGGATTTATGGATTGAGGTTACCAAAAAGTCTCCTCTAGAGGCCGGGCACGGTGGCTCATGCCTATAATCCCAGCACTTTGGGAGGCCAAGGTGGGTGGATCACGAGTTCAGGAGTTTAAGACCAGCCTGGCCCAGATGGTGAAACCCCGTCTCTACTAAAAAATACAAAAATATTAGCTGGACATGGTGGCGGGTGCCTGTAATCCCTGCTACTTGGAAAACTGAGGCAGAGAATTGCTTGAACCCGGGAGGCGGAGGTTGCAGTGAGCCAAGATTGCGCCATTACACTCTAGCCTGGGCAACAGAGCAAGACTCTGTCTCAAAAATCAAACAAACAAACAAAGTTTCCTCTAGAATAACATGGGAATCTAAACATCTAGAGGACTCTCCAGGTGGCTGGGTTTTAGGTATGTGACCATGGCCCTCAAAAAACGAGACTGAGGCATGTGTCTGTGATCCCCGAGCCCCCCCACTGGGGAGAGGGCCAGGAGAGAGGGAGAAGGGAGCTCAGGAGTTGAGAAATCCCTTCTTCAACCTTCATCCTAGGGTTAGATGCTGGAGAGAGAACCAGTCCAAAGCTCTGTCCCGTGAGCTGCCAGGGAACCCCATGCATGGTACTGGGGTATTGGAGGGAAGCTGGTTCAACTCACTCCTCAAAGTCAACCCAACCACGGTGCAGAGGGACCCATTTTGTGCAGAACTGCAGTACTGTGCAGTTTTGGACCTGTCCTTTGGACCTGAAATCAAGGCAGGCTGTGGAGTCCACTCTGCAAGCTCTCGTGTCTGTTCATTGAGTTACCAGCAGCTTCCTGCCACTGGCCCGTGTAGCCCTTGGTCAACAGGCCATGACTACAGCTACTGGCCTGGAGCCAGTGCTGTCGACAGGAGGAAGTGGGCTGGGGCTTGGCTTCTAAGGCTGTAGGGGCTGATAAGTGGCCAAGCAGGACCCTGCTCATGCAGCCTTGACCCAGAGGCATCCCTGCAGGCTGGCGGGTGGAGGGGCTGACCTCACTGCCCTCGGGCTCGTCTGGCCTCCTCTGGCCTCGCCCTCTCTGGCGGGTCCCCTTCCCTCTGGGTGCTCCAAGTGCTGGTGAATCCAACCTGCTCTCTCCAGCCAACCCCTCTCCTCTCACCTCCTGACATACAACTGTCCACCTGACATGTTCAAACGTCACTGCCCCACCAGGCCTGCTCATCCGGCAAACTCCCCAGCTCAGCTGATGTAGGCACGGCTTTGCTAACCTCAGCTCCAGAGGTGGCGGGGGAGGAGGGTCAGCTAGGGAAGCCCCAGCTGTGACAGAGACACTTTTTCCTCCTCTCTCTAGATCTCAGGAAAGCTCAGAGACCCAGGACCCACCTAGGAAGGTGGCTGTTTTCAAGGAAGAGGGGCAGTTGGTAACTTGCCAGTCACAGACTGGACTGGCGGGGAAAGGTTGGAAACTCCTGAGAGATGGGCAGGTGAGGAGTCCCTTGGCCTCCCCCAGCACAGAACAGACAGCCACCCTGGTGTCCTCTTGTGTCTCTGCAATACAGTGAGCTCCTGAGGGCAGGACCTGCGTGAGTGGAGCTCGGAACCTCGCACAGGGCAGGTGCTCACTAAGGGCTTGCAGGCAAGCTAGGCAATGGCCTCTGGGGACACTCCCTACGACGCCTGCACGTTTTTAGCAATGAGCAAACACTCTGCAGGGGTGTCTGAGTAGAAGCTGTGGGCTCCCCAAATCTTGCCGCGTGGTTGGTTTCTTGGGATCCGCCAGTTCTGTTCGAGGGCAGTCAGCCGCGTCTGCCGCAAGGCTATTCCAGAGTGGCCCCACCGCTCCACCCACTCTGGGTAACTCATGGGCACACCCTGGAAACCAGAAAAACAGTGGAGCTCTGCCTGTCCCCGAAGGAAAGAATTACATTGCCGCAAGCAATTTGGAAAGGAGCAAGGAGCTTGGAAACTCGGAGCAAGCGGAATCATCTCCTACCGCCCCGCTTCTGCTCGGCTCAGGGCGCACGATGAAAAGGCTGAATTTGTCACATTTCCCCACACTCAGTCCCAAACAGGCTATCCCAGTCGTCTCTCCCTCCGGAGGAGACCCCTTCCCCTTCACAGCTCCCTTGCAGCTCTCTTTTTTTCTGCTAGCTTGCAGCTTTAAGGGGTAGGAGTCCGATTCTGAAGCTTGAAGCCTGGGCCACTTTTCCACAGGGTGCTTGGCATTGCCGGGGACCAGAACTGTAACCGCCCGGAGCTGTACGAACCTGCACACAGTCTCTGCCCAGCCGCCCAGAGTCCATCCTGGCCTTTCTCTCCAGTTTCCTCCCTTCATGGTCCCAGGCTTTTTCCCCAAAATGAGAGAAGTCCCCAGCTTGGAATCCCAGAGACCTGCAAAGCCGTAAGGAACGGCTCCATTTTGCATGACGCTAGTTAGCCAGCAGATCACTGGAAAACTCAACTACATTTCAAGCAAGCAAGTTGGAAAGAATGTTGGGCTTCCCTGGGATTTAATATGACAGGTTTCTGGCTCTGTGAATTTAGATAAGATTAACTCTTCATTCTTAAGGAAAGAAAAAAAACCCCAGCTCTCTGCAATATCAGTTTAGGGGGAAAATGTGCTGCTTTGAAAGCATCGAAGGCAGTCCGATTTGCACGTCCCCTCTTTCTGGGGCTGCATACTTTCTGTGTCTGATAATATGTTTGTTATACCTCGTCTCTGCCAGGGACACATACAGTAAATTGTCAGCTCAAACCATGTAATCTTTTAACCATAAGGTTCCAACATCTGTTGACCAGTTGTTGCATGGTTGAATCATTAACATGGCTTCTAATTTTACTCTTTGAATTTAACATAAAACATTTTAATGAGTATATGTAATTCATACTTTCCAACTTCAGAGAGTCCTGAAAGAGAAACCTATGCTTTTATAACCCAAGCCTCTGAAGTAAACAGTTTTATTTTTAAATCTCATTTCCTCCCGTTCCCCTTACACAAATGCATTATAAAACAGACCCATTGGACGTTATCTCCCTTTCCAAAAAAAAAAAAAAAAAATGCATTCAAATATTTGTCTAGGTTTCGGTGAAGAGTCCCCTAAGCTTTGTGCTCATAGGATATGTCAGATGGGCCCATTCTTCATTTGGAGATTAGATAAGGCTGTGAGCCCCCATTCCTCCATCTGTAAAAACAAATTGAAAACTGGCATAAGAAAGACAATCCCTGAGTCATGCTGGGAAAATTCGGTTTTAAAACTTGCTTTCGCTCTCATGCCTGTTTTTACTGAAATGAGATGGATTTAGTCATGGTTTGTTCCTGCCAACTGAGTTCACTTTTCCCATTTCCCCCTTCTCTGGGTATGCCTTCAACCTCCAGCCTCGAAAGTGACTGCGTTTGATTAAATGCAATTTTGGATTGAACTTTTTATTCAGAGACATTCCTCTCTTAATATATTTTGAGGTATTTTTTAGGAACAGACTCTAACAGGCCAGAGTAGAAATGTTCAATCCGATAACGTGTGTGACTGATAAAGCCCTCCCTCTAACAACTCCTTGCTATAGCTGTGTTTATCATTCACTAGCTCCTGGAGAATTTCAGAAGGAATCCCATGTTAGCATCTGCTTCCTCCTGGGGAATCTTCTTTATTTCTATTTTTTATTTTTATAGAGACAGCATTTCACTCTGTTGCCTAGGCTGTAGTGCCGTGGCGTGATCACAGCTCACTGCAGCCTCGAACTCCTGGTCTCAAGTGATTTCCCCACCTCAGCCTCCTGAGTAGCAGAGACTATGGGTGTGCACCACTACATCTGGCTAGTTTTTAAAATTTTTTGTAGAGATGGGGGTCTCATTATATTGCCCAGGCTGGTCTCGAACTCCTGGGCTCAAGTGATCCTCCCATGTCTCAGCCTCCTAAAGCACTGGGTTTACAGATGTGAGCCACCATGCCCAGCCCATGACACTTTCAAAGCAAAAGGCCTGGAACTAACCTTGCTAGTGTGGCTTCTTAACTCCTGTTGGAAGTCTCTCTCCTAAGAGACCTTCGACAGCAATGTCACTAAAGAACGACCGGAGTGAAATGCCTTTTGCTTGTGACAGATTAAAGAAATAGCTTCCTTTTGAGTCTCTCAAGTTCAGGCAAGTTCAGAAGCAAGATCACAACACAGCATTTAGTGTGTGGCCAGAGATAAGGCGACCCCAGTCAAGATAAGGTTCCTCTGTGCATTGGTGGCTTTGTGTTCAGTGCTACCAGTGACTTGGGTACTTTCTGGGAGTGTTACGAGTGACGTGGGTACCTAGGAGTGAAGCAGAAGAAAAGTGCTACCTCCTTGGCTCTTGCCTAGCCAGGAAAGAAAAATGACAAGCAAGTAAATTGTGTGCCTATGGCAGTAAAGTTTTCCTAACAAAAAGCTGAAGAAACTTTTCTAGATATTTTAGGGGGACTAGGGATTTACTGCGAATCTAGAATTATTGGGGGACAGCACTTGTAAAACATAATTTTCGAGCTAGGGGCCAGTGATGGGGCGGGGCTCCAGCAGGGGCTGGGTGATGGAATTGGGGAGGAATTTAGAAATCATCTAGTCCAAGGGCTTTCTTTTGAGATGAGGAAATGGAGTGTGCATGAGAGGTGTCACCCCCAGCAACTTTCCGTGTCAGAAATTCTCTAAAGAAGATTGAGGGAGAGAAGAGAAGAGATGGGTAGCCACAGGGGAAGGAGGAAGAGGGATTCAGAGAGGGGGCCAGGAGAGAGGGGAGCAGGTGAGGAGAGAGGAGGGAGTCAGAGGCGTCGGCTGGGAGGGAAGGAGCCACTCCCGCCCTCTGCAATCCATGGCTGAGCTTCGAGGTGGCGCGGGTTATTTCAGTTCTATCCCCTGAGCTCTTTCCCCTGTCCCTGCCCAGTGGCAGCACAGGCTTCCTCAGGAGGAGTTCTGTCTCCCTCCAGAGGAGCAGGCCTAATGCAGAAGCTAGAGCGGTGCGTGTTTCAACAGAACACAAAAGCAAATCTCTATGGAGATCATGCATGCACAATGACACAGCCCATAAACTGCTCCAGTGCCCTCCCTGCTGAAGGTATAAAGCCCCATCCTTGGAACAATTCACGTTTTTAAATAAACCCATGTTGGGTGCCACTGTGGCCATCTGCTGCGGCCTCTGTGCCATCCTCCCTGCTCTGCGGGACTCCTTAGCCACCCTCTGGTCCTGCTGGCCTCTCAGGGCTGGCCAGTGTGGGTGCAGGGCTTCTCAGGGGCAGGAGGAGCAAACAGTGGGGGCAGAAGGGGCCGCGGCGCTCATCACACTAGGAGGGTCCTGGGATGAGCCCGCGGCATCCATACCAAGCCAGAGAATGGTGTCCCCCTCACTCTGAACACCCATCGCCCCTTCTGAATCCCTCCAAGGGTGGCATTGACAACAGGGTGACAGATGGGTACTGGAAGGAAAGAGAACACAAAGGAAAAAGATGATCTCTCCACCCAGATGACCACAGGCACCTCAACCTCATCATGTCACAGGCACTCTCGTCAGCCTTCTCTTCGCCCAGTAGCCTCTAGGATTGCTGGTCTTTGTTAATGGTGTCACTATCAGCATGGCTGGACGTGGGGAAGTGGGCCCCCTTTCCTTCCTCTCCTTAATTCCTGAAATCCAGCTGTCCCCAGGCCCTGCTGCATCCACCTTCAACCCTTCCCACCTGTGTGTCCTTCTTGGTGTGCATGGCCCACACCCAGGAATTGTCAATCGACAATGTGTCTAATTCACCTCCCAGTTTAGGCCTCTGTCATTTCTGGCTTGGACTAAAGTAGCTGCCTCCTAAAAGCTTTCCTTGCCTTTGATGATCCAACCTTAACATTGTCAAGGGCAAACAAACAAACAAATTAATACATTTTGAGGTCAAAATATATTTTGGACCTGGAAAACTTTAGAAATCACAGCAGCGCAGGCCAAGTAGATCCAAGTCTCTGAAGTGGAAGCAGGCGCGGGGTTTTGAAAGCTCCCTCAGAGATCCCTGTGTGCGGCAAGGCTGAGGACCTGTGCTTGGAGCTGTCAGCACAGCCTGCCTGCTGTCCCAGCCCCCAGGACCTCACGTACTTAGCTGCTGCTGACAAAAAAAAGCAAAAAAGCAAAACAAAACTAACTAAACTAAACAAAAAAACCCAACCAAACAAACCAGGCTTATGCCCGTTGTCTCAACTATTTAGGAGGCTGAGGTAGGAGCATGGTTTGAGCCCAAGAGTTGGAGGCTTCAGTGAGCTGTGATCATGCAATTGCACTTCAGCCTGGGCTACACAGCAAGACCCTGTCTCTAAGATAATAATAATAAAATAATAATAATAATAATAATAATAATAATAATAATAATAATAAAACAAATTAACAAAACACCAAACAAATCCTGACATTCTACTTAAAAAAAAAAATCCCCCATGCTCTCCATGACCCCAAGGATAAGGTGGGACCCAGCTCAGCCTGTCTCCCCTGCACACACACCCAGAGCCCCCACAGCTCGTGTCATCAGCATGGTCCACCTCTGTGCCATCACCTGTGCTGCTGACTCTGTGCACAGGCCTCCAGGTCCCCCTTGAATGCCACCTCCTCTGGGAGTCCCTCCCCAAGTCTCCAGGGCAGAGTTAATCCATCTTTCCTCTGTTCTCCCACACACCTTATTCAAATGCCTGAGAGCCCTGTTTCACCCTGGCCTTTCCCTTTCTGGCTGCAAAGTCCTTGCCTGGTGCATGGAAAGGATGAAGGGCGGAGCTTGAGTGAGGGACTGGAGGACCAGATGGAGAATGCCAAGCCCCCTTTGAACTTGAGATCTCATTTCTACAGACCAGTCAACTCCGCCCAAGGCAGTGCTAATGAACTCTGGCCACACCCCAGAACTACCTGGAAAACTTCAAAAATCACAGCAGCACAGGCCAAGTAGATCCAAGTCTCTGAGGTGGGACCAGGCTCAGGGTTTTGAAAGCTCCCCCAGAGCTCCCCGTGTGCAGCAAGGCTGAGGGCCTGTGCTTGGAGCTGTCAGCAGAGCCTGCCTGCTAACCCAGCCCCCAGGACCTCATGTACGTAGCTGCTGCTGACATGGGCGTTTAATTTCATTGATTGATTTACATTTATTTCAATAGCTTTTGGGGTACAGGTGGGTTTTGGTTACATGGATGAATTGTACAGTGGTGAAGTCTGAGATTTTAGTGCAGCTATCACCTGAATAGTGTACATCATACCCAGTATGTAGTTTTTTATCCCTCCCCTCCATCTCCTCCTTCTTCTGAGTCTCCAATGTTCATTATGTCACTGTATGCCCCTGTGTACCCATCGCTTAGTTCCCACTTACAAGTGAGAATATGCGGCATTTGGTTTTCCATTCCTGAGTTACTTCACTTAGAATAATGGCCTCCAGCTCCATCTAAGTTGCTGCAAAAGACATTACTTCATTCATTTTAATGGCTGAGTAGTATTCCATGGTGTATATACACCACATTTTCCTTATCCACCATTGGCCATTGAGCACTTAGGTGGGTTCCATAACTTTACAATGGTAAATTGTGCTGTGGGTGCTTTTGACCAGGGATCGATGGTGAACGTGCACTGCACGTTTGTGTGCATTTGTGTCTTTATGTGTGAAGGAGTGGTGTGGGACGAGGAATGGGGACCGCACCTGCAGTTAGGAAACCTGCATTCTAGACCTGGCTGTGTGAACAAGGGCAGGAAAGATGAACTCCTCTTGCAGGAAATCTGTGTTAGATCCAAGAAGGCAGGAGGACACGTAGGGGACTGTGCTATTGGAAAGGAGCTCTGATTTTGTCTGTTTGGCATGTCTTCCTTGAGGGGGCCTGAGCCCACTCTCCATAGTGTGTATGTTCCCATTGGCTTCGGGTGGGGCTTTCTTTGTTCTAGTGAACAAAGTTCGAGTGAACCCAGGGTGGGCCTGTGAACTAGACTTGGACAAGAACGGGCACACCACCTAAACCCATGATCACCACCCCCCATGTCCTCCCTAGGACTTTGCTGGCCACTGGGGATGCCATCTCCCCTTCTGTGCAGTTGTGAGATATAGGACATGTTTGGGGCCACCAGCATCCATCCCATCTCTGCATGCAGGGTCTGCTTGGAGAATAGACCCAACACAGCCCAAACTTTGTCCCAAAGACATTTGGAACAAGAGATGGGACCTTGATAACGTCGTTTGAGTCTCTAGAGGCAGTTGCCTGAACATTTTGGGTGGGGTAGACCAACCTCTTGCCCACCCCCACATTATTTTTGGCTTGAGGTGGGCTGAATTGGTTTGTTGTCACTGACAACCTGTGTGGACTGATACACTGATACTTCTTAAGAAGCTCATAGCAAGAGATCCCTTTATTTCTAGCCATGGGCAAATGATGACAATCCCTTAAAAGATGCCAAAACAGGCCACTGGGAAGGAGAGTTGAGATAAACAACTGTACATTACATCAGCCAGTGCAGGATGAGACAGAATCTGGAGTTAGGATCAGTGAGCAGATGGAAAAGCTGGAAAGGAGGGATGGTGTCTAACTGGAGTGAGGAATGATGGAGTGGAGACAATATGGCAGCATTGAAAGAGGCAATATGGTGGCATTGAAAGAGGCAATATGGCAGCATTGAAAGAGGTAGCAAAGAGATACTTTATTCTGACTTTTTAAATCGTGCATTACTTGTGGCTCCTGGGTTGATGGTTTAGGTCTGGGGATGATTATAAGAGATAATTTTCCTTTTCTAAATATCTGCTGGTGACCCCTTTTCTCTCCTCTCCCGTTCTGCCACTTTAATCTCAGGTATCACATAAAGCCTTATCTTCTGGTTAACAAGCACTTTCTGAGCACCTCCTCTGTACCAACCTCAAAACCAGGCCATCAAAGTGCAAAAGATGCATTTTCCCAAGGAGCTCATTGTCTTGCAGAAGAGATCAATACACAAATGGCAACCATGACAAAGGACCCTAACTAAGCACAAGTCGATGTTTAAATAAATACACAAGCCAGTGTGGTGACTCATGTCTGTAATCCCAGCACTTTGGGAGGCCGAGGCAGGTGGATCACCTGAGGTGAGGAGGTTGAGACCAGCCTGGCCAATATGGTGAAACCCCATCTCTACTAAAAATACAAAAATTAGCCTGGCATGGTGGTGCACACCTGTAATCCCAGCAACTCGGGAGGCTGAGGCAGGAGAATCACTTGAACCCAGGAGGCGGAGGTTGCAGTGAGCCAAGATCACGCCACTGCACTCCAGCCCGGACAACAAGAGCAAAACTCTGTCTCAAAAATAAATAAATACACAGAGACACACAGAAAACTTACTTCAAAGTGTAGTCATCAAAAATGCAAATTGCACTACTCTAGAAAATTACTCAGGAAAGCTCAGCATTGTGCAGAACCAGCAGGAAGAGGCCATTTCCCAGCTCCGTGATGCAAACAAGGAGCTTTTCCTATGCTGTAGTGCATCAGCATAGGTTCATTGAGATTGCAACTGGAAGCTGGTAGGTCACTTTGCAAACACCTGCCTCCCCTTCTCACTCCTCACACCAGGTCACGGCAGGGTGCAAGCCCCTGCAGAGAGATGGATGAACGGATGATGACCTGGGACAGACATGCAGGCCAGTCTAGAGTTGTGTGTCTGTGATGTTGAGTAACCTCAGGTCAGGTGGCAGTGGGAGAAGGCAAGGAGGGCATGTCCCCAGGTGGCAAGAACACAGTGGGAGAGGCCTCTCAAACCCTGGTCAGGCTTTCCATCCCAAGATCCCCTCCCTGGGCCCCCGCCTGCTTGGAGACTTAGACTTTGGAAACAGCTGCAGACCGCAAGTATGTGGCATCAAGAGAGGGCGTTTTTGTTGGGGAGGCTTCAGTGTAATAATGGGCATATCTGTATGATGGGCTCTTGGGTTTGACTCTAGTAACAACTATGTAACCTCTCAGTGCCTCAGTTTCCTCATCTGTAAAGTGAACATAATAATAATACCTACCTCCTTATAACTCCAAGAGACATAATGAGATTAAAGGAGTTGCCATATGCAAAAAGCTTAGTCCCGTGCTTAGCACATGTGAAGCGCTAACCAAGTTCTCTATAATGACCTCCTGGGCGCTCTTGGACCGTGCAGAGTAATGACCACCCTCTTCTATTTTTGTTGTTGTTGTTGTTGTTTGTTTTTGAGACAGAGCCTTGCTATGTTACCCATGCTGCAGTGGCTCAATCATAGCTCACTGCAGCCTGAAACTCCTAGGCTCAAGTGATCCTCCTACCTCAGCCTCCCTAGTAGCTGCAACTATGGGTGCATGGCACCACACCCGGCTAGTTTTTTATTTTTTTGTAGAGATAGGCTCATGCTATGTTACTCAGGCTGGTCTCAAACTCCTGACTTCAAGCGATCTCCCACCTTAGCCTCCCAAAGTGCTGAGATTACAGGTGTGATCCATGTCCAGCCACCTTCCTCTAGTATGAAGGGTGCGATGTGGCCATCCATTGTGAGCAAGAGTAGTCACTACATGTGCATTTGTGATGGCCACTCTGGACACTGGCCAAAGTGGGTGATTCCCTTCATGTTTGTAAAAAAGCACTGAAATACCAACACCAAATGGTTAAACAAACCCAGATTGTTGTTGGGGATTTTGACGGAGAAAGGATTAACTCACTTTCAAGAGCCTTGGCTTCATACCAACATTATTTACTCAGCTGAGAACTGCCTTTCAACACTAGCCAGTGAGGAAGCCAGGCTGAGCGCTGGGGAGGCACCAGGGGAGGAGAGGGGGCCGACATGGATGCAATGCACAGCCATAGTGAGGTTCTCGGAGGGGTCTCTTACTCGGCCAGCCCTCTAACTGGGGTATGAGAGATGGGGGGCTTCACTTGTGTTCTGTAAGAAAGAACCACCTCATCAGGCACATAATCAGCAACCGATGTCGCCCTTGGGCAGCAGAGGCTTCCACCTGCTTACTTTTTCCAAATAGTTAATAGTGATTATTATGATTTAAATACTTCTCTTGCATCCCCAACAACTGAAGTGCAAATGTGTTAAGAAATGTTCTGGTGCCAGATCCCTGAGTTTCCAGAGGCTGAATGTGCTTCTTTTCATATTTGAAGCCAAAACATACAGAACCGGACGATTCTTTCTGCAAACTTGATAACGTGCCTGCCGTGGATGGACTTGCCCACGGTGTGTCTCCGTGAGCCTAGTCCAAGGACAGTTGTCACGGTACAGGCTCTACCACCTATACATCAGTGACCCTGCAGATGTGATGGCCTGCAGGGAGCCTCCACGGTGCAACCTCGATGGTGCTAAAGTGACAGGGGTGTGGTTGCATCAAGCATTCAGTCCAGTTCATTATTCATCAAACTGTTAGTTAGTGGAGCTCACGTTGGGCATTTCCTCTCAGCTCTTAAGAAGAGATAGTAAAATGTGAAGCTTTAATTTTTAGGAAAGATAGAGGAGCCCCATAAAAACACAAAATACCCTAGGATTATTGCCAGGGTTCACTGAGTACTGACTGTGGCCTTGAATGGTGTTAAGAGCTGGAAATCCAAAGCTGAAACAGCCTTCGTTCCTTGCCTTCAAGGAACTTGTAGTCTGTGGCATTAATAATTTCAGCCAGAATGAGGAGTGCTGGAAGGAGATAAAAAGGCATAACAAGTGCTGGGTGCCTGCCAAGGGCTGTTTCTCTTATCTCCCCCCACAACAAACTCTGACTAGTGCAGCCTCACCCCAGCCTACGTGAAAAAATGGAGGTGTGTGAAGCAGAATCACCCCCAGTTCACACGGATAGTAAGTGGCAGAGCCAGAATGCAAATCCAGATCCGTCTGTCTCCTGGGCTAGTCAGCCTTGCACAGGAGTCAGGGTTCCCAGAGCAAGGGGAGACGGACTCCCTATCTAGGGAAGCTGGGGAAAGCCACAAAGAGAGGGTGATGGTTGAACTGCAACATGAACTGACTCCCTGTCTCCAGATTCCTTTCCACTCATTTCCCATCTCCTGATGTCATAGGGGTCACCCCTGGAGAAGGCACTGGAGCACACGCCAATGGCCTGGCCTTGGATACTGAGGGATGCTGCTAGACAGGTGAGGTGCAAGAGATGCTCCTTGAAAGATCCATCCCTTCAGCCCAGAAAGAAAGGAAAGGCCATGAAACCTGGGCCCAATCCCTGGAGGAGGAGGTTGGTGGCTGGTAGCTGGGCTGCTAGGCAGGGGAGATGAGGAGGGGCGACCCTCGTTGCCATGACTGCATTTCTGGGCACAGCAGATGTGTCAATCCAGTGATTCTGAAAATGATCAACAATGTGTGCAAAGGGATAAGGGCTTTCTTGCAGCTCTGACAAATGATCCTTGAGGGATACGGATCAGAGCATAATAAATTCCACACATATCACTCTGATCCATATAAGGCAACTGCCATCATCCTGGTGGACAACATCGCTTGTGTGGGTGCTGAAATGTGCCAGGTGCTTTTCATGGCTCTTGACTGTGTTTTCCAGGCCTTGACCATGGAGGAGTACTCAACTAATTGGTTGTCTGATCCCCTGAATGAGAAAATGGCATTTTTCCATGAGAAGCTGTCAGCACCTGAGAGAAGATGGAACACCCAGGTGGGTCACAGGGTGACTGCCTGCCAATAGCATCCTCTAGCAAGGATGGTGCAAGCTGCTCCCTTTGGTGGGCAAGTGTCACCCAGGGTAGGGAGTGGTGCTACAGACTGAGTGACTAATGAGGAGAAACAGCCACAAAAAAAAAAACGCTCCCAGAAGGTGACATTGGGGTTCACTGTCCTGGGATTTGGCTCAGTGTCATCAACCAAAATAAAAAAACAAGAGAGCAAGCAGAAATCCACCAGCACACAGAGCTACTAAACATGACTCACCTTTAGAATGCAACTCTGGAATGTGTCCCATTTGAAGACTCTGATGGTAGTTATCTGTGAGATCAACAAAACATCTGGCCTGATGTTCGATGTTGAGAGTCCCAGAAGGAACAGAACAAGTACATATTGGAAAAGCATTTGAGGTCTGCCCTTAAAATTCCATAAGGGAGGCCCCCCTCGAAGGGTCTTCTTTGGTGGCATTTCTGAAATGACCCAGTGGTCTATTTCTCCCATCTTTCACCTTCAGTATTAATAATAGTACCAATCCTATCTGAAATGTCTTTTATAATTGTGTAATTACACATCTCATTTATCCAATTGTTAGGCCAAGAGACTGATTAAATATTAACAACTGCTTGGTTCTCGTGGTGTCATTAGTTGGAACACAACCCTGTAATCTCAGGTAACACACGACGGTAATTATCCTTCACATTCACACTTAGCTGAAAACCCAGAGCAGTCAATCCAGATAAGGTTGCCCAGTTGAAAATGCATTGCCTTTAAATCCTGTTTTATCTCCACAGTCTCACAGCAAGGTGCATTTCAGACCAGTTCAGGGGTTTTGAGAGTAAACCTGTCGTTACTGGGCGATGGCTGGGGGAGGGAGGCAGGGCAGGCATAACAAACAGCTCAATTCCCACGCATGCAGCCCTCTCCAGTCATAAATCTGACGGGACTTCAGAAGTTATAATGGAATTTTTACCCGAAGCACCAAGATGGAGAATCTGGTTAGGTCAAGCATCCCTTACATTCAAGAACAGTGCTGAGTGTAGCAGCATTTGCCTTTGTTACTTCCCTGGGTGGAGGAGGCTGGAGGGGCATTTGCAGGCCCAGCGGCCTCTGGCTGTGGCCATCAGGGCTTCTGCCTGAACCCGCCTAGGGCTGAGCCCGTTGCAGGGCTTGGGAAGGGTCCCTCCTTCCAAACTGGTCTTTTCCTTTCAAGCCATCCCAGCTCTCTTCCAGCCAGAGACCCCCCCATCTTCTCTACCCAGTTTTCTTTCTCTTTCACAGCCTCTGGTGCCTCCCATCACATTCCCGCTGGCCCGTGGAGCTCTGGACACTGAAATTCTCCCTGGTGCTTGCTCTCAGGCCTTAGGTAAGTCATCTTGGTGCTTCGGGATAAAAATTCCATTATAATACCTAAGGAAAAAATACCTAAGGATATGCTCCTGCTTTTCATCAGCCCAAAGGCTAATTTTCTTGGAAGCATTTCTCCCCTTCTGACGTTTAGGAATACAATGGTTTCATTTTTCTGCTCCACAACTTCCTAGCTGTCCACCTCTTTCTGACCATCAGCCTCAGATTCTTGTGCCCATAGGCAGGGCTTCCAGACCGGGACCAGGCCACCCTGATGCTGAGTAAGCGTTGCAGCTGAGAACTGTCCACTGTGGCCCCTGCCTTTGTGGATTTATCATTTTCTTCCCTATTATGCGCCTGTACCTACAGAATGCTCTTCACAGCTGGCAGCAGGCAGGCAGTGCCCAGGGGCACTGAGCCCCAGAGACCTGACAAGCCTGTTTGAGCCGTGCCTGAAAAATGTGGCTCATCCTCAGGCTGCAGCGGGGAAAATGGAAGAGTTTAATTGGTTCTGACTTCAGGATTCAGATCATAGTTTTCCCTGGAGGTGTGCATTGCAGGAAACAATATTACCAAAGCCAGGTCCTGGCTGAAATTAATCAAGTTCCATGAACATTTGTAATGGGAAAACAGAAGAGAGCATTTGAACATTTAATTACAATATTTTGTAATTGTTAAATCACCAGTGACATTACAAAACGCTCTAGGTGAGCAGATACATGATGTATTTCTGTTGAGAAGGCAGAAATACTCAGCAAAAATGAAGCAATTGTAGCTATATTTTCTCCTTTATCTTCTCCCAAAGGGAACAATTCAAATACATCATTTGACTTGATTGTTTTTAATTACATTGTAAACATTTCAAAAAAAATCTGGGATAAAGATGAACACACAAGTCAGTTGGTAATAAAAATGCAGGCTCCAATTCTTCTTGGATGACAGATGAAATGAGTTTAATATATTCTTGTTTTGTGGAAAGCATGAACATTTAAAACTGCAAACAACTGAATTCAATTAGCAGGTCTTCTTCGAAACGGCTTGGAGAACTGGAGGGCAAGGAACTCTCATTATCTGCCCATTGTAGAATTGGGGGGAGCATCACAGTTCACGGCTGGTATGAATTGGTGGAGAAACAATGTAAAATTGGTCCCCGTGTTTTTCCATACAGCTGTTATCTGGCAAGCAGATCTACTGAGAGATTAGGCTGCTAGTGTTTTCAATCCCTCACCTCACATAAGTGCTTAATTCATCAGAAAGATATAAAAGCAGAGAAAATACATTCAGTGTTGAAAGATGGACTGCTAACTGCATTGCTTTCAAATGCAAGTAAATCCCAACGGTAAAGTCCAATTCCAAATTTTCCTCCACTAATAAATCACAATCGGCAACTGTCGCTGGGCCCCATGCACGGCTCACCTGCCTAGAGAGGCACTCTCTGCGAGAAATCCGTCCTGTGCTAACTTTCTGAGTTGGTGGAGGTTTTGATTTTGGAGAAGAGAATATCTGTTTGTTTGACAGAAGAGGGTGTTTGCTGTGGTGTTCAAGGCATATGTATTTTTGGTCTCTTAGCACAGACATGACTTTTACAGCCCTGGAAACTCATAAATAACACAGTTCACACATTTAATTGCTTTGACCAGTTTGGTAGGAAGAGCAGGAAACTGGCCTGAACAGGAACACCGTTGTCACCTGAGCCGCACACCCGGTCTGATCTTTCCTTTGTTTTAGTTGTTAATCGTGTTCCATGAAAGAAACAGTGCACGCTGACCCTCGACACTGAGGAGCACGATTCACTTCGACAGTTAGAACCCTAGCAACTTCTGCAACCTTGAGAGTTCAAGGACTGCAACAAAGACAATCAGTGGAGAACCATCGCGCCTGCAGTTTTCTCGGGAGAATTGAACTGCATGTGATTGGACAGCAAGAGAGTGGGCAAGCCAGGGACAGCCACCACAGTTAAAGTACTGTGGGCCATGCCTTCATGCCCCCCTCACTCATGGAATTTTTCTGGACTGAGCCAGAGTCTGGAGAGGTGGTGCAGCTGTTCCCTAAGTGAGTGGGGTTCCCCTACCTTTCACTCAGGGAATGTTTAATGTTTTCCTTTTACAATTTCCTTCTTCAGCTTCCCTCTCTCCTAATGATGAATCCTGTAAACTTTTGCTTTGCCTATGTTCTGCTGGAAACCATGTTACTGTGTACTTTGAAGACATTACTCCGTAGCAGGAGGCAGGGTGGGAGGTGCTCTGGGGAATGACAGCAGGCCTTGGCTGGGGGAAACTGACACCAGCTGGAGGAGACAGCCCCAGGCAGGGAATCCAGCAGCAGAGAGCTCACCCCAAAGTGATGAAGGTTGCGTGGAGCTTGCAGGCTGCTGGGGGGAGGAATGTGGTCACAGGGCCTTCTCACCAAGCTCCTGTGGAGCTTAACTTAACTTTGGGCAGAAAAAGAGGGTAAACAAGGAACCAAAGGTTGTTGTAAGAAATTGAGGGCTACCTCCAAGTTTGGAGCCTAATAAAAAACTGTCCCTGTTCGAAGGGGAGGACTCAGCCCCATGTGGTTGAAGTGGAGAACAGCTGGGACCTCCCAGGGCCTGGGGCCTTCTAGGGAATGGGAAGTGACAACACAAGTAAGCAAATGAACTGGGGACATGGGAGAGGTGAGGCGGCAAAGTGGGGCCAGGGTAGCCCCGTCTCCAGAGGAGAAAGCTGGCAAGACTGGGCTGGGAGCGCAAAAGCGGGCAGCTCCAAGGTGAGACCTTGGCATGAGAGGACTGCCATTTTCAGCCCTATTCCCTGGGCAGTTCACATTCAGGATGGTGTGGCCGGTAGGGCCATGGTTGCACCATAAATATTAGTTTAAAATTGGGGGAAATAAGATAGCTCTTGGAGCGGGTGGGGGGAGATTTTCTTCATGCTTCAGGTACAACTTACTTTTCAGCGGTTGCCCATCTTTTCTGTCTTATTTTAATTGTCTTCTAGAAGAATTGTCCATTTAAGACATTTTCACAACGATGTTGATGAATCTGACAGAAAATATTGGGATGATCTAAGAGCTTGCTCCTGGTGTACTAGCACCAATGTCAGACTGCACTTAGTAGAAAATTGGCAGGTATTATTAGCTAATGATTGGATGTGATTCAGAATGCAGTGCTTCAGAGTGTGAAAGGTTTAATTCAACCTCACAATGTGCCAGAGCCTGCTCTCTTTACTTAGGACTAATGCGGTCCCTGCAAATCACACCTCCCAGCCACTTCGTGTAGAAAGAGAGCAGTCAGCCTGTTTTCCTGAAAGGTAGTCAAACACTCTCACATAAGGAGAACGAGCTCTCTCATCTACACCTCTATCTACTTTGCCACCAACTGAAATTCAGCGGTTTCTTTCCTAAGTTAAAAGAATATTAATGCTGGAGTAGCTTAGGGTCTTGCCGAACATATTATAAGTTCCTTGTACTACTAGAAGGCCTTTTGCTATCTCTGAATCAATTACCTGAGACACTGACAGCCCTGCAGCCCAACACACTCTCCTTATCCCTGGAAAAGAGCAAACTTAAGGTTGCAGCAGCATGATTTCCTATCTACTGTCTCAACCCTTTAGCAAATCGCTCAGTTTTAGGGCTCTGGGCTTTCTCTTCTGGGACTGTCAACAAGGAGGCCAATTAGTGTCCATTATAGCAATGGATTTTGTGATGTGGAAATTTCCCCAATTGTGACTGGGCTGAAATCCCCAATTAATCCCACAGGACCCAGGAAAGCATTTGAGTTCTTTGTGATAATTGCCTAAGCTTGCTCTCTTCAGCAATAAAGGCCCTCGGAGTTATAACAATTATTATTACTATAATTATTATTTCCCATATAAGACGATGAACGTTTGAGGTAGTATTTCAGCACACTGATGAAAATCAAAGCAAAATGAAAACATTCAATTATTCGTTAATACCTGCCAATTTCCTTCTCCCCTAGTGCCTTTTATTATCATTGCAAGAGCCAGATTCTGTTCTCCCATCGATGTGCAAATGGAAAAGTACAGCTTAGCAGCAGCAGCTCCCAGGTAAAGCCATCTGCCCGGAAGCCTTGAGGACCCTCCCAAAGCCAGCCCGGCTCTGTGCCAGGCTGGCTCTTCACGCCTGCGACCCCCAGGTGGGCACGCTGGGTGCCTGGTTTTCCACATGACCGGGGCACCCGGGACCTGCGTGTGGATTTGGGGAGACCCCTGGAGGACCTGGGAGTCGTTCCATCAGTCTTTTGGCGACTTGGGATGGACTTAAGTTGCTATTAAAAGGGAAACCAGACCCACTTTCTTTAAGCCAACACACTAAAATTGAAAAAGGGGGACCTCGGAGGAATCCACAGGGGAGAATGTGAATTAACTAGGTGTTACCTTTGACTGGTTTGGGCCAAGTGACAGCTAAATGAAAAGCGGAGTTTTCTCTTCAGTGGCCCTGGGCATCTGACCTGCGAGGAGACAGTAGCGTTAGTTTCCCTCAATGGAAGTTTCAGACTCATTTCAGAATCTGTTTCCGGAGAGATGATGGAAAGACAAAGATTACCTTGAAGCCTAAGAGCCCTTTTTGACCACGTTCTACCTTTGTGACCCAGCAGGCCTGGTGAACAGCAGGTGAACATTCCACAGGAAAGTGAGGCCGGGGGAGGAGAAGGGAGGGGTCCTATCCATACACCCAGAAAAACTGCCCAGATGTGGGCTTCCTAGGAAAGCGGAGGAGGAGAGGGTGAAGAGTAGAGGAAGGCTGCTGGCTCCAGTGCTGCCTGAATTTGCATCTCCTGAGGACTTAATTTCTGCCAAACCATTTTGTTTGAATTAGGATAAGAAATGAGAGACAATTTAGGCCAGGCGCGGTGCCTCACACCTGTAATCCCAGCACTTTGGGAGGCCGAGGCGGGCAGATCACCTGAGGTCAGGAGTTCGAGACCAGTCTGGCCAACATAGTGAAACCCCATCTCTACTAAAAAAAAGACAAAACAATAATTAGCCGGGCATGGTGGCAAGAGCCTGTAGTCCTAGCTACATGGGAGGCTGATGCAGGAGAATCGCTTGAACCTAGGAGGTGGAGGTTGCAGTGAGCTGAGATCCCACCACTGCATTCCAGCCTGGGCGACAGAGCGAGATTCTATCTCAAAAAAAAAAAAAAAAGAAAGAAAGAAATGAGAGACAATTTCAAACCCAGCCCAATCCCAAAGAGTTGGCAACTCTAGTCAAGTAAAACTTTGAAAAGGATTTCAAGGCCTGGCAGCTTACTGGGGTGAGTCCCTAGATGGGTGGCAATGTCCCTTTTCCAAAGGGGCAAAGGGGAGCCACCCAGGGCACTAATTGAAGTATCCCCCAGAGACCTTATGGTCGGCCATGGGATGTCTGAAGTTCCAGCATTAGTTATCCCTTTGGCATGAGGTCATCCTTCAAAAGGACTAAGAAATTTAAGTTTGTGGGAAGAGATGAGCGTCATTCATCAAGCCTCTGATAGCAGGGATCTGAGAGACTGGGTGACAGCCCAGAAAGGCCATGATGTAGGGGAGGGGTCAGAAAGTCAAAAGTCTGTAGCCAAATATTTCAGATTTTATTTGCTCATTAGTGGGTCATGAAATCAACTTAGTGCAAGGTATCCAGCCTTTAAAAACGAATTAGAACAGGACATATCAAAATACAATGTAAATTATTTTGTATACTGTATTATTTTTATAAAATAAAACCTTTTGTCTCAGTTGTATAGGTATCTATCTGTGTATAGTATTTGTATGTATTAATGTGTGTCTTGGGTTGTAAACACATCTTTTTTATTTGTGGGTCGTCATCTTCCTGGGACTATTAGGCAGTAGGGACTCAAGTGAGAAAATGCACGGGGGCACCACAATTGAGGGATTAGGACAGATGTTCCCTCCTTCACAATTCTACTGAGGCCTACCCTAATGAAAACAGCACAACTTCAGCTTAATCTGGTAAAGCCAAGTCCACACACCTACAACTTGCTGATCTTCGACAAAGCTGACAAAAACAAGCAATGGGAAAAGGACTCCCTATTCAATAAATGGTGCTGGGATAACTGGCTAGCCTCATGCCGAAGATTGAAACTGGACCTCTTTCTTACACCATATACAAAAATCAACCCAAGATGGAGTAAAGACTGAAATGTAAAACCCCAAACTATAAAAATCCTGGAAGAAAACCTAGGCAATACCATTCTGGACATAGGAATGGGCAAAGATTTCATGACAAAGATGCCAAAAGCAACTGCAACAAAAGCAAAAGTTGACAAATGGATCCAATTAAACTAAAGAGCTTCTGCACAGCAGAAGAAACCATCAACAGAGAGCAGACAACCTACAGAATGGAGAAAATATCTGCAAACCATGCATCTAATAAAGGTCTAATATCCAGCATTTCTAAGAAACTTAAACAAATTACAAGAAAAAAACAACCCCATTAAAGAGTGGGCAAAGGACATGAACAGACACTTTTCAAAAGACATACATGTGACCAGTAAGTACATGAAAAAAAGCTTAACACCACTGATCATTAGAGAAATGCAAATCAAATGAATGCCCTATGAAAACCACAATGAAATACCACCTCACACCAGTCAGAAAGGCTATAATTAAAAAGTAAAAAAAAACAGGTGCTGGCAAGTTGCAAAGAAAAAGGAATGCTTATACATTGTTGGTGGTAGTGTGAATTAGTTCAACCATTGTGGAAAACAGTTTGGTATTCCTCAAAAACCTAAAAACAGAACTACCATTCGACCCAGAAATCCCATCACTGGGAATATAAATTGTTCTATCATAGAGACACATGCACACATTCATTGCAGCACTAGTCACAACAGCAAAGACATGGAATCAACCTAAAATGCCCATCAATGGTAGACTGGATAAAGAAAATGTGGTATACATATACCATGGAATACTATGCAGCCATGCATACTAACACAGGAACCAACAAACACAGGAACAGAAAACCAAATACCACGTGTTCTCACTTATAAGTGGGAGCTAAATGATGAGAGCACATGAACACATAGAGGGGAACAACACACACTGGGGTTTACTGGAGGGTGGGGTGGAGGGTGGAAGGAGGGAGAGGATCAGGAAAAATAACTAAAGGGTACTATAGGCTTAATACCTGGGTGATGAAATAATCTGTACAACAAATCCCCATGGCACTAGTTTACTTAAATAACAAACCTGCACATGTACCCCTGAACTTAAGGTTAAAAAAAATGAAGGAACTTGCCAGAATTACAGAGCTAAATAGTTGGTAGAATCAGGAATGAAATCTAAAACCATAAGACAACAAAGCCCATGTTTCTAACCACTGTGATATATAAAGGAGACCATAATGGGCTGGGCGCGGTGGCTCACACCTGTAATCCCAGCACTTTGGGAATGCCAAGGCAGGCAGATCACATGAGGTCAGGAGTTCGAGATCAGCCTGGCCAACATGGCAAAACCCCGTCTCTACTAAAAATTCAAAAATTAGCCGGGCGTGGTGGCGCATGCCTGTAGTCCCAGCTACTTGAGAGGCTGAGGTACGAGAATCGCTTGAACCCTGGAGTTGGAGTGAGCCGAGATCATGCCACTGCGCTCCAGCCTGGGAGACACAGCAACACTCTGCCAAAAAAAAAAAGAAAAAAAAACAGGAACCTGTAATGATACTAGACGAAAATAATTATGAACACTTGAGTAAGCATTGGAGTTTCTAAGCATATTACCAAATGCAAAGGCCATGCAAGAAAATACTGCCAGATTTGATTGTAAATAATGTTAAATTCTGCTATGCCAAGCATATATATGAAATATGAGGAAAAGTTTTTAAGGAAAATGCAACAAAACATTCCAATAGTGCAGTCACCTTCTGTAAATTTTCTGTGCATATATGAGCACACATATATCCTTTTTCTCCCTCTTTCTTCCCCCTTTTTAAACAGCAAATGGGGACACGGTATACTTTCTTCTGTACCTTGCTTCCTTCACACAATACTTATTCCAGCCCATAAAGTGCCACTTCAGTCTTTTCGACCACACCATGCTACTCCATTATATGGTGTACTGTCATGTTTTTTACCAGCTCTGATAGACATTTCAGTTGGGTCTAGTCTTTTGCTAACTATAAACAATGCTGCAGTGAACATCCTTGCTCATCTACCTGTGTCCTTGTATGGTACTATCTATGGGACAAATTCTTAGAAATAGAGATCCTGGGTCAAAATGTGCATTTTAGATTGTGATAAGCACTGTCAAATTTCTTTCCGTTACAACAAAATATTAATGGCACTGTGCACCTGGACACTAGAGACATGTTCCCCCCTTCCCCTTACAGTGCCCCATTGGGCCTTCCATCATCAGAAAGCTCCTCATGCCACATCTTGACACATTATTCCCGTCCTCCTGCTTCTCTTTGCCCGCCCTTTACTTCCAGAAGGAAAAAAGACCATTTGAAAGACTTAGTTTTCTTGGACATTTTAGAATAACTTTCCTTGGGTGTAACCATTGTCAAAAAGGCTTGGTTCAATGAATGTCTTATGAAAACCTGAACTGTGCTTTAATTTGCATTAGACTGGGAGAAGATAGCACGTTAGGTTCCTAAGCACAAGACCTTAAATATCTTTCAGAGACAGCCAGAGCTCTAGGGCTGGCTGTGCAGTGCATGTGTTTGAGCTACTTGGATCTCTTCCATAGGTGAATTTTTGTAGTAAGATATGCATTACAATTCAGGCAGCAATCAGACTAAATTCGGTGCTTTGTCTCTGCAAAGGCCTGGTGGTCTCTTTGCAACTCCTAGGTGGAGATTAAATTCATATTTAATGAACAAAGGCACAATCTTTTCATTGAGGAGTGCTCAGTGGCTATTTATTAAAAAATATGATCTATTATAATTCTAATAATTTTGAGATTTTGTTTTTGGAACATACTTAAAATGGCAAGAATTGCCATCCTATTGTTTCTTCTTAAGCTAAGGGGGTGGGGCAATTCTGAAGACAGGAGCAAATGTAATTGAAAAAGAAAATTTAGCTTCACATTAAAATAAGAAGGAATAATCTGTACACCTTTTAGTTGTCACATTTGGTTTCCTTCAATGGGTGGCATTCCTACAGTTGAGCAATGCATTGAAATATATTCACACTTCAGAGCATGGAAAATGTGATGTATTCCTAAGCCAACGTCTGCATACTAAACACAAATTTAAAATGTGCCCCCAAAATTGTGGCTATAGTTTTATTATAGGAATAACCATGACCGTGACCAAATATAAGACACAATAAACAGTTCACCTCTAGAAGTAATATTCCTGAAGAGGTGGATATTGTTTAAATATACATTAGGTTAAACCACAAGCCTAGATAAGCTTCTGATTGTCCAACGTCAGAGAAGTCAGAATAAAGTTGAAGCTAAAAACCTGTTCTGCTAAATTCCAGGTCATACTCACCAGGACACTTTTTCTCAGGAGCCCAGTGAAAAGGGGAGATGCTATAAAATATGTACCTAACAAAGCTTGTCAGCAGCTTGAATGGAGCAAACCAGTCCAGATCTGAGAATTCTAGGAAATAAATGAAGTTGAACATTTACTGCCAACAACCATGTCACTGGGGCCACAGACAACTGGAGCCGCACAGCTGGGGAGGGGAGGAGTCTGTAGCCAGAGAAGGCAGTGGAACGCACCCAGGTTGGATTATTTATGGTGTGCTGATGAAGAGGCAACTTTCCATATGAGGAACAGCTTAACAGAGGAATAGTCAAGTTAAACTAGGAAGAGGTCCAGTGAGAGAGAGAGAGAGCAACAAAAGCGGACGTGAATAAAAATGACAGGTAATAAAACAATACAAATCTAAAAATGCTGTAACTTTCAGAAATAATTTAGGGCCAAAAGAAGAGGAAAAAAATCTAGTTTTGCTGGCGTTGGGACAATTTTCCAAGAAGCAAAAGACATGAAGCAAAATGAATGTGCTGAATTTAAGACCAAGTTTGCCTCCATGCCTTTCTAGCTACAAGTTTGGTTTCTTCTAAGGCTGGTTTATTCATAAAAAGTGTTAACTTTGCTTTTATTTAGCTGATGTATCCTTTTTTTTTTTTTTTCAACAAACATCTGCTGTGCACTATTCCATGTCAGCCACTGGACCCTAGGGCTCTGTGCTGAACCTCTGTTCACAGGCACAGTTCCTGCCCTCATGAGGCTCATTATCTAGTGTGAGAGATGGACAAGTCCACCCTCAGCTTCTGGACAGCAAGGTGGGTGCTATGATGACAGCTATAACAGGGGCAAGGGAAGGGCAGAGGGACAACCGCAGGAATGAGGTGCTGCATGGGCTGAGACCTAAGGAATACAGGCCCCAAAGTGAAACCTGGCATGGAAATAATTTAGTGAATGTTGCTTTCTATTCTGATTGAATAGACACTTACCAAACCTCCATGCAATCCAAACCCTAGTTTTTATTTAAAAATTAAAATGCATTTCATGGCCAGGTGCGGTGCCTCACGCCTGTAATCCCAGCACTTTGGAAGGCCAAGACAGGAAGATCATGAGGTCAGGAGTTCGAGACCAGCCTGCCCAACATGGTGAAACCCCATCTCTACTAAAAAAAAAAAAAAAAAAAAAATAGCCAGGTGTGGTGGCGCATGCCTGTAATCCCAGCTGCTCGGGAGGCTGAGGCAGGAGAATTGCTTGAACCCGGGAAGCGGAGGTTGCAGTGAGCCAAGATCATGCCACTGCACTCCAGCCTGGATGACAGAGCAAGACTCCAACTCGAAAAAAATATATAAAATAAAAATAAAATGCATTTCCTGCAAAAATGCCAACTTCTGTGGTTCCTAGTAGTTTCCATCCTTGAATTCGGCACTTAAGATCTGTCTACTCAAGCTTTTTACAATCTTTTATATGGTACAAAATACCTCTTCTCCCAAGTCTGGCCAAAAGCCTAATAAATACCAGCCACCAGTTATCACATGGCCCACAGGTGCCAGGCATTTCGTGTGTGTCTCTTTTACTCTTCACAACAGTGCCTTGACATAGGATTGTCACCCCCATTTCACAGAGGAGAGAATGGAGCCTAAGAGGGGACACTCTCTCGAGGCCACACACAGTAAGTATTGGAGCACTTTGTTGCACACCACACCACCTCTGGCCTAAGTATACAGGTTGGGACTGTTCCAGTAACATCTCCACACCCAAGAAAGGCTCTGAGCTGTTCCCAAAGTAACTTTAGCTAAATACTCTCTCTCATCTTCCTGCCTCCCCAGTAGGAGGCCCTCTTCCCACCATTCTCAATGAAGCACTACCAGTAAGGGCCAGAAACTCCTTATTTTGGGTGGCACTGGGGCTGTCTGCATTGTAAGGCAGGGGAGTTTTCAAAAGCTGAGAACTGTAACACTGTACCACAAATGAACCCATACACACTGACATCCGGGGAGGGTCCTATGCCCCACTAACCTTCCTTATCTTAAAAAAAGAATTTTCGGCTGGGTGCAGTGGCTCACGCCTGTAATCCCAGCACTTTGGGAGGCCGAGACGGGCAGATCACGAGGTCAGGAGATCGAGACCATCCTGGATAACATGGTGAAACCCCGTCTCTACTAAAAATACACACACACACACACACAAAAAGGAAATTAGCCGGGCATGGTGGCGGGTGCCTGTAGTCCCAGCTACTCGGGAGGCTGAGGCAGGAGAATGGCGTGAACCCGGCAGGTGGAGCTTGCAGTGAGCCGAGATCGTGCCACTGCACTCCAGCCTGAGCAGCACTCCAAAAAAACAAAAAGAATTTTCTTAAAGATGAGTGTCACTTTTTCATGGCTCCCCACCTGCGCCCTCCCTCTCCCTATGGATCAGTGCTCTGTTGAGTCATCTAAATTTAGTTAGTACATTGGAGCTGCTGCTCTGAAATGCTCGGAAATGCAGCTGCTCTGAAATGGGGATCCAGCCAGAGTGCTGAATCATGAGCCAATCATATCTTCTCCATACCTTTGCTCTTTTCCCCATTCCTCACTGTACTCCTTTCTGGAGACTGCCTATGGCCTTGCTGTAAGAATATGTGGGGAAATAAAGGCCACAGGTGGGCTCCTGCACAATCTAGGGGACTTGAGACTTTCCCCGAGTGCTGGGTGGGTGTATTCTGTCCCACACCTTTGTCTCCACACACTCCACTCTGCTTTGGCCAACCGGCCAGTGTTTCTAAAATACGACTTAGCATCTGAGGATTGAGCAGTCTATGAATTATTTCATAGTTTGAATTCAAGTTTCATGGTTTGAATTCAAGTAGTATTCTTTGTAGAAGTCATTTGGTAATGTCTTTGAGACCAATATTTCAAAAAACAAACTGGGAACTGGTTTGAATGGTAAAGCGACTTCATTATTAACCAAGAAGTTCTAAAACTATCAAACAGTGGAGGTCTGATATTCCCTATTTGAAACTGGGTAAAGCGTGATCAACAGACAAACCACAACACAATCTTTCAGATATTTCTATCCCTACTCTCTTATTCCCAAATTTACAAAACTATTTGCAAAAAGACAAAGATTAAGTTTTCTCTTGTACTATTTGAGGCAAATCATGTCTACAAACACTGGCTTTTAAAATCAGACATTAAAAAAAGATGTAAGATCCATCAGCTTATCAATTAGAATTTAGTTCTTTCTCTGTTTAGGTAACTTCCTTGAGCACAAAATATTATGACCATACCTGGGCTGAGTTTCAGCAAACAGGGCTGGCCACACGTATGGTGCTTTCATCCAAGACTGAGATTATCAGTAGGATGAGTGCTGAAACTCCACTTTTCTAAGAAAATGATTTTGCAGCCAGGATGGCCAGAAGCTTCAAATGACAACTTTACTGATTCGAGGTAATTTCCCAGGAATTTAAGAGGCAATCATTTACTTCTGACTTTCAAAGAGAACTGGGCTTGAAAAGTACAGTTCCATCTAAAATTGATCAGCTAGCGACAACCCTCTGAAGTTACTTGGGAGTGAGGGAAAGCAGTTGAGACCCCTACACATCTGGACTGAACTATCTAGTTCATTTTCCAGGTTGTAAATTTTCTGGTCCCAAAGACTACTTGAAAATAACTTTTTACCAAGCAAGTAGACTTTTTATTAGCTGAAGTACTAAATTTTTTAAAAAATTATTTTGATATGGAACACTACAGCTATAAGACTTGCCAACAACTAATCTTCAATGAAATGTGCATTTAAGAAAATAGCAAAATTACAAGAAACAAAAATCTGAGTCCTGAAAACATGGATTTTAAATTATTGTAGATGACAATCTTATTAAAATACTGCTCTATATCATATTCAAATAAACCAGAGAATTTAATAAATATCAGCATTTACCATCTAACTTGATACTATGGTTGAGATTAAAAGGGTTTTGCTGCCTGGACATTTTTGACATTTGTCAATCTATATAAGCAGAAAACATCTGAACAAAAGGAAGGACACATGCATGTTTTCACTGAGAGCTGTATTTGAAGAACAGCCTATATTCTGCTAAATTTCAATCTTCAAATTTTGATCTTTTTATTTATTCTGAAAGTCTAAGATATTAAGAATCAGTACGTATTTTAAAATAAGACTGCATATAGTTAGAAAAATATGCTTCGAGAGCTTATATTTTATTTCGTTAAGAAAATAAAACCATGTACAAAAATCATTTCTGTTCACTCACACCAATCCTGTTGTTTGATCTTTGTGACTAAGCACCACCATAAAGCACGAAGCTCTGAAGGAAGGTGGCGGCAGAGCTCTCTCCTTAACCCCAGGCTGCCTTGGGGTCTCATTTCTCAGCTTCACTGGAAAGTTCGATCACTCCCTGGTTGGAGACCGTATTTAAAATAGCCCACAGTTTGGAAGGGTCCTCACAGTTATGCTGGTGCTTCCAGTGGTGGAGGAGGTCCTCTTTCCGTCCCAGCATCTCTGCACAAAGCAGGCAGTTAAAGCCTGAATGGGACCACAAGAGAAACGTGTGGAGGCCAGGACACTCAGGGCCCTGGCAGGTTTCCCTTGGCTTGTTGGTTCCTGACTGGGGTCCTTCATTTTCCATGAGCATTTCCACGCCATTCTGATGAAGGTGGAGCTGCCTTTTCAGTCTTGGACATGCATGTGATTCCTCGGAGGAGGAATGAACCTTCTCCGGCTTCCCTCTCTCAGGATGCCTTTTCCAGTCGGGGCTAGCGTGCTGCACCAACTCTTCCTGAGTCCCCTTGCTTCCTGGGAAGGTCCCTTCTTGTAGCCTGCCCTCAATTTCCTCTCCATGAACATCAAGTAAATGAAATTTTATTTCCGCAAAAGACTGAGCAGTAATCTGACAACGACCACATTTGATTTGTAATTTGACTTCGTCTGCCTGGTTTAGAAGGAAGTCTTCTTCCAGGTTGGACTTGTTTTCCCTGAAAAGGCCAATAATAATGAAGATAAGATTTCATGGAAAAATGCAATTGGAATCTTTCCTCTCAGCTGTCAGCCTTCAGGGATCTAAAACATAACACTGACGAGAAAGACAAGGGCTGGGGTAAACAGAGAGCACCTGGGAAGACCTTCTGCAAGGACCGTGGTGAATACTAATTGTCACTCCTGCTTGTGGCCACACATTTCTCCAGCTACCAGGGTTCATTTAGTCAACAGTCCTCTTCACGCATCTGTCCCAGGCGAGCTAACTCGTCTTTGGTTACCACAGGGACAGGAGCAATCACGTGGAAGAGTCACGTAAGAGCGCGTGAAGGGCACGGGAACACCCTCGGTTCTGTTGAAGGTAACGGTCCCACCCTACCCACTGTGGCTCTCCCTAACCTTGAGCACCAATACCTTCTATTCAATTTTGGCTCACTCTGTCATGTTCAGTAAAAATAAAGGGTGCCTACCCTATTTCTTCCTTGCTTTTCTAGAGTTTCTCCTTTTTCTTAGACATTTCTGTCCCCTTTAAGACCTCTGTGCCTTTCACTAATGAACCATGAAACCTCACTTCTTCCTTCTTTTCCTAGAGTTAGATTTTGATTTTTAGGTACAATGTCCAAACTACATTTGGCAAGAGCGTCTGTTTTCATTTGGGGAAGAGGAGAAGATTTCATATTCAGAAAGGAGCCAGTGAGCACCCAGCTGAAGGTGCAGCCGGGACTTGTGGGGCTAGTCCTGAGAGTGTCAGGTTCATTTGTGCAGGGTTGGCCAGGGCCACTGCACCACCTGCACCTTGCCTGCTGTTGCTGCTGGGAAAACATGGAGAGGAGGTGGGCAGTCCCTGAAACCTGCCGCCATGAGAGCCACTGCGATGGGGCCAGGCTGAGTCACCTGCTGGCAGGGGAAAACAGCACACTAGGGCATGCAGGAGTGGGTAGAGAGGGGCCCTGAGGCAGAGCTGGGCCAGGGGTGGTGCCACACTTCATGGAGCCAGTGGGAGCTGGGGACAAGCACGAGCCCTGCCCTTTCCAAGTTGACGGTGTGGGAGCTTACCAGGCACAACTGCCTGCAGCTGCCCAAGCTGCAGCTGTGACCCAGGCACCCCTGTGCTCTTGGAAGCTGGGAGCAGGCAGGAGCGCTCCTGCCCTCCCAGGCATCACTGTAGCTACCCTGCTGTGGCTGCAGATCCAGGCATCTCTGCACTCTCAGGGGTCCAGGAAGGCCCCTTTCCCCCCACGGGCTCAAGAAGCACCTGCTCCTGCTGCCTGGCTTCTCCCTGCTGTCAGCACCTGCTCCAATCTCAAAGCAAGGCTGGGGCTGAGCCTGGGCTCTGCTGTAACCTGGTTGGGTGTGCACACGCTTGAGGCAGTGCTGATATGCCCACCTCCTACCCCATTGGCCTGCTCCAGACTTTGGGTGCCAATAAGCATGGAAGGGAGGCTGAGGAAGGGGTGCTCAGGACAGCTCGGTGCCAGCCTGCAGGTGCCCCCTCAGCATGAACAGCCTGGGTGCCATAAACAGAAGCAGGGAGCAAAGAAGCTCCTGGGCAGAAAAGGGGAGGTCCCCGGTGAAGCCCCACCTTCAAGCCAGAGAAGCCCTGAAGCCTGGGGGCCAGGTTGCCAGTCATGTGGACTGGAGTGGGAACTTGTGGTGCTTTTCTGGGTCTGTCCATGACTGCCCATGGACCAACTGCACGCATTTCCTCTCCTCTGAGGCACATAAAAGCCCCGGACTTAGCCAGACTTGAAGAGACAATGGGACGACCAGTGGCAGAGAGGAGCTACCCTCTCTGCTGAGAGCACAAGAGATGACGGGGAAAACCTGCCTGCAGAGAGGAACTGCCCCCTGCAGTTCAACTCTGAGCTGTTCTATCACTCAATAAAGCTCCTCTTCATCTTGCTCACCCTCTACTTCTCTGTGTACCTCATTCTTCCTGAACGCAGGACAAGAACTTGAGACCTGCCAAATGGTGGGGCTAAGAGAGCTGTAACACAAACAGGCTGAAACACGCCTCTTGCTTGCCACACAGCAGGTGAAGAGAAGAGCTGCGGCCCTTTGGGGAGCTCTGTCCTGGGAGCCCCCTGAGCCAGGGCAGTGACTCCCTAGTCTCCAAGCTTCTGGGCAACATCATGTTCCTGGTGCCAACCGTGGAAGCTGCTTGTGATGTGCCTGGTCCAGCCACAGCCTTGCAAGGAGGTGGCACCTGGAGCTGCCTGGCCTGCAGCAGCAGCCGGCGTGCCTGCCTATGCGCAGTGGCCAGACCCCACGCTCACTCACACATCCCTCACCACTCTGTGCCTGGCTCGCCCTTGGCAGGCATGGGATCTAGGCCGGTAGCATGAGCTGAGTGCAGCCTGCTAGGTTCCAAGTGGGTGGAACGAGCCTAATGGGCCAGAGCAAAACTCAGGCCAAGGCGCCACTGGCCACAGAGGTTTCCGGCTGGTGAAATGACACCCCAAGGATCCCATAGCAATAATACCAGGAAGCAGTGCTTGCAAAAAGGAATGACACCAGAAAGAGTGAACCCGAACTGATGGGAAAAACAGGGCAAATGAAGAGGGTGGGGTCTGGGCACCTTAAGGTAGGGTCAACATGACAGACCCACCCACTCTGAGTCCCCAACCATGGGTCATGCCGCATTTTGGGGCAAATGATGCTGTTTAAAATAACGCAAATTCTGTGGATGTGATTTTGGGGGAAATTACTTGTAAAGACCACTGGAACTATATACAGTACTTTACTAGATTGGTTAGGGTAATTCCAAGTATGGATGATCAGAAACCAGAGAGAAACAAGATCATTCTTCACAGATCTAGGAGGTATACATAGCTACTTTATGAAATCTTAATCCTAGAGATGTTTTATAAACTCTCCTTTCTGAATATGAAATCTTCCCCTCTTCCCCAAATCAAAACAGACTCTCTTGCCAGGTCTCCATTACATTGGCACTCACCTCTCCAATGATCCCTCCATGCCTCGCACACTCATGTCTCTGTTCTTTGGTATGTCTCCTGGCTGCAGTTCACTGGGCGCAGGCTCAGTGCTGATCACAACCCTATGCACTTCTTTCAGATGGCCAAAATAGACTCGGATGTGGCCAAACACTTTTGCACAAAACTCACAACACATGAGTTTCTTCAGACGGTTCTCACCATGATGAAGTTTCATGTGTGTGCTCAGGCTGCCAGGACGTACATAGGACTTGCGACAAATCCGACAACTGTAAGGGCGTCTGTTGGTGTGTGTATTCATGTGGTCTCGAAGGTGCTGTTTGAACTGGAAGTGGTGGTTGCAGACGTGACATCTGTGCCAAGGCTTCTTAATGCCAGAGAATCCATTTCTGAACACGGAGCTGGGCTTAGGGGAAGAGCTGTTGTCTTGCTTACAGCCAAGATATTTAGGAGTGAGTGAATTATTTAACAAAACATCCTGTCCTAGGCCCCCAAGCATCTGGGACTGTAGTGTAGTTGGAGAAGCCAGGGAGGCCAAAGTGGGTATGACCATGATAGGTTTGGGCATAATGCTACGGTATTTTTTCAGGGTCCCCAGCTTTTGGTCTCTGAATTCTTGGGGATCATTTTTTACTCTTTCTTTACCATCTCTACACTTATTAATGATATATTTCCTCCTTTTTCCCTGAAATGCCAAAATTTCATCTGGTACCTTCCGTTTTCTTCCTTTTCTCTTTGCTGCTCCACTGTTCAGTTTTGTTTTGTGGTTAAGATCAAGTTTGGTGGGTGGACAAAAGGCACTTTCACAGGCACTCTGCTGTGACACTTGTGGAACAGGTAGCCTGCTTGCCACCTTGGTGGCTGCATTAAAGCCTTCTGTGGTGGAGGGTATCTTATCACAGTCGGCCTTAGGTCCTGGTAAAGAAAAACCTGCAATGTTAGCATCTGATTTGATTTTGTAAACCTCCATTGTCTTCATTCTTGAGTAGGGTGGGATTGGCAGTTTCCCTTTGGGGACTGAAGAGATCAACTGAACTGCATTGCCAAGAATGGTTGGTGATAAATTGGTCATGGTTTTTGCAAGATCAACTTGTTCTTTAAATTTTTCACTGGCAACAGCAGAAGGTTTACTAGATGTTATCTTGCTTACAAAGTGTGCTTTCCCTGAAAGAGCTGTGAGGTCCTGCTTGGCAGGCTCCTCTGGTGTGGATGATGCTGGGGTAGCAGGAGGGTTCAGACTGCCATGGGTGTTGGTCACTGGTGGTCTCAAGTCCCCATGGTCACTTCCATTGGTCAGCGCAGCTGTGCTAATGCTGGCTGGGGCTTGCTCTAGTGATGGTACTTCCTCAAATGGACTGGGTTTGTACAGGAGTTCAGGGTGGTGAGGTGGGGAAGGGGACATCTGAGGACACATTTGGGTTTGGGCAGGAGCTTTGCTACAGCCACTCTTAGGAAAGATCAGGATGGGTTTCTTTCTTGATGCTTTGCTATTTCTAGGGGGTTGATATCTAGGAATAGGAAGTTTCAGGTTTTCAGGTAGGGACATTCTGGGTTTCTGAATTGGCTGAGCTGAGGCAACATGTGGCAGAGCAACAAGAGAAAATGTCCCCTCCTGGCCAGCAACCTGCATCAGGGCATAGTTCTGGGTGGACATCCCCAGCAGCTTGGAGTTGATGGAGGGTCCCAGATTCACCTGATCAGAGCGTGATGGTGAATGACATGGCAGCATTCTGGACGTTAGGACTTTGGGCACAATTTTTGGTGCAATGGTCCTAAACTGACTCTTATTCTGCAAACCTTTCCTACTCTGTATTGTTCCAGAAGGGATGTTTGATTCACCTGCAATGACAATAAAATATAAAGAGTTACTGTATGTAACTGTTCTGTTAGTGATACTTCAAACAACAAGCATCTTATTTACTCTGCCCAGAACAGATTCCTTGACCTACCTCCAAGCCTTCTGGGCAAAATCTTGTGTCCCTCAAGACCAGCTTGAAGATCAATTCCTGCCTACCTTCCCCAAGGATTTCTATACTTATCTATGGTTCCTTAGCTCCTATTATGTTATTTACCATTTTCCATAATAATTTATGTGTTTATGTGTATCTCTACTAGTCAACACTGCTTGACAGCGAAAATTCCGTCCTTCTCATCCATGTATTCTGCAAGTCCATCCTCTCCATTTAACCTATCCCCACTCATCTTCACATGATGTCTGGTATGTTCTGCTATGTAGTTTATTATTTTATATACATGTTCTGCTTTCCCTATTAAGCTTCAGCTTTGTGAGGGTACAGCCTATATTCATCTCATCTTGATATTTCCCACTGTATCCTTTGTATAAAACAAGCGCTTCTTGTATCAAACTCATTTTTCACTCAATCTCAGGATACACCATTTGACCCACTGGCAGTTGAATTTGTTTTGCACAGTGGATGCATTCCAGACTGAATGCTAGCTTTGTTGCTGTTTCCCCATGTGACTTACGAATTTCTTCTCACACCTTTCAAACTGTTTATGTGTGCTTTTGCAATTAAATCACCAGTATTAAAAAAGCTGATGTGACACCTTTAAAAAATGTTGAACAAAAAACAGAAAGATACAAAGTGATAAGTACAGATACAGAGACAACATGCAAAATATGTGAATGGCATAAAAAGCACCTTCTAGGATACTAATAGGAACAATTTTGACTGATAGGGTAACACTTCATTCTTTCTGGATTTATTAGCCTGACCTAAGATCAATTACTACTACCTTAAGAGAACAATTAAGGAAACATTTTGGTGTCCTGCTTCTAAAGACTGAATTATCTATTTTATTCTCTGAGGTCTCAAGGTCACAAGACCTGGCTGCAGAAATGTTTCTAATTTCTAAGTATCTCATATTAATCAAACTTCAATTCACATTTACTAGGCACCTACATTATTCCAATCATTATCCCAGGATTGGCTATTGCCAAGTCCACAATCCCTTTTCTGAAATTTTTGGAGGAAGATGTGGTTTGGAATTTATATTTTCAAATTTTGGAAAAGTAGTAAGATGCGTGTACTAAATGTTACATAACTCCCAGCGGAATCTGCAGGGCACCCATAATTGAACCTATTACCACTTCTGTAGCAAAACATGCAAATATTCGCAAGTTGGACAAATGAAGATTTTTAAATTGTCTTTATTTCAGTTCAAGTTTTTGCTTCTGAATGAGTTTGTAACAACTTTTCATAAACTTCTGTTTTCAGAGTTTTTTAGATTTTAGAGTTGGGGGTAGGGGACTGAACACTATCTGTTAGAGGATACAAGGTAGGTAGCAGACAATCTAGTGAAACAGACAATTGAAAATGTAAAATCAGCTGGGCACGGGGGCTCACGTCTATAATCCTAGCACTTTGGGAGGCTGAGATGGGCGGATCACTTGAGGTCAGGAGCTTGAAACCAACCTGGCCACGTGATGAAACTCTGTCTCTACTAAAAATACAAAAAAAAAATTAGCCAGGCATGGTGGCAGATGCCTGTAATCTCAGCTACTGGCGAGGCTGAGGCAGGAGAATCACTTGAACCCTGGAGGCAGAGGTTGTAGTGAGCCGAGATCGCACCACTATACTCCAGCCTGGGCAACAGTCTGAGCGAGACTCCGTCTCAAAAAAAAAAGAAAAGAAAATGTAACATCAACCTTGATTTTCTTTTTTCTTTTTTTTTTTTGAGACGGAGTTTTGCTCTTATTGCTTAGGTGAGTGCAATGGTGCGATCTCGGCTCACAGCAACCTCTGCCTCCTGGGTTCAAGTGATTCTCCTGCCTCAACCTCCCAAGTAACTGGGATTACAGGCATGTGCCACCACACCCAGCTAATTTTGTATTTTTAGTAGAGACAGGGTTTCTCCATGTTGGTCAGGCTGGTCTCGAACTCCCGACCTCAGGTGATCTGCCCGCCTCGGCCTCCCAAAGTGCTGGGATTACAGGCATGAGCCACCGCGCCCGGCCCGTCAACCTTGATTTTAATGCCTACAGTGAGTGAATTAACAATTTTAGCAGGAAGTTGATTCTTTCAGCAGAAATGACACCGCCTAAATAAACAAGCAACCTAGTAGAAATAAGGTGAAATTTATATTGACCAGTTTATTTTTAGAAAGTAATTGTTTTGCAAAGAAAAAGGACATTATGAAACATAAGTTCACAGGATAGCCTGCACGAGAGTAAGAAGTACAAGGACTAGTGAGTGCTATTGTCTGGAAAAATCAGACAAAGATAATTATGTTATTTGTTGTTTTCCTTCTGAGTTTGGTTACCGTGAATTCCGCTTATGGGTAAATTGAGTGGTAAATCACTTGACAATAGTCATCTGTATGGATTGCTACTTCTTCCTACATAATTTTAATTTTTAAGTTTTATTTTCATAGCCTTTAAATTTAAATGTTTTTCATTTTAAACCTCACCTTCTCATCTTTTTTTTTTTGGAAGAAGTACCAAAATAAGTCATAAATAAACACTTTAAATCAGGATTGAGAGACTTTGCAGAAAGCCTAAAATTATTGATGGCTTTTGGTTACTTAGAGATGTGGCTTAATAAATAATTACATTAACAGTAATAATGTTCTTTGCATTTACACAACAGATCTGGGGTGTGGAAGGAAGAGAAGAGAAAATATTGGGTCATTTATCACTAGTTCTTCCTCCTAACTGGGCAGAAAATATTTACCGCAAGATGAGCTAGAACAAAGGCTTAGTAATTCACCCTCTTGAAAGAATATGTGACAATAACACATCATAGCACAAGATCTATGACTTCCTCATCTCAAATCTGTCCAATGGCTCTTCATCTCAGAGTAAAGCCAAAATCCCTGCAATGGCTTAAAAGGCCTCATGCTTAAAAAGGTTCTCAGGAGCCTCTTTGACATATTTCCTCTACTTGCTCCACTCCAGCCATGGTGGCCTCTTTGCTGTTCTGGGCATGCACCTCCTGAGAGGAGGCTCCTGGCTGGGAGGAGCATTGGCTACTCCCGCCCACCCAAGACACTCTTCCCTCAGTAAATCCCCAGTACTTGCTGCATCGTTTCCTTCAAGGTTTTGCACAAATGGCTTCTTCTCAACGAGCATCTCCTCTGATGACCTTATTTAAAACTATATCCCATTGTGAACTCCCTGCTCCCTCTTCCTGTTTCATTTTCTCTAGAACATATGCTCCATTTATGGCCAGGCATGGTGGCATATGCCTGTAATCCCAGCACTTTGGGAGGCTAAGGCAGGCAGATCACTTGAGGTCAGGAGTTTGAGACCAGCCTGGTCAACATGGTGAAACCGTTTCTACTAAAAATACAAAAATTAGCCGAGTGTGGTGGCAAGTGCCTGTAATCCCAGCTACTTGGGAGGCTGAGGCAGGGGAACTGCTTAAACCTGGGAGGTGGAGGTTGCAGTGAGCTGAGATCATGCCACTGTACTCCAGCCTGGGCAACACAGTGAGACTACATCTCCAATGAATTAATGAATGAATAAATGAATAAAGTATCACATATAGGCCGGGCACGGTGGCTCACGCCTGTAATCCCAGCACTTTGGGAGGCCGAGACAGGTGGATGACAAGGTCAGCAGATCGAGACCATCCTGGCTAACATGGTGAAACCCCGTCTCTACTAAAAATACAAAAAAATTAGCTGGGCGTGGTGGTGGGCGCCTGTAGTCCCAGCTACTCGGGAGGCTGAGGAAGGAGAATGGCGTGAACCCGGGAGTTTGCAGTGAGCCGAAATAGCGCCACTGCACTGCAGCCTGGGTGACAGAGCGAGACTCCATCTCAAAAAATAAAAATTAATAGATAAAGTATCACATATACTGCCTGGCTTCCCTAGAATTCCTAGAGGACAGGGAGTTGGTCTGTGTCTTCAGGGCCTACAGTGTCCAGTACGTGACAGAGATTTACTAAATATTTGTTGAATTTTTAAAGTGGTAATAGAGTGATCAATGAGAAAAATAAATAATTTAGAGGTTGAGCCTTGGAAATTTTGTAAACAGTGGGGAAAAAAAGAACACAATTTAAAAATGACCTTTAACATTTCCATATTTTGAAAATTAAAAAAGAAACAGAGGATATTTCTCTGAGACATCTTAAAATGTAATTTTATTTATTGCCAGAATAAGGAGCTAATAATCAACTACCTACCTGAGGAAATAACAAAAGAGAATGGTAAATTATGCTGCTGGGGCATAAACTGAAATAGTCAACGAAACAAGCAAGCTCTACAGAAAACAGACACACAGAGAGGAAGAGTGGGGGGATTAGAGCGAAGACAGAGGAACAATAGAAAGGGAAACTGAACCTCGGAGGCAGAGCATGGTAATGTCAACAAGAAGAAAGGCAGAAATAACAGACAGCAAAAGATGCAGCTGAAGCAACAACAGTGGTCAAGGTCACCTCGAAGTCTCTAAAGACTTAAGTTGGGAAGGGGCTTCCTATTTTTTATGACCAAGTGTGAGAAAGCAACCTTCTGACAGTTAAGGTTTCCAGAAATGAAACCAGATATACTTCATAGAGCCATACCAAAAGGGAGTGAGCTAATTATGATATATTTGAAGTAAATGTGCTTCAACGGATCTTCAAATGTCTCCACATTATAGTGGAAATAAAATCACATAGGAAGAGCAAGGGCATTCAAAGGAAAAGGAGGCCACTGTGGCCTGGGAACAACAGGACACTCCTGAGCTCTGTCCTGGCTGCGAGAGCACCGATCAGTGTGAGCAGTGTGGGCAACCTGAAGTGACAGAGGCCCAGACGACTGGTATGATGTCTGCCAAACTGAGTCCGTGCTCCTCAAGGTCCCTGCGATTTAAAGAAGTGGATGCTGGGGTTGAAAGTCTTATCAGGTGGTTCATGATCAATATCACAAGCTAATCACAAAGAGTTTGTGGGGTGAAAAGATAAGGTCTTGTTGAGTACATTTAACATACTTATGCTTGTCTGGATCTATCAGGAAGTACATACAAGGTTAAGGGTCTCCATGAAGGTGGTGTTGAATCCAATTTCTCAGAATCATTATGGATAAATAACTAAACCAATGTGTTAGTAGAAATGCAAGGCAGGAGAAAGACAGCAAGGCCACAGAAACAGAAGAGAAAAAACCCTCGTAATTACTTAAGTGTCCACCAACAGGGTGCTAATAAGATAATCATCCAACCATACAATGTAATACCACGCAGTAATAAAAACAAAGAATGAATCAGGGTGATCTGGAATACTCTCCAAGATGGGAGATGTACAGTATGCTATCACTTGGATTAACAAAAATGAGAAGATACACACACAAATATATCCTTTATATGTGCAGAATATCTCTGAAATGAAACAAAAGAAATCAGGATTATGGTGGCCTTTGTTGGGTGGAGGGACCTGGAGGAACTAAGAAGTCAGGAATGGGATAAGTGCTAACTTCCCACCGAATACGCTCTGTGCCTGGCACACAGGAGGTGCTTAGACATATTTGTTTAATGAATGAAAGGAAAACGAAAGTTTCCCTAGTTGAATCAGTTTTAAAAAGCAGTATCTTTTGGGATATTTGTGATGAGTGTGTGTCTATGCATAAATGACTGTCTAGATGTACACACAGAGAATGGCTCATGTCTTTTATTTTCCTTGACTACTTAATGACAAGAATTGCTAACGATCAGGGAAGTAATCTAGTAAGTAATCCGACAGGCAGTGCATAACTATCCACCAAAGTTAAGCACTGAGAAGTATTAGAGCTCATTACCTCCCAAGGACAAGTGGAGTTGTACAAATTATTCCTCCAAACATTTGCTCTTTAAGATAAAATAAGGCAATTTGCAATAAAGGCCAGTTATGCTAGAATAACTCGTGTTTTTTTGTTTTGTTTTGTTTTGTTTTTTAGTAGTCTGAACAACAGGAGTCCTTACAGAAGCTGAAAATGCCATTAAGTTTTCAAAAACTCTAACATACTAAGATAGTATGTCTGCAGAGTCTTTCTTGGCAATATAGTTATACAACAGTGGTTTATTCCACTACACATTTACAAGGCCTTTCACAGATGGTGTGATCTAAAAACTCTCACCTGCACCCACTAAATTACAGATCTTACAGAACTGTGCACTAAATAATGAGAAGTAAAAATTTCCACTGACATTCATAATTTCTGGAAATCCTGCACAACTACCCGTAACACAGTTAAAGAGACTCACAGGACTCTCAGGTACTAAACATGGACTTTTATTAACTGAAGACATAAAAGTGTCGCTCAGTAAAATTAATTGTGTACAATTATTCAACAGGAATACTTAATATTAGGATCTTAAATATGGGCTGTTTTTAATATGTTAAGCATACTAAAATAACAATTTTGAAAAGTGACATTTACAGTTGGTGAGAAATTGATCTAGCTGGGATTAAAGGGAAACTAGGAAGTGTTGAGCCCTTATTATGGTCTAGAATTAATGCTAGGTCTTTTAATTAAATCTTCATCCAAACTCTGCGAATAAGTATTACTGTTCCCCTTACACAGATTAAGAAAAATGAGGTTTGAGGAAGTTAAATAATCTGCCAAAGTCCACATAACCCAGAGCTGTCCCACTCCAATTTGAAGCAATGACCTTTTTCTTCATTTTCCTTCAAAGGGCAGGGGGATTATATGTAAAGTTGTCTGAATTTATCACAAAATATAATACCATATCTAAATTTTAAATAGAAAAAATAAATTTTGAAATAGAAATGGCTTGTCATATTCTAAAATTTCTTTTTTTTTTTTTTTTGAGACACAGTCTTGCTGTCACCCAGGCTGGAATGCAGTGGTGAGATCTTGGCTCACTGCAACCTCTACCTCCCAGGTTCAAGTGATTCTCCTGCCTTAGCCTCCCGAGTAGCTGGGATCACAGGCATGTGCCACCATGCCCAGCTAATTTTTCTATTTTTAGTAGAGGCGGGGTTTCACCATGTTGGCCAGGCTGGTCTTGAACTCCTGACCTAAAGTGATCCACCCGCCTTGGCCTCCCAAAGTGTTGGGATTACAGGTATGAGCCACCCCATCTGGCCTAAAATTTCTATTACCATTAAATTATACTAACTTTCTGAAAGCCCACTTATTAGAGATAACTCACAGAAAATTAATAGTCATTTGAAAGCAAAAGCATATTTTTATATTTGAATTTGCCACTTACTATCCATAGGACTCTGAGAAATCCAGAAAGGCTGTTGGATATTTGGAGAATGTGCAACGTGTGTCCTCCTCCTCCTCCATTGCCATCAAAGGATTGGATCTGATGGATATCATTTACATGTTAAAGGCAGTGGAGGAAAGAATGAGGGCTCAATAGCACTAGGTGCCAATGTCTTACCCAGCTTTATTAAACTGTTTCACAATGCAGCTACCACAAATAGTATTAAGAGACAAGCACATGAGGCAATTCTCTAGATAGCTACAAACAGCTCACTTCCTGATGTCCATTGGCAGAACCAAAGCCTGCTCTGTTGCTTCTGAATAAAGTTGTTCAACCTCTTCTGGTCGCTGGTTTGGGCAAAGTTCCATTATTCCATCTGCTGGGGCCCACAGGCCTACTGCTAAGAGTGCAGAAGGGAGCAGGCAGAGAAAGAGAGGCGTGTCCCTGCTCTTGAAACAGGCCCCCTGGATCCAGGCTCACGAGGAAAGTTCTGCCAAGTCTTGGTCACTAAAGAGCCAAAAATTTTAGGTGTTGTTCTGGTTTTAATTTTATTAAACTGAAATACTCTATTTTCAATTTCATTCGTTGTTATCCCTGTTTTCCCTGCCACTTGGCTTTCAAATAATAAATTCCACTTGGGGTTCAAACTGTTTCCCAAGATGGTCTCTAGTTAAAATAAATATGGTAAAACCCTGGAGAGGTCTGGGATAAAAGCAATGTCTCATAACACAAGGGAGTGCAACTTAATTTTGTTGAAAAACCTATAAACACCTTTAGCCATTGCCTACCCTCTCCCCAAGCTACTGTCCAGGGTCTGCAGCAGCAGTCAGAGTCAACAGGAATTTATTGAGCACTGACTATGGAGCATGCACTGTAAAACGTGCCGGCAATAGGCACAAGTGTTCTTTTGTTTCTAAGGACTCAGGATGCCAAATGCATTTCTAGTCCACATATCTGCAGCATGGAGACCTCCTAGAGTCATCATGTCTCAGACCTAAGTTTCAGGAAATTTGAGACAATGCAAAGGAAACAAGCACATTCCTAACTGGAGATCTTGTATCCTGAATCTAGTTTAGTCCATTCTCCTTGACATACTTGTGTGTTCTGCTCAATTATTGCTCTTAGCTAACTCCCCTCTCCCTCCTTAACACCACCAGTGACATGCAGGGCAACTTCCACTCAGCACAGGCCTTTGAGATTTGTCTTGTCAAACAGTGCATCCATCACCTCACTTCGCAGGGAAGGAAATTCTCATTTTCTGAGGAGCTGAGCTTCTTTATCAATACTGTTTCTTTAATATTATCCCAATGATAAGCAGATTTTATGGGTTAGGTACTGTGCAAAATATATAACATGCATTATCTCACTTAATACCCAAAAAACCTGAATTAGGAACCACTGTTGTATCTGTTTGTTTTTGAGACAGGGTCTCACTCTGTCACTCAGGCTGGACTGCAGTGGTGTAATCACGGCTCACTGCAGCTTCAAACTCCCCAGGCTCAGCTGATCCTCCCACGTCAGCCTCCCAAGTAGCTGGGACTACAGGCGCACACCAACATGCTGGGCTAATTTTTGTATTTTTTTATATATTGTTTTGCCATATTTCCAGGCTGGTCTTGAACTCCTGGACTTAAGCAATCCACCTGCCTCAGCCTCCCAAAGTGCTGTGATTACAGGCGTGAGCCACTGTGCCCAGCCAAGTCTGTTTTACAAGGATTTCTAAGCTCATAAGTAACAGTGCTGGAACTCAAATCCTAGCCCATTTTATTCCAAAGGCTCTTTCTACCTCTGCATGCTGACTGTAAGCTACTATGTGTGGTTATGGCCAGCATCTGATCTTCAGTAGAAAGACTGTGTGTTTTGGGGTTTAGACAGATTTGGTTTCAACTCCTGGCTCTGTCATGTACCTGTGGCTTTGGCACTTCACTCTCTGTGCCTAAATGTTAGGATCTATGAAATGGGCATAATAATATCTGCCTACAAAGGTCCCTGTCAGGATTAAATGAGAAAAATACCCATGATGGTGCAAGTAGTTCCTGCTACATGTTAGATGCTCAGCAGATATACTAGTTTTCCACTTTCTCTTGCTAGAGACTATCAGGTTGTTGACATTTATTTTTGTTGGGAAAAAAAAGGCACAAATCTTGAATGATCAGCATATGGAAGTAGTTCTGAATCCTTAAAGTAGTGTTTCTATTTTGAAACGTAAATGAAGGAAAGAGAAAAGAAATGGCTATTACTTGTGCTGGCCTCAAAAGATAGCTTCCCAAAATGAAGACCTCAGAAGCAAAAATCTCTCTGCCCTTCTGTCCCTGGCCCTTCATTTTCCCCCCGAGATTAGCCATAGAATCTAGAATCCCTCTTCCCCAAGGTGAGTCATAGAAACCAGAACCACTTTTCCCCAAAGCCAACCATAAAACCTGAAATTATTACTCTAACCTTGGCCATAAAGAAATGATCTGACCTACTTGTTTGATTGTAGGTCATCGGACCCGCATTCCAGAGAGGGTCCTGCCTCATACCCAGAAGGAAGGGATGTTCCACAGAGAGGTCAATAGCAATCCAAAACAGACAAGCCTTGCTGGGTTTCCTCACTCACTCTATTAGCATTAGATGACATCCCTTTTGTTCAATTATATTTCTCCACAACTATCCATGTTTTGTTGAACCTCAGCATGAAAACGGACAGTTTCCCATCTTTGGGTCTGCATTCTGAAAGCTCTCGTGTCATGTAACACAGCTGATTCAATGTATATACCTTTTCTCCAATTAATCTGCTGATCTGTCAGCTCATTATCAGTGAACCTTCAGAGGGGTGAAGAGGAAGTTTTCCTTTGCCTCTATGCTTGTAAATAATGAAACTGTATTTTAAATCTTGTGCCTCTCTTTTGACACTCACGCTGGTAGCTCAATCTTTCCTAACATCTAATCCAATCCGTCTTGCCAGGCTCTTTGATTCCCTGTCCAGAACCCACTCCCACTTGCCCTTCTGTAAATTTTTGTATCCCAGTTGATAAAGTGCTAATTGGATTAACAATTCAATGCGAATAGGGTTAACATACATGCATTTTAAAGAGCTACTTTATGGAGACACTCCTTCCCACTTTTGTTTATACCTAGTAAGTAGTGAGGCCAACTGTTGGTCTTAAACCTAGCAGGGAAGAAAGCAACTACCCTAGTAGTTGTTCAAGAAAGTGGGGTAAGTACAGATCTCAGTGGCCCTGTGATGGGGGATGGGGCCCAGAGTGGGGTTAGGGACACTTGCCTTGCAGACTTTAGTATTTTGCCGAATAAATTATTATAAGTTTTAAGACAGCCTGAGTACAGAAAGAAAAGTTAGGCACTGAAAGAGGAACTATAGCCCCTAAAATGGACTAAATGAGATATATAAATACAGTTGTCCCTTACCATCTGTGGGGGATTGGTTCCTCCACAGGACAATGACCTCCTTTAGACACGCAAATCCATAGATGCTCAAAACCCTGATGTAAAATGGCACAGTGTTTGCACATAACCTATGCATACCTCCTCCTGTATACCCCAAATCACCTTTAGACTGCTTTTAATACCTAGTGCAATGTAAATACTATGTAAATAGTTGTTTTACTGTATTATTTAGGGAATGATGACAAGGAAAAAAATGTCTATACATATTCAATATAGATGCAGTTCGAAATTTTTTTTCAATCTCTGGTTAGTTGAATCCATGGATGCAGAACCCACAGATGCAGAACAGGATGTGGAGGGCTGGCTATATCATGCTGCAAGAGGAAACAAGCATTCTTTGTGAAAGAATTTAAAAGCCAATTACCTAGAATACTAGTGGCAATTAAAAAAAATAACACAATGTGGTTGATAAACTGAAGTAACTAATTATTCTTTCAGGGCCATATAGTTAATGTCCCAAGGGAAAAGTACATTTAAAAAGCTTTACCACTTAAAATATATTTTAATGATTCTCAATTTCAATGAATTTCTTCTTCATTCTAATTATGAAGCTTTTATTAGTTATTTCTGGAAGGAATTGTTTTTGATTTGGAATGCTTCTGATAAAAAATGGTTGAAAGCCATATGAAATTATGTTTGTTTTTAATACATTTAGAAAGATAAAGTTGTTTATTTTTTGGCAAAAATAATTTGTAGCACGCAAAAGATTTTATTCATTATTACAAAACATCCAAGCCAGTATCTTTACTCAAATCTAAGAATGACCGAGGAGCATAAGAAGTTAACTAAGAGCTAATGACCTTCCAAGGACACTAAGCCAGGCAAATGGAAACTTCTGAAATGCTTTGTTAACCCCATTCTCTCAATATTCTTTTTGTTGTTATTATCACTAAAATTGTTAATACTCAGTTGAGTCCTACAGTTGAAATTTGGACCTTGACAACTGAACTCCAACATGGTGAAAAGCAGCAGGTCATTTCATTTGACCTTCTATCACCATCACAAATACCTGTGCACGCTGTCCTTCCAGAACATTCTGACATTTGCCGAGTCAGCTGTTTCTCAATGGGGCTGGTGAACATGGAAACATCCACAAAAGAGGTTTAGTGAGCTGCACAGATATGGCATGGCAAGAAATCTTCCACCAACAAACTAAAAATGGGCCCTTTTTCTTTATATTTTCTTTTTCTTTTGAGACAGGGACTCGCTCTATCACCCAGGCTGGAGGGCAATGGTATGATCATAGCTCACCCGCAGCCTCAAACTCCTGGGTTCAAGTGATCCTCCTGCCTCAGCCTCCCAAGTAGCTGGAACAACACATGCACACCACCCTGTGTGGCTAGTTTTTAAACATTTTTTTGTAGAGTTGAAGTCTCACCATGTTTCCCAGGCTGGCCTCAAACTCCTGGGCTCAAGAGGTCCTCCTACCTCAGTTCCCTAAGTGTTGGAATTACAAGCATAAGCCATTGCACCCGGCCTACTTTTAGTTTTCAATAGCAGTTGCAACAGTTAAGTATCTTTGATGACTAACAAGATGACAGTTGGTGAAGAAAACCTTTTCCTCAGTGGGATAAACAGAAAGATAAGGTTTCAACATCAGAATGTGAAGTCAGTTGGAACAATTAAACTAGGACACATGCAAAAGGCTGGAAGTTTCTTGCCTTTGGTCAAAACACTATGATTATGAAACTAAAGTGGTAAAGATCACAATGTTTCAAAATGCAGGGAACCAAAATTACAAAGATATCGCTTTTATACTATAATTTCAAAAGTAAGTTCACTTTATCTAAAAGAGGTATTTTTGAGGAATGTGCAAACTACATTTTAAAAAATGAATTGTTTCACTGTTTTATAGTAGAGTTTTACAGATGCTTTATCTTCACTGCTGATTTATCTTTAACTCACAGTGATTTATAACATTTTTTTGCTGCACGTTTTTCTATACCTCAGCTTTTATGTCAAATAGTTCATGATTTGTAAGTACAAATGCACAAGGGTGGACAGCCACGGATCTTTAAGAAGTCAAGTATTCCCCTGTTATGCTGATAATTATTCCCTAACATTTCTGCTGGTAAGTCTTGACTGTTCCTTATTTCTTTAATGAAGACACACCTTTCCTTAACATAGAGAGACCATCTACAATACTGACACTTTGAAGAAAATAATAAAAAAGAACATGAAGTCCCAGGCACTGGTGGGTACTGAGGTGACTGGTTTGTGCTGGTCACCTTTGAGGAGCTGACCAGGTTAGTTGTCTATGAGTTAGCTGGCATCTACAGATCCTGTCGTGTGACTGATGCCATCAGATTCTGACCTGAGCCAGTACCAAGAGTGAAGGCGGCAGAGTTTGAAAGCTGTGGTGACTACTTTGGATTCCTTTGCCTTTGAATTCTGCCATCCTTCTTCTCCATCAATATGTTTATTGTCTTTTAGTGATGACTATGAAACCTGGGTTGAAGGGAATATCTATTCTCATCCACAGATGAAGAGTATGTCAGAGTTAACTTTCCCACCTCCCTGGAGATGGAGTGATGACACAGCCCACTGCTTCTCCTTGCCCCGAGGCTATGTGTGCCTGTGAGTGGTCTCCTTAGGTAGATCCTCCCATTCCAGAGCCGGCCTCCTGGCTGAGCATCCACACGCACTCCCCTCATATTGTAGGTTCGCCCCCTTGCTGTCTTCCTACAGAACCTTGCCTAGCTGGCCCCACCTTGTGCTCTCCACTTCCACCGCCTGTTATTTGGTGCTGGAGAAATCCAACCATTGTGAACGCTGGACAGTGTTCTAAGTTTAAAGTTTCTAGTTCAAAACCGATTCCACAGTCTATTTACTTGTCCCTAAGAGACTCTTGGCGGCCCACATTCCTTCCTCTGCTCTTCTGAGGCACTCTCCCTCTGTCCCACCCCTGCCCTATCCCCAGGGCCATCTCTCTCTTGCCAATGTTTTTTGACATTGACTTCGTGGAAAAAAGAGAGGCTATTATGTGGGAACTCATTCACTGTCCCTTTTATTTGTAAACTCCCTTTTTGTCTTTGATTATGCCACACAAATAAATTTATAAAAACCTTTTCTGTGATGGGGGAAAGGAGAAGTACTATAACTCTAAATATACAATGCTCAAATCCTGATATATTAAAATGTACAAAAAGGTGCATCTGAAAATAAGGAAATGGAGTATTCCCAACCCTGGTCTGGAGGCTACCCTTCCTTCCAGGCCCCTTGTGCCTCGGGGATACTGCACCATTGGTGAGCTCCCCAGCTCTCAGGGAGGCTGGCCTGTGACCATCCTGTCTAAAAGGAGCTGCTCAGCTCCATGTGATCACTTGCTATTTTCTTTTTCTGCTTCACTGTCCTTCGAGGTACTTACCTTCACGATGATATTACATTATCTGTCTCCTCGCTAAAATGTGAGCTCCAAAAGAGCAGGGGTTTGTTTTGTTACTGACAGGGTCTCAGTCTCCAGATCAGCAGCTAGCAGTTGTACAACATAATTTTTACTGAAGGAACGAACTATTAACTCTCAACCATATTGACATGGCTTCCTTCTGCTATGCTACTGCTGAACACAAAAACAGAAAAACAACAGCAACAAGAAAGAGTCGTTAGGCCCCATCTCCTTCCTTTTCTTCCTGAGACAATCTATGGTAGATGTGTACATATACACCGCCTCTACTCATCTATTTCTATTCTTCCCTCGAACCCCTAGAATCCTGAAGTTCTATTTTGAACAACTAAAATGCCCCTCAGTCAGAAGTTAGACTGAATGCTTAATCTACTATCTCAAGTCCTTCACCAATTCTTGGTATTAACACCTCCAGTCCATAGATGTGAAAACAACACTTCTTGCAAGATCACAAAGCAGGTATTGAGACTTGGATTTTAACCCAGGACTGTCTGGCACCAAAGCTGTTCTCCCTCCATTCCAACACGCTGAACTTAGAACTAAGTTGTTTAGCAATTTATCTGTTTACATGTCAGTCTCTTCCAGTGACCGGTGAGTGCCACATAATCCATCTCAATGTTGAGAAAAGAAAGATCTTTTTGAACAACCTTTTTCCAATCACAGTGCAACTGTTAGGAGAGAGAGAACATGTCTTTCTTCTAAGAGACATCTACAGCATGGTCACTGGAGAGGTAGTTAATGAACTCACACATAGCAATGCGCAATACCCTACAGCACTGTATCTATGGCCTTCTTTTAACAGAACTTCTGGTGACCAAATCAGGCTCACACCAGAATCTGACTTTTCTGAAGCAACAATTACACAATACATTTAATGACACTTTTAAGCAGCGACAAAGTAATTCTTCAATGAGTAAAAATGAAGAAAAAAAATGACAAAGGTCTTTTATAATTTTAAAAATAATATACATTTCTTAGATACTTCTTAATCTTACACCACCTTCTTCTAAAACTGATGACACTAAAGAACACTAGGACTGAAAGAAAAGTCTAAAATGCTAAAACAATTTCTAAATTCCTTATGTGGCAAGTCCTGCTCCTTTACTAAACTTGATAATATATCAGTGCTATGGTGTAATGATTTGGATCTGAGGAATTTTCTTTTTGCGGAAGGCTGGGGGAGGAGTTCCTCAGAGAAAACAAGACAAACTGCATTTCGTGTATGATAGAGAGTAGACGTCTGGCTTTGGTGTTTCTATTTATTATACTGCTGGAATGAATTTGAGCAAGATAATAATCCTTCGGCCTTCCTGGCCGTAGTTTCCTCTCTTTAGCAAGAGGGGATTAGATTAGATTAGTGTTTCTCAAAGTAGGGTTTGCAGAACCTCAGGAAGGGTCCCGAATACTCTTTTCATACTCATATCAAGATGTCATTTGCCTTGTGTCGACATTTGCACTTGTTGCGCTGATGGGGTAAAACTTCTCTAGCAACTTAGCCAAGTAAGGTAGTGCCCACAAACTGTTCAAGCAGTCATATTCTTCACTGTGGTACTCTCACAGTGGAACAACAAAAAAGCAGTACAAAATTTTAGTTTTATAAAATTTTGATCCTTGAGTACATGCCTTTTTAATATTCTGTGATGAAATCGTTCACAGTCAGAGTACATGTCTGCTGCATATGGAAATAGGACTGTTGTTCTGAGGACAAGCACTCAATTCAGCCGTAAAGCTGACCTGGCTACTTTTTTCATGGAATACAATTTTTACTTGAATAAAATGGCTGACAGACATATGCTGAAATATGTTGAATGAACATATTAAGACTTGGGTATCTGGCAGACATTTTCTCAAAAGTGAATGAATGGAACTTGGCATTACAAGAAAGAACTTCTAACAGTATTTGTTGCCAATGATAAAAGTCATTTTCTTTCAAGTGGCAATTGGAATTTTGGAAAATTTGAATTCACCACCAGGAACTTGAAGTTTCCCAGTAGTTACTTTTCAGGTAAAACTGGTGCTTATGGGTCAGGCGCGGTGGCTCACGCCTGTAATCCCAGCACTTTGGGAGGCCAAGGAAGGCAGATCACGAGGTCAGGAGATCGAGACCATCCTGGCTAACACGGTGAAACCCCTCCTCTACTAAAAATACAAAAAATTAGCCGAGCGTGGTGACAGGCACCTGTAGTCCCAGCTACTCGGGAGGCTGAGGCAGGAGAATGGCATGAACCTGGGAGGTGGAGCTTGCAGTGAGCCGAGATCGCGCCACTGCACTCCAGCCTGAGCGACAGAGCGAGACTCTGTCTCAAAAAAAAAAAACCAAAAACGAAAACTGGTGCTTACGTTAATGAATGATTTTTAAAATATCGCACAATGAAGTATATGGAAGATTTGCTTAACTCACTTAACTAGTGTTTTCTAAATGACCAGTTTAGTTTAACGTTACATGCGTGGATAAAAGAATCACTTAAGTATGAGACTCAAAATCTAATAGAATACAAAAGTACATGGACAGGGTTTCAAATTTCACAGTACAATTAAACTGAAAGAAGTTTCCATCTGACAAACTTTGGCATAGTATCAAAGAAAAATATCCATGATTATCTGAAAAGCCTACCAAAATATCCCCTTCCTTTCTGACTACTGGAAAGCTGGCTTTTAAAAAAATATGTCAACATATACAACATCACAACTGACTGAATGCAGGACTAGATATGAGACTCAAACTATCTTCAATGAAGCCAGAATTTAAAGATATTTGCAGAAAATGTAAATCAATGCCAGTCTTCTCATTATTTTTTTTGCTTTAGAAAAATATTTAGGTTGGTGCAAAAGTAATTGTGGTTTTTGTCATTAGTTTTATAGTATAGTCAATTTCGTTAAACTAGGTTATTTTTGTTAAGATGTAATGAGCTGTTATTTCAAAATGACATAAATATTTCAATATTTTTTATAATCACCCAATATGGTAAATATTGACAGATACAACCCATACAAGCAAATGCTCTTTAGAGTCCTCAATAATTTTTGAGAGTGTAAAGGGTCCTGAAGCTACAAAGTCTGAGAACAACTGAATTAGATGAAATCTAACTTCCTATGTCTTTTGAGATTCTATAATTGTGTGTGTTGATGAGTACGAGTGGGCAGGTTTGTGTGAATGAGAATAGAAAATCACATCTAGAAATGTTTTACTTTTTGTTGTTAGGTTTTATTCCCTTCACCTTTGTTTCCTTGAGAATATAACATGGCAGATCAATAGGAGAGAGTTTTGATAATAAAGTATTAAAAGGTAAGTCATCCTAACACAAATATTAATTATAATTAAAATATCACTAGCTGTCAACATTAGAATATGAACCAAATAAAATGCTTGACAAAAATCTTATATAATGTTTCAAAAACTTATCTTACTTAAATTTATATTTATGGAGTATAAGTTATATTCAAATGACATTTATATTTTTCCCCCAATTTTAAGAAATATCATCACAAGATACTCTTGGTAGTATATAATCTTTTCAAAAAACAGAGCAGTGTTTTTAAAGAATTTTTTTTTTTTTGAGACGGAGTTTCGCTTTTGTTGCCCAGGCTGGAGTGCAATGGCACGATCTCAACTCACTGCAACTTCCGTCTCCCCAGTTCAAGCAATTCTTTTGCCTCAGCCTCCCAAGTAGCTGGGATTACAGGTGCCCGCCACCCCACCCAGCTAATGTTTTGCATTTTTAGTAGAGATGGGGTTTCACTATGTTGGATAGGCTGGTTTTGAACTCCTGACCGCAGGTGATCCGCCCGCCTCAGCCTCCCAAAGTGCTGGGATTACAGGTGTGAACCACCGTGCCCGGCCTGAAGGATTTTTTTAAACAAAAAGTATTCAAAGTCATTTAAAATTATTTTATCCAAACAAAAGTAATCATAAGTTGCTCTTCCTAATTAATACAAGTTAGATGCTGGAATTCTATAAATGTTTTTAGGATTTTGTTGCCCATTAATTTAAAGACAAGAACAATATGTTTACTCTATTAAAAAGCATTACTAGATTTATGAATTTCTATTCCTATTGCTATTAGATTTTTAAAAACAGAAAATGCCTATCCTTTATTTTTGGCTTGCATAAAATCCTAAATACCCCTGTCAAACTACTTTGCTTTTATCCCTGCTCAAGCCATCACACTAACCATCTGCATAAATAAAGATGCAAGCATCTGCTATATTGCAAATGGTCTCAGGGGCAGATGTTTCCATCCTTGTGTTCATGTCACTGGGGCTGGATACATTATTTGAACAGATGTACACAATCTGGAAGTGTTGTGTCCCACAGTGAAATGTCTCCAACTGCTTTCTATCAAAGTACATAAATGCTATTTGCACCTGCATTTATGTTAATGATATAAAGGCAGCAGGGGTTCTGACAAAGTGAGATGTGATGCTATGAAATATATTTACATGGTTAATTGGAATTTCTGAGAGACTCTGCTGCCAAACGGCCACACTGACAATGATACATACCCAAGTAAATTATCCGATTACCAGCCTGTTTTTCAGGCAACAGAAATACAGCTATTTCGGCCGGCCACAGTGGCTCACGCCTGTAATCCCAGCACTTTGGGAGGCCAAGGCAGGCAGATCACCTGAGGTCAGGAGTTTGAGACCAGCCTGGCTAACACGGTGAAACCCTGTTTCTACTAAAAATACAAAAAATTAGCCAGGTGTGGTGGTGCGTGCCTGTGATCCCAGGTACTTGGGAGGCTGAGGCAGGAGAATCGCTTGAACCAGGGAGGCGGAGGTTGCAGTGAGCCAAGATCACACCATTGCACTCCAGCCTGGACAACAAGAGCTAAACTCCGTCTCAAAAACAAAACAAAAAAGAAAAGAAAAGAAAGAGGAAAGAAAGAAATACAGCTATTTTAAACAACAAAAATACTCATAATCTAAATTTACTAATATTTTAAACTCTAATATTTTATTTCAACTTCCATATATGGCTGGTCTACTTTATGGTTTTAGGCCACCCAGGTCATTTCCATTTATTCTAAAAGGATATTTCTACAGGCATGTGTGTGTTTTCCATTTGTTCTTCTGTCAACAGTATAACATACTAATAATGCACAATGGTATTTTGTAGAAGTTATTACATCAGAAAGTTCCAATTTCCAACATTAAGTAGTTAACCAAAACCAGCTTGCAAATGTCAATCTGTACTTGCTCTGCAGCATAAAATGGTACCAAAAGTCCAAGAACAGCATTTACACCACTTGTTAAGATCAAAATGTTTCCATATGAATATCACATATTTGGAAACATAATATTTTGGTAATACATAGGGAATGATATTTTCCCCCAATAGTGAGGTCATAAAGCAATGTTAAGCACTAAATGCAAAGCATCAAATTACAGTGGTACTCCTTGCTACTGTGTGTTCAATGTGAGGGCTGGAGAGTCACAGATCTTGCAATAGTAGTTTTCTTTGTAGCTTTACTGAACTAAGAATTTATGGTCACCTTCAAATAATATGTTACTTTATTAACTTGAAATTTATAATGCACAAAGTCATTTTATCTGAGAAAAACGTCATAAAAAATAGCTTTTATTCTGTAAATTATCCTGAGGCTTCTACTGTGCTTTCAAAGTTTTTACAAGGTGTATTCATATACAGTTGATTCTCATTATTTGTAGATTCTGTATTTGTGAATTTGCCTACTTGCTAAAATTTATTTTTAACCCCAAAATCAATACTTGTGGTGCTTTCACGGTCATTCATGGACATGTGTGGAGAAAAAAAAAGTTTGAGCCACTTGACACGCAAATTCCCAGGTTAGGCAGAACAAGGTGATGTCCTGCCTTCTTCTTTCAGCTCTCATACTGTAAACACGCATCCTTTTTACATTTCAAAAACTGTCACTTTTTTTTTTTTGCATTTTTTGTGCTTCTTTTTCTTGGTGATTTTACTGTTTACTTACGGTCTCCAGCATAGTGCTGGGTGCTGTCTAGTGCTCCTAACACAAGAGAACTGGGATGTGCTCTACGGAGAAAACACTTGTATTAGAGAAGCTTTGTTGGGGCATGAGTTATAGTGCTGTGTCTCTGAGTTCAATGTTAAAAAATTAACCCTGTCTATTAAATAAAGTATCTTTTAACAGAAATACACTTATAACAAGGTCATGTATCAGCTGTTGACAAAAATGTTGTGACTAGAGGCTCACAAGAACCTATCCTTGAATATCGCCTAGGAACAAATGGCTCAGTATTTGCTAATTCAGTGTTCCTAATAGCCTTCTAGAATATAAACACTACAAATAATGAGAATCAACCATACCTACTGCATTTGACTGTTACAGGATGAGAATTACTATCTCCATTGGAAAGATGAAGGGACTGAGGTTTACTTATTTGGCCAAGATCACAGAGCCTAAAAAGAAGCATGTAACAATGACCAGAGCTCAGCTGTCCAGATCAGTGTTCCTTCACCAGATGGAGAGGAAAGGGGAGATATGGCCAAGGAGGAAAAGAAAAAAATAGAGAGCTTAAGAAAATAGCTTTCATACCATGTTCGAAAGAGTGAAACTACGATTAGATAACAAGAATAAACCACTTTCAGGTTAAATCCCCATAAAAGGAAACCCCTGCTTGGATAGGCAGCCCAGTGTTATTAATTACAACAGCTGCAAGAGAGGAGCTTAGTTTGGTTTTATTTTCCCCCCTTTGCTTCTTTTGCTCATTGTCTCTTCAAAGGCAATAAATACTTGTTAAATGAACATTTGCTTTCATTGGCCTTAGAATTCCATCCACTTTGGTGTTTCATTAAAAAAAAAGATGACAATATTTTCACAGCAACAGGTGTGATTGATTTATAAAAACTGTTTGAGAGTTTAAAGCATTTTATACATAATTTAATATGCATTTTGAGAGCCTACTACATGCCAGGACGCTTTAAATCCTACTAAAGATAGAAAATTCATCAAGAACTTTATAAAAGACCTAATTGATACTAAGTCCAAAATAAGTAAGGTCTTTTCCTCAAACTTTAAGAATGATATGAGTATTAACTAGCTCCTCCCTAAGTATGCCTTACTTGAGTTCTAATATTCTTATTCACAAATACCAAAATGTTAGGTCTGTAAGCTGTAAGTATACACTTTTATGTCTGCAAGACATAGAATACATTTTTTAGACAGTATCATAACCATTTTTTATTGAATCAGAAAATCTAGGGGTTTTTAAAAAAGATTCAAATATGAATTCACATGATAGACAGTAATGGCTGTGGTTGTGCAGTCAAATCATGTAAAGATTTGGGAAATTAGTAGTAGCTGTACAGCACATGTCCAGCTAACTGCAGTGGGTCCAGAGGGGGCCGCCTGTGTGTCTGCGTCAAACCATTTGCTCTCTCCACCCCGACTTCTTACTTTTATGAAATAGAAATAACACTCACAATTTGAAAACTACCTTTAAATAACACAAATGTTATGACAGAGTTGAGAAAAGTGGTAGAAGAACTGTATAAGAAAACTTTTCTACTTGCAGAAGACTTGTCTAGGAAATGGCAAACTTAACTGTAAGGCTGACAAGTGACTAAGAATTGAGAGACTCGGCCAGGCACGGTGGCTCAGGCCTGTAATCCCAGCACCTTGGGAGGCTGAGGTGGGCGGATTACAAGGTACAAGTCAAGCAAGTGGAATTTAAGCCAGGGGGTTAAATTCAAGATCAGTCTGGCCAACATGGTAAAATCCCCTCTCTACTAAAAATACAAAAATTAGCCACGTGTGGTGGTGCGCTCCTGTAGTCCCAGCTATTCGGGAGGCTGAGGCAGAAGAATCACTTGAACCCGGGAGGTGGAGATTGCAGTGAGCCGAGATTGCACCACTGCACTCTAGCCTGGGTGACAGAACAAGACTCTGTCTCAAAAAAAAAAAAAAAAAAAAAAAAAAAAAAAAAAAAAAAAAGAGGTCAGGCGCAGTGGCTGACACCTGTAATCCCAGCACTTTGGGAGGCCGAGGCGGACAGATCACGAGGTCAGGAGATTGAGACCAACCTGGCTAACATGGTGAAACCCCGTCTTGACTAAAAATACAAAAAATTAGCCGGGGGTGGGGGCAGGCACCTGTAGTCCCAGCTACTTGGGAGGCTGAGGCAGGAGAATGGCATGAACCTGGGAGGCGGAGCTTGCAGTGAGCCAAGATCGCACCACTGCACTCCAGCCTGGGTGACAGAGTGAGACTCTGTCTCAAAAAAAAAAAAAAAAAAGAATTGACTCCAGTAAAACAGACTCTCACTTGACTTAAATGAAGATTCCTTCCTGACCAATGAACAATGAGACTTGCATTAACCAACTGTGTAGGAACTTAAAATTCATTCTGACTACCCAAGATACAAACTTCAATGGTCAATTGGCATAATCACAGTGAACTACTTCTTAGCACATAAGACACATACATTGTCCCTGTCAGAGAATCATTTGGTGATACTGCTCACCTGTATGAGTTTTCTTATATGGGAAGTAAATAAATTCACTTGCATTTTTAATCAGTGTGGTGACTTTGTCTTTCTTTCACCAAATCTAAATAGTTGGCCTTATTATGTTGTTTTCATGCCTCTTTTTTGAAAAACACAGTTTAGCTCATCATTTGAAAATAACAGACAAAAAAAGGAGGTTATGGAAAACTAAATTCTATCCCTAAATCCTGAAAGAATGATATAGAAAATTGTAACAAAATAAGTCTCATGAACATCTCAAAATTCTATAAATTATATTCTCACACAGAAAGGAATAACGGTGACACTAGTTTATAATAGAAAAATCTGTAATATAGTATAACTTATCGTTAGAGTGACAGTACAATGTTAAATCTCTTTATCTGAAATTAGATAACATTTAAATAGAAGAAACCAGAATTTCAAATTTGTTTTCTCCATTAATAATGCTGCCAGCTCTTCCTAGCTTTAAACCCCTGGCTTAAATTCCACTTGCTTGACTTGTACATATATGTTAATATCCTGAACAAATGTCATCTCCTCCATTTTGTTTCCTGACCAGCCTCAAAATCTCTGGCTTAGCCAACTGTCCTTTCATTCTGATTTTCAAAGTATGTCATACTCACTTCTAGTACAGCATTAGTCATGCTTTATTCTAATTAAGGACATGCACATATGCTGTTCCAACAGGATTTTAGAGCCTAAAAGCTCAGGCTCTGTATGATTTACCTTTGGATTCTTCATAGCATCTGATAGTTCCTCGTATGAATTACCTTGGTGATCATTAAACCTGCTTCTACCATATGAACTTTGTTTGGGGACAGTATGTTAGTACAGCATATTTTCCTTAATTTAAGCCTCACAACTCTGTTGGTGATGTCTTATCTGAATTTTATACAGAAATGCATATAATACGTGTGTATGTGTTTATAAGTTGGAAATTCAAAGGTATCATAATTTATAGCTAGCCATCAATGGTTTGTTAAATAAATCAATCTGCATTTAATTAATAAATAGCATGTGCCCAGCAAACTTCTCATGTCACACAAATTATGTACATGCAATTAAACAAATATATATGTAATATATTACGTGTGGGTGTGTGGGGGTGTGTGTGTGTATATATATATATATATATATATATATATATATATATATATATATATATTTAGAGACAAGGTCTTGTTCTGTTGTCCAGGCTGGAATGCCATGGCATGATCATAGCTCACTGCAGCCTCAAACTCCTATGCTCAAGCAATCCTCCTAGCTCAGCCTTCCAAGTAGCTGGGACTATAGGCATGAGCCATCACGCCTAGCTAATTTTGAAATTTTTTTGTAGAGATGGAGTCTTGCTATGTTGCCCAGGCTGGTCTCTAACTCCTGGCCTCAAGTTATCCTCCCACCTCAGCCTCCCAAAGTGCTGGGATTACAGGTGGGAGCTGCTGTACCTAGCCATAAATTATATTTGATCATAAACAGAATCATAATTAATACATCTGATGCTTTTGTTAAAAAATATTAATATTAATCTAAGACATACAGAAAGCATTTGAATGAATGAATGAGTAAATTAATGAATAACTGGGCAATTCATAGGACTTACATGTATTCACATATATTATTTTTCCTTATTGATGTAATTTTCCATAATTTAAGTTATAATTTCTGCTCACTTTGGTTTAAAATGGCTTTAAGCATTCATATGTGTAATTAAGCATAGTATGTTTGATGAGAGAAAAAGGAGATGATCAAAAATTATTAGAAATATTCTTTATAAATTGTAAATTCTTATAGAAATATCTTTATAAATTAAATATTCTTTATAAATATATATTCTCTATAATTTATATAAATATTCTTTATAAATTTTATGATAGATCTGAGTTCAAATCTTGGATCAGTCACTTACTGGTTGGTGGTCTTGGCAAAAAGTACCTAATCTTGAAGTTGTAAAATAAGGTTTACGTCTAACTTATTGTGAAGATTAAATAAAGGATGTAAAGTTGTAGGTAGAATGATTATCACAATGGAGGCACATGATTGAGGTTTTTTTAAGCTATTATATATCCTCTGTCAAATTCCAGGATTGGGCTTAAGCATCTTTAGTCCCAGAAAAGACTGGGTAAGGAGGTTTACTTGAGCTCTGGGTAGGGCCAAGGGGTCTTACTTTCCGGTCAATGGAAGTATCCAAGCTTATGTGATAGCCCAGAGAGGTAGGCATCAGAACAAAACAAACTGTGATGAGAAGCAAAGCAGCCAAGAGGTGTGAGTGCTTTCTCCCTCTGTATCAGCCAGAGCCAAGCAGCTTGTTGCTTAGTTACTCACATAGACTCACCTTTTTAGAGCCTGAAAGGAACACCTAGTCATTCTCGATTTTTCAATGAGAAAACTGAGGCTCAGGGGCAAAATAACTTTGCCTGGGGTTCCACAGCTGGTTGGAGGCAGGTATGGAATGGAGTCCAGCTTTCCTGATACTTGTTCCATTATTTTTTCTCCTAAGCTTCTCCTTGCTTGCTTGGATAAAAAAAGGTAATACCAGCTAGGACACTGAATTTCAAACCCTTCATCAGCTACCAAGTGCTGCACAAATCTTCCAGAGGATATATACCAGAGAACACTCAAGAAAAACACATGCTCTTTATTTCTAGTTGGGGTTTGCCCATCTCCTTTCTTGCCCTAGTGTTCCCGGCTGGATTTTGTGTGAGTCTCAAGGACTCTCACTCTCTCTTCGGATCAACTCCTGGGTAAGAATCAAACCAAGCGGTCTAATTCCTGCTTACTCCCCATGGGTCCCCTTGGAGCATGTTTGGCCTTCCAAGGCCATTAGGCATCCCAGGCAAGAGGCGGCCTCATGGCCATCTCACTGACCAGTCTCAAAGATGAGGATGTCCCAGATATTAATAATAGCCATTGAGAATGGTAGTTTTATCATCATATAAGTGCCTACTATGCAAACAACAATATGCTAGGTGATTTACATATGCTATTTCCTTTAGTCTCCACATATCCTATAGAGTGGAACTTATTATCTTCATTTTATAGATTTACAGATGTGGAAGCTGAGGTCAAGTGATACACCTAAAGTTTTACAGTTAAGTGGTAGGACTGAGTTTCAAATCCAGATTCCATGTGCTCAAGAGTTATGATACTACCTTTCTCACTGGTAGAGAGATCAAAGGGTGTTTGCTCTATTTAAGGGTCCTTCATAACAAATTCCCTCCTTTCACTAAAAGCTACATGTTCCACTAAGGCAACCTAATTTTGCCTCATTAAAGATATGTCTTTTTTCTCATACATGTCAGAACTTCTCTTCTGTGTGGAAGAGACTAGATGGGGCAGGGAAAGACTGGTATTTCTCCCCGGGGTTAGAGTGTACCCTTTATGGTGAGGGTAATTTAATTACTCTTGATGAAGAAAGGACTCTACCTCCATCTGGAGGTACAGGTTCTTCTGGAAGGTCCAGAAGTGCCTGTTAAAAAATCATTATTTTATTTTTTATACATTGCAAAAAGTAAAATAGTTTTTCTATTTCTTTTTAAATGGATATCAGGGGAAACAGGCAAAGAAATGTATACACAAATTCTATATCCTCTAAGTGTATGTCTACAGATGTGTGTGTGAATATATATGCATATATTCTTCTACTCACTAAAATACTTGTGTTATTTTGCTTCAATAAAGCCAACACTTTTTAATTTTACTGATATCTGTTAGTGCCAGTTAACTGCCAGTGAATAAGCAGGGCTCTGTGAGTTTTGGGTGGAATGAGATGGCTGGGCTCTCAAGGCGCTATAGCCTATAAAGGAGACAGGTCCTTAAAACTCAGGAATCCATATACACTCAAATTATTTACCAAAAGAAATGAGTTTTCATATATAATTATAATTTTTATTTTTAATTCTAGGAAATAAGTTACCTTATGATTAGAGGTCAATGACATTCAATGTATCAAATTAAAACTATAACAGACTCATCACCATTTTCCTCAGCAGTTTAACTTACCTTCATCTTTTGGTGGTACTGATACAGAATTCTGCATTATGATGTACTGGACTTGAATAGTATCTTTCCTAAAAATAAGCAAGCACAAATAAGTATTAGAAAGTAATTGAGAGAGCATGTTAATGCATACTAAATATAGAAATTCTAAGCTGTTTTTTAAAGTTTGTTTTATAACTATATGAGTAATAAGAAATGGATTGAGCTATTAAGAATTGATGTTTTTATTTTCTTCTCATTTTTCTACAAATAGGATTTTATTGAATGTACTAGAATGGGCTTAGAGACAGATGCAATGACACATCAGGGGCCTTAGTCACACTTCTGCTCTCATGGGGTCATGTGTAAGTAGGCAAAGTTAGGATTCTCTGAAAATGTACTCTCTGATAATTGCTTCATATACTTTAAGAAGAAATAGCTAACATGCTTAACAGTATAAAGGTAATATAATTGTAATATAATCATTTGATGAAATATAACTCAGTCATTAAAATGCAACTGTGAAGATTATGTAGCAACATAAAAAATGTTAATGATGCGATGCACTGGATAAACATGGATGAACATGCTAAATGATGGACACCAGCATTACAAATACACAAAAAATAAAGGCACAGGAAAACACATGGAAGAAAATATGTCAATATATAAATTTACAGTGTGTTTGGTGATGGAATTACAGGTGTTCTCCCCCATTCCCCATATTTTAGCTATTTTCCAAATTGTGTATAATGTAGTGTTCCATATTAATAAAATATCTGAATAAGACAATTCAAATATTTGAAAAATAGAAGTAAATTTTTTTATAAGTTCTTAAACAAAAAAATGTTCCTAAGCATGACACCAAGTACAGAGCCCATTAAGGTAAAGACTGATGAATTTTTCTATTTAAAATTTTAAATATTTTTAAAGTAAGAAAATTGGACAAAATTAAAAGGCATGATTCCTACTTCTAGCCAAGATGGAGTAACAGAGACCAGATTCATGCTTCTGCCTGAAACAACCAAAACACAGACAGAACATATGAAACAATGTCTTCAAAACACTGAACATCAGCGATGGAAGCAGGAGGCAGAGAAATTCTAGGCAGACAGGGGCGGGTCCCCAGTGAAACAGCACCTTCAAGTCAAAGTAGCCTGAAACCTGCTGCCCAAGGTGAGAACTTCTATCCCTGTTTGCCTGTTCTCTCCTGATTGGTTCTTTCTGAATAATGTCTTTTTACCAATCGAATGTTGCCTTTTCCAAAACTACCCATGGCTTGCCCTGCACCCCCATTCTGTGCCTCTAAAGACCCTGGACTCAGTCAGTAGAGGAGAGAAGCAGCTTGACTGGAGAGAAGCAACTTGACTTCAGAGGGACAGCTGGACTTCAGAGGAAAGATAGCTTAACTTCAGAGGGACGCTCTGACTTCAGGGAAGATTACCTGACCATCCCATCCCCCTTTCCAGCTCCTCTCTCCACTGAGAGACATCCATCGCTAAATAAAATTATCTGCCTCCACCATCCTTCAAGTGTCAGCATGACCTCGTTCTTCTTGGACACCACACAAGGGCTTGGGACCCACTGGATGCAGGTACCCAAAAAAGGCTGTCACACTAGCCCTTTGCCCTTGCTGGTGGAGTGTAGACACCCCACATGACAAGACAAGGGGCCCACTGAGCTGATAACACTGCTGTCCATAAACGGTAAAGCTAAGCTAAGAGGGCATTGTAGCATGCCCTCTGGGATTCTGGGGATCACAGGCACTCCCACCTGGGCACCGCCACAGGGTGTGCATGGAGCTTGCTCCTGCCGGCACCCAAAGCAGCCAGCCTGAACCCACTCGCTTGCTCACGTGCTCCCTCCTGCAAGGGGTTGAGTGTGGCAGGCTGAGTAAACAGGGCACCCCCATTGCAAATCTGACAAAGGGGTCGAGAAAAATCCTGCATCATCAGGTCAAGAAAAACTGATCCCCGAGAGCCAGGAAACAATTGCAATGAGCCCTATTGAAACAACTGCGATGAGCTCTATGTGAGGACAGATCCTTGCAGAGATTTCCAGAATACTGGAAAAGAGAGCTACACACAGACACAGCACAACAGAGAGGGTCCTCGCTGGGTTATTTACCTTTGTAATGATCAGCACAGGCAAGTGAGGAAACACCCCAAGACCAGGGAAAGGTCCAAGGTACACTACAGTCACAGAAGAACGGGAATATTGCCTGTTCCCATTAGCTAGGGTAAAAAAACTCATAATCCACAAAGGAATGGGTAGAGTACACAGAAGGGTCTTGCCTTAGTAGGGGGGAATACTTAATTCTAAACTGTGCATTTCTCTGGTTTCACGTAAATCTTAAAGCAAGACATGAAAGAATCAAACTGTTTCAAACTATTTTAACTATGTACCAGAAAAAATCACAAAATATTTATAGAAATACAAAAATATCTACCACCCAATAAAGTAAAATTCATAATGACTGACATCTAATAAAAATTATCAAGCATGCAGAAACGCAGAAAAATATGATCCATAATTTAGAAAACAATCAAAACTGAGCAGGACTGACATATATTAGAATTAGCAGACAAGGACATTAAGTGTGTAACTAGATTTCATGTGCTCAAAATGTTAAGTACAGGTAGAAAAGACATGAAAAAATTCAAATAAAATTTCTAGAGATAAAAACTATAATGTATAAGATGAAAAATATACTGCATGAAATTAATGGCACATTAGACACGTCAGAAGAAAATATTAGCAAATCTGAAGGCACAGCTATTGAGACTACACAGAATGGAGAAGACAGTAAAATTAAAAAAACAAAAAACAAAAATCAGAATTGAGAGCATCAGTGAGCTGCAGGCCAACTTTAAGAAGATTAACATACCAGTATTTGAAGAGGGGAGAGATGGAAGGGCAAAAAAATTATTTTAAGAAAGAATGGCAGAACATTTTCCAAATTTGATGAAGCTGTGAACACACAGATCCAAACATCTCAAAACACTGATTCACGAGAAACATGAAAACATATTAAGGTATATCATTGCCAAACTGCTCAAAACTGGTGAAAAAAAAAAGTTTTTAAAGCACCCAGAGAAAAAGACACATTGCATATAAAGGAACAATGATAAGGATAACAACAGATTTCTTACTATTAATAAAATGATGCAAGTCTGGCTGGACGCGGAGGCTCACACCTGGAATCCCAGCACTTTGGGAGACCAAGGCGGGCAGATCACCTCAGGTTGGGAGTTTGAGACCAGCCTGACCAACATGGAGAAACCCTGTCTCTACTAAAAATACAAAAATTAGCTGGGCATGGTGGTGCATGCCTGTAATTCCAGGTACTCGGGAGGCTGAGGCAGGAGAATCGCTTGAACCCAGGAGGCGGAGGCTGCAGTGAGCCGAGATTGTGCTATTGCACTCCAGCCTGGGCAACAAGAGCAAAATTCTATCTAAAAAAAAAAAAAAAAAGAAAAAGAAAAAAACAAAAACAAAAATAATGCAAGTCTGAAGACAATAAACAATAATAACAACTGTAATCTAGAATTCTTAGACCTCTAGGCCCTGATGTCTTCTCTGGTGACTTCTACTGAATATTTAAGGAGGAAATTATACCAATTATATATAAATCCTTCCAGAAAATTGAAAAGGAGGAAATGTTTACTATCTAAAAAGGCCGGATTATCTAGATATCAAAACCAGACAAATCCAGACATAGAAAAGATTCCTATGTCCCAATATCCCTCATAAGCACAGATGCAAAAGTAATAAACAAACTACTAGTAAATCAAATCCAACAATATGAGAATACGTCATGACCAAGTAGAGATATCCAGGAATACACAACTGGTTTAACATTCAAAATAAATGCAATTTACCATCTTAATGTTATAAAAGAAAACTACATGATTATTTAAACAGACACAAAAATTGTATGTGATAAAATCCAACATCCATTACTGATTAAAAAAAAACAACCCTTTATAAATTAAGAATAGAAAGGAACTCCTCACTCTGGTGAAACACATCTTATGAGAAACCTAAAGCTAAAATCATGCTAAATAATGAAAGACTGAATGCTTTCCCTCCAAGTTCACAAACAAGAGAAGGATATCTATTCTCACCACTTCTATTCAACCCTGTATTGGAAGTTCTAGCCAGTGCAATAGAGCAAAAATAAATAAAATGTATTCAGATTGTGAAGCAAGACTTAAAATGGTCTTTATCTGCAGATGACATGATTGTCTAATTAGAAAATTCAATAGAATCTACAAAAAAAGCTCTTCTAATAACTGAGTTTAGCAAGGTTACACAATACAAAATCAATATGCAAAAATAAATTATATTTTTGTATCCTAGAAATAATCAGAAATTGAGACAATAAATCAGAAATTGAGACACCATTTATAACAGCATAAAAATGAAATAATTAAGGATAAGCCTGGCAAAGTATGTGAAAGACCTATACACTGAAAACTAAAAAACACTCATAGAGAGAAATTTTAAAAGATCTAAACAAATGAAGAGATATATACCACATTCAAAGGTTGGAAGACTCGATGTTGTTAAAATGGCAATTCTCTTCAAATAAATATATAAATTCAATGTGATCCTAATCAAAATCCCAGTAGACTTTTTGTAGAAATTAACCAATTTAATTTTTAAAATTCACATGAAAATAGAGCTCAGAATAATCAAAATTTTCTTAAAAAAGAAGAAAGAAATCAGACTAATGCTACTTTAGTTTCAAGAAAGAGATATATAGATCAATGCAACAAAATAGAGAGTCCATAAATAAATCTACACAGATATGTATTTTCATGAGAGTCCAAAGGGAAAGCTGTGGAACATGAATAGTCCCTTCAACAAAGGATGATGCTTTCTCTGTATGCAAAAAACAAAAAAGAACTTTGAGCCACACCTCACACCATATACAAAATTTGAAATGCATCATATACCCAAATGTAAAACACAAAACTTCTGAAATATAAAACTTCTAAAAGAAAATACTGTGCCCTTTAGTCAGGCAAAGGTATCTTGGACATGGCATCTGAAACATAATCCATAAAATAACAAACTAATATGCTAAACTTCATCAAAATTGCAAAATTCTGCTCTTCAAAAGATATCAATAAGACAATGAAAAGACGAGCCATAAATGGGAGAAACTATTTGAAAATAATCTGATAAAGAAATTGTATATAAAAACTCTCAAAACTAAATAAGAAAACAAATCTCCCAATTTACAATGGGCTAAAGAGGTGAACATACACTTCTCCAAAAAAGATAACTGGCCTGCAAATAAGAACATAAGAAGATGTTCAACATCACTGGTTATTAAGAAAAGATACACCTGCCTTAGGATCCAGCTAATCCCTTCCTACCAACCCAAGAGAAACAAAAGCAAATGTCTATACAAAAACTTGTACAAAGAATGTTCACAGCAGCTATATTTGTAGTAGTTCCAAGCCAGAAACAACCCAAATGTTCACCAACAGATGGAATATATAAACATACAATGGAACATTACTCAGCATTTTAAAGGAACTGTTGACCTACATCACAATAGAAATGAAGAAACATGATGCTATACGAAAGAAGATAGACATTAAAGAGCAATACTCTATGATTCTACTTGCATAAGATTTTAGAGACTATAAACTATAGTGGCAGAAAGCAGATCAATGGTTGCCTGGGGACAGGGGAGACAGAGAAGGTTGGGGGGACAGACTCTATAAGCAGACCTGAGAAACAACATATACCCATCCATCGAGGTGAAGAATATATTCATTATCTTGATTATGATTAAGGTTCCAAGGGTATATACGTATATCAAAATTTATCTCATTGTACTTTAAATATATGCAATTGACTGTATGCCAATCGTATCCTAATATAGCTGTTAAAAATTAAAAGGTAAATATTGGGAAAAAATTTAAAAATTCTAATAGACATACAGACATACATTTATTCATTTAACAGATGTTGTTTGCAGTATTACTATGCACTCTGGAAAAGATATACTGGACATGGTTCTTGTATTCTTGTCTAATATAAAAGAAATAACAATGAGATAATGCTCTACTATAAAAATGAGTAAGGACTTAAAAAATTTATAGAAGACAACATTTAACAAGTAATCATCAGAAAGAATGTTAAGACTTACTAAAAATCAAAGAATTGCAAATTTCTAAAATAATACTACTTTTTTGCCTCTAAATTGGCAGAAAAATGATAATACAAACTTTGGGGGAAGTCTGAGGAAAGGGGTATGCTCATTTACTTCCTGTATTATAGTTGGTACAAACTCTCTGGCAATGTGCATCCTGAGCTTTATAATTCTGCATTCCTTTTGGCCCAGACCTTCCTTCCTTCCACATGCAGGAATTTTGCTCAAAAAATCATCATTGTAATGTGTAAAGCCATCATCATTATCATCATCCTCATTACCTTTAAAGAAATGTTAAGGGTGCTATTTAAAATACACAAAAAATGTAAAACTTAGAATTAGGGTATATTTTTATAATAAAGCCATTTTTAAAAATGTTTCTTAAAATATTAAGAAATATAAAAATTGCTTATGACATGTTTTTGTATAAAGGGGCTGGTTATTGCCATATGCTGTGGCTCACGCCTGTAATCCCAACACTTTTGGGGGCAGAGGTGGAAGCATCGCCTAAGCCCAGAGTTTGAGACCAGCCTGAGCAACACAGTGAAACCCATCTCTACAAAAAATACAAAAAACCCATCTCTACAAAAAATACAAAAATTGGCCAGGTGCGTATCCATAGTCCAGATACTCTGGAAGCTGAGGTGGGAGGATCCCTTGACGACAGGAGGTTGAGGTTGCAGTGAGCCCTGACTGTGCCACTGCACGCACTCCAGACTAAGTGACAGACTGAGACTCTGTTTTCACTCCAAAAAAAAGTGTTAGTTACAGATCAGTATGGTTCAGTTATTTTTTTCATAACTCATGAGAAAAATTACCCAATATTAAAAGTATGCATCTCTCAGCGGGGCATTAAAGTGCTACATAATCTTCCTTTTTATGCTTATAAAGTGATATTACAAAGTTTCCCCAATGAATAAATACTGCTTTTGCAATCAGAAAAAAATGTTTTTATTTTCATTGTTTTGAAATACTATGTTAGAAGAGGAGTGCCATCAAAATAATTTTAACTGTATTCCTAATATCTTGGTATTTCATGTAGGACACCCACTCAAATGAAGCTGTATTGTTTTTTGCTGTGACACAAAGCATTGCTGCATTTAATTCTATTATAATTATTAAACATGAATAAGTTATATAATAAATATACCTAACACTTATTAAAAAATTTTTGGATAGTTACAATATTGCATCCTCTGATTTGATCCTCTGATTTGACTGGATAATAATATAAATATGCTAGAGGAAAATATGCATTAAATAGTTACATAAAATCTAACAGTATTTAATAAACCTTATACGATTCCTTGAGTAAGTGTGCATTTTTACTCAAGGAATCATAGTATAGCACTAACAGCCACTGCATCCTTCATAGTTTATAAGGAAAAACCTCTGAAAATTATAACCTGACTTTTCTTAAATTGCTGAAAAGTATATTAAATAGAAAAATCTATCAGAAAGGAATAAAATTAAAGAATGCAAACAGCAAATACAATCAATGATAGCAAGATCTAATACAATGTGCTTTATAAACCAGTTACATGATTACTTTTTATTTTAGTTAATAAGCCATATTTAAAGAGAGTTGATTAAAAATGAAAATTAGGTGAATTGGTTACTTGACAAAGTGACAGCCTGATGTAAATGAAAATTTTTCCATTTATTCCTTGTTGAAGAAATCTAAGGCAGACACTGCTTTGTCTTTGTTATGCTGCTTTGTTAAGGTTCCTAAAAATAAATGTAGATAAAGAAACATAAGAGAATAACAGAAAATAATTTGCTCCATGCTCAACATGCTGATTAACTTTAACCCATGTTGTGAGTACATGTATAAGTGCATGCTCTTGTATGTGTATGTGGCCACCAGTCACAGAGTTGCGATGTAGATGTCAATCTAGATTATTATTTCTAGGAAACTATTTCCTAGGGAATAAACATGTCATATATCATCACACTGACATACTGTCATTCAGATAAATGCCATAATATAATAAATTTGGCCAGGATAACTTAAAACATGCAAATATAAAAAAGGTAATGAGTCTTTTAATGTCTCAGAGCTTTAGGTAATTCATAACAGGCTTTTCTTTATACATTAAGATAATGTTACTAACCTACTTTGATTGGGCAGCTGCTCTTTTGACAGGCCGTCTTCCAGTTTTGATTCTACTGTTAGGCTGTGCCTCTTGATTTTAAAATGTAACAGGTTGATAATCACACAAGATCTTATTTTCAGCCTAGAACCAGTCAGTGAAGCCATGGATGACAGCTTCACCTAGATTGTATTCTACACTGTAGCTCTTTTGCAACAAATGCTACTATGTGCTAGACCTACCACTAGGTAATTCACAAATACCTCATCCACATATGAGGATCTGCACTGTTATCATCAAGTTAAGAAACTGAGGTGCTCAAAGAAAATTAAGCATCTTGCTCAAGGTCACTCAGATGGGCCAGAATTCATTCCCAAGGTGTGTGTCATTTCCATATATACACTCCTCATGCTCTCCTGAGTGCAGCTTCTCCCTCTCCCTCTGCCCCTCATCCCTTTCCCATGCATACATGTACCTATAGACAAGGGTGTTCTGATGGAAATCAATGTAGAATGTCTCTGTGCAACTATTAAAAATAAAGGAAAGTCAGTAAAACAAAGAATGGCAAGGACAAAGTAATAGGGAAAAGTGAGTTTTATAAAAAGCTGGGAAAGGAACGAACCTGGGAAATAAAAAAATTCAAGGGGAGATGCTAGCCATCTTCAAATATCTGAAGAACTGTTATTTTAGAAGCAGGATTAGAGGAATCCTACGTAACTCCAGTGGACAGGACTAGGACCAGTAAGGAAGACAAAGTTACAAGGAGGCAAATTTCAACTGGATATAAGAAAGAGCTTTCTCATGATTACTGATACTCAACTATGGACTGGATGCTATATAACTTCATCACTGAAAAACCTGAAGAAGCTGAGTGAAGCCTTTTATTGTTAACTATCAAAATAAATACATATTAGTATTCCTTAGGAATATGGCAGGAAAGAACTCCAAAATGTTGTATAAACTCAGACACCATATAACTGAAAATGCCACCTTTTTCTTTTGCCATAACATGAAAATGGTTATGACATATGGAAGAAAAATAGGAACTGCCTGGATGAACTTGTAATTCTTAAGTATTCAATGCTGCTCTTTGCCTTTATATACTTAGGTGTTGTTTGAAAATTTTTAATGCACTTGAGGATGAATTTTCCTGGCTTGTTTTAAGTAATTTCATGTACCCATTTACAGATGCCCCTTCAACTTATGATGGGGCTATATACTGATAAACCCATCCTAAGTCTTGAAAATAGCATAATTCAAAAATGTGTTGAATACACCTAACCTACCAAACGTCGTAACTTAGCCTACCTTAAACATGCTCAGAATACTTAAATTAGCCTATAGTTAGGCAAAATCATCTAACACAAAGCCTGTTTTATAATAAAGTGTTGAATATCTCATGTAATTTATTGAATACTGTGCTAAAAGTGATAAACAGAATGGCTGTATGGCTAGTCAAAGTACAGTTTCTACTGAATGCACATGGCTTTCGCACCATTGTAAAGTTGAAAAATCTTGAGTTGAACTAAGGTACATCAGGGACTGTTGGTCCATTTCATTAACTTTTTTTGTTTTTTTACTTTTAAAGTAACGTTATTGAAGGATAATTTACATTCAACAAAATGCACCCCACTTTAAGATGAGCTTTGACAAATGTATATACCTTTACAGTGATCACTGTATTAATCATGGCTTTTTGTTAAATTTTATGATGATTTGACATCTTAGAGGACTTGCTAGAGAGGGGAAGATACTGCCCCTTCCAGGGCTAGCTAATTCCTATATATTGCAAATGACTCCCCTGTGAGCGTGTCTTTCATACGCAAACCAACCAATCCAAAGCCCATATCCTCAATCACATCCTTTATCTAACTAACACACCAAGCCAATATTTCTCCAGCCTAAATCACTGGAGTGAGATGGACTACCTTATAGGCCAGGGACCACTGAAATTATTCAAGCTAGCCAATGTTAAACAGCTTTTCATATCCTACCTTGTCTTTCCTGGGGAAACTACAACAAAGGCTCTGGGCCATGCTTTCCCCTGGCTCCTTCTGCCTCCTGACTGACCCAGGTGCTTCTCCCTGTGGCTTTGAATGGTATGCTGCGCCCCCTCCTCTAAGGGACTGTAAGTAATAAACTCTTTTTTTTTGAGACGGAGTCTCACACTGTTGCCCAGGCTGGAGTGCAGTGGTGAGGTCTCGGCTCACTGTACTCCAGCCCAGATTCCTCCTCCGGCTCCCGGGTTCAAGCGATTCTCCTGCCTCAGGCTCCTGAGTAGCTGGGATTACAGATGCCAGCCATCACGTCCAGCTAATTTTTTGTATTTTTAGTAGAGACGGGGTTTCACCATGTTGGCCAGGCTGGTCTCGAACTCCTGACCTCCTGATCTGCCCATCTCGGCCTCCCAAAGTGCTGGGATTACAGGCGTGAGCCACCGCGCCCGGCCTAAACTCCTCTTTCAAAGGCAGTTGTCTCCTGTCACTTTACCATACCTGACTAAAACAAACCCAAGTACATTTTAAAACAATCACCCTATTGAAAATATATAATATCATCTCAAAAGTCCCCTTGTGCTCTTCTGTAATAAATTTCCACCCTCACCTATGGCCCCAGGCAATCACTGATGTTTTCTGTCACTATAAATTAGTTTTGCTTGTCCTAGAATTTCCTGTCATTTCATATACATCAGACAGTAACTATTCACTTATTATGTGTATCAGTAGACCATTCCTTTCTGTTGCTGAATCATATTCCATTATATGAATATAACACAATTTTTAATCCATTAACTGATATGCATTTGAGTTGCTGCCAGTTTTTGGTTATCATGAATTAATATAAATATAAATGTGTGTGTCCAAGTTTCTGTATAGATAAATGTTTTAATATCTCTTGGGTAAAAACCTGGGAGTGGAATTATTAAGTGGTCTATTAAGCACGGACCACTTAACTTTAGAAGCAATTGCTTGTTCTCCATAGTGGTTGTACTATATTTCATTTATTTAAAAAAACTACCTCTTCTAAGCAATGATGGAATTTATGTTTCTCAAGAGCAAGAGAACCCAAATACCTTCAGGCCCACTTTAGTTATATAATATTATAAACACACACACACACACAAACACACACATTTAGCTTTTATTTTAGGTTCAGGAGTACATGTGCGAGTTTGATATATAGGTAAACTCATGTCATGGGAGTCTGCTGTACAGATTATTTTGTTACCCAGGTACTAAACCTAATACCCAATAGTTATTTTTTCTGCTCCTCTCCCTCCTCCCACCCTCCACCCTCTACCCTCAAGTAGGCTCCAGGGTCTGTTGTTCCCTTGTGTCCACGTGTTCTCATCATTTAGCTCCCACTTATAAGTGAGAACATGCAGTATTTGGTTTGCTGTTCCTGCATTAGTTTGCTAAGGATGATGGCCTCCAGCTCCATCCATGTTCCTATAAAGGGCATGATCTCATTCTTTTTTATGGCTGCATCGTATTCCATGGTGTATATGTACCACAATTTCTTCATCCAGTACCACTGATGGGCATTTTAGGTTGATTCTATGTCTTTGCTATTGTGAATAGTGCTGCAATGAACATATGTCTGCATATGTCTTTGCAGTAAAATTATTTATATTCCTTTGGGTTTATACCCAGTGATGGGATTGCTGGATCCAATTGTAGTTCTATTTTTAGGTCTTTGAGGAATCACCACACTGCTTTCCACAGTGACCAAACTAATTTATACTCCCACCAACAGTGTATAAGCCATTTCCTTTTCTCTTCAACCTTGTCAGCATCTAACATGCACACACATATATATACAATAATATCTAATAGAAGCTAATAGTACATAAATCCTGACTAATAATAGTACTCATCATTTGCTCAATTGTAATAACAGTATTCTTCATTGGCTCAACTGTAATGCTTATTCTTATCTCAATCTGTCCCATTTCAGAAACAAATAAAAACAAAATTCTCAAAATGTTACTAAAGCTTTAGAGGAGCTAAAACTTAATCTACAGAATAAATTTTAATCCACATAGTAAATTCTTAATGCTTATATTGATACTTGCATTAATACAATGTATCAATGTTTGGCAATCACCTTCCTTCCCTAAATGGCTGCATGCTGCTAACGGGTTTGATTAAAAAATACTCCCCTCCCCTCTTCCCTCCTCTCTTCTCTCGTCTCCTGAGTCTCACTCTGTCACCCTGGATGGAGTGGCACCATCTTGGCTCACTGCAACCTCCACCTCCCGAATTCAAGTGATTCTCCTGTCTCAGCCTCCCCAGTAGCTGGGATTACAGGCGTGTGCCACCACATGCGGCTCCTGTTTGTGTTTTTAGTAGAGATGGGGTTTCACCATGTTGGCCAGGCTGGTCTTGAACTCCTGACCTGAAGTGATCTGCCCACCTCGGCCTCCCGAAGTGCTAGGATTATAGGTGTGAGCCACCGTGTCCGGCATCAACACATATTTCTGAATGTCAGTCATTGAACTAGACTCACCCTTAATTTTCAGGATCATGTTCCTGCCCAATCTCAGGTATGCAATGAGTTAAAAACCTGGGGAACTGAGTGGGGAGATGTACATTTCTAACTGAAACTTCTTACTGTATGATCTTGGACAAATCATTTAATCTTTTTTTCCATTTCAGTTTCTGCTCATAGAAGGTTAGAGATAAAATACTTAACTCTTTTTGCTGGAGAAAGGATTAAACTGGATACTACATGCTGAAAATACTTTGTAAAAAAATTACTCAAAAAACAGCATATTACATTACATGTTAATAAAGTTCTCCAGAATTCTTTACAAAGAAAGGTTTTATTATCTTTGGCATTTCCAAAAAAAAAAAAAAAAAAAAGAAAAAAAAAGAAATGTACTAGAATATACTTAGAAGTCCAAAAAACATTATTTCCAATTGTATGATCTAATCATTGACTGTTATAAAATGCATGCACATACAGGCACCTGTGTTCCTTAACATGTGTTGCACATATGACTGAACTTGGTAGATTAAGAATGTTTAAGAGGGCATTTTTCTGCCTCAATAAAAATCTATTAGGAAAATATGTTCTAGCCTAGATCCTTATTTTTCCTTCATAGGTTTTCTATTCATTTTCTTCCAACTCATCTGGTTCTAACTACAATTGCAAATTTATATTTTTAATTCCCAGGTTCCAGGGTGAAATGTTCTCTCCTTCCTACATATCTCTAAATGGCTACCTCCAAACTCAAGGCAGCTCCTGCCTCCAAATGTGCTCCTTCTCTATTTTCTAAAGCCATTGTCTTTGCTCTATGGGCACCTTTACTGCCTTAGGTCAGGTCCTCACTGCTTGTTGCCTGTATTACAATAGCTCCTAAATTGTCTTCCTGCCTCCAGTCCAATCTATTCTCTCTGATGCAACTAGAATAATCTTTCCATTTTTACTTTGCAATCTAAAAAAATTCAAGTCAAGTAAACATTTCTACACAGCTTATTATTTTGAAAATGCAATCATGTCCTCTTCCTCAGAGACATGCACTCTCAATTCTTAGAGTTGATTCTTCCAGCATTTAGACCTCCATTATCGTTAATAACATGCTTATAATTTCACTTCTTGATTGTTCAATTTTAGGCATTATCAACTGATGTCCCACAATGGAGGATGAAGATTTACTTTCTCTCTCATCAATAAAAATGTCGGATAATTTTTGTGGGTACGCAATTCCAGGTTGAAAATTAAAGGCAATATTCCACTGTATTCTGGTTTCCAATGTCGGTGTGAAGAAATCCAAAGCCACTGTGAGTAGTTCTTTGTATATAATTTGCTTTTATTGTGGAAACAATGTTTATAAACTTCACAGTGAAGTGTCTCAGTCTATTTTCTTCCACTTTCCAAGTGTTTGGTGGGGCCTCTTAATCAGAAAATTTGTGCATTTCAATTCCTGGGATATTTTCTTCAATTATTTTTCTAAGATTTCCTCATTTACTTTGCTCTGCTCTCTTTTTTTCCCCCTTGAATTCCTATTATTGAAATGTTGGGCTTCCCTGGCTGGTTATGCTTTTCTCCTCTTTATTATGTTTTGCTTTCTATTTATTAATTTTTGCTCTTTCTGGAAAAATTCCTTAACTTTACCTCCCAGTGTTAAAAATGTGTTCCATCTGTGATTTTTAAAATTTGAAGCAATGTCTTATTAATTCTGCCATTAATAAACTTTTCCGTAACTAAAAGTGACAGATAATTAAGTTTATTTGATTTGTATAGATTGCTTGGTTCTGTTTTTAGAAGGACTGCAGCACTCTTAAAATAATTTAACAAATTTATTTTATGTAAAAGTAAAAATTGTCCTAGTCTCTTGAATTTATCTAACATCAGGTTTGGGGGCCTTTCAGATGTATCAATATTAAGTTTCACTAACTAAAGACAACAAGTCCTAGGAAACACTGATTTCCAATATTATCTATAAATGCAATACAGTGACTATGCTGCCATAGTGCATTTTAGTTAAGTCTAGAAAGACTCACGTTTGTGGCAAATTTTAACAAACAGGCCTATCCTCCGTTTTCTTATTTGTTCAAATGTCTAGGATACAGATATAAGAAAAAGATTTGAGTCTTTCTACATCAAGCAGAACATCCTTGGAATTTCTAGCCTGGATTTCCAATGCTAACAGAATGTTCAGAAGGCATTCAGGCCAGTGAAGTTACCAACACAACAAAGATGAACGCTTTTCAAAAAAGAATTGCATTATTTGCTAATAACTGATACTTAGCAGCAAAATAAAAACCATAAAATAAAGAGGCTGTCATTTACACTTCCATAATATAGACATGTATTGTGAAATTGTTCTTTATTTTGTTTTCCTCAATCAATCTGGCTGGCAGGGCTTTGATCAGTTTGGATTTAATTCACTGCTTTTGAAATGATCACATTTCCACCATTTTTGCTGGGGATACATTCCAAGATCCCCAGTGGATGTCTAAAACTGTGGATAGTACGAAACCCTATATATACTGTATTTTTTCCTATACATACATACCTATGATGAAGTTTAATTTATAAATTAGGCACAGGAAGAAATTAACAATAACTAATAAGAAAATACAACAATTGTAACAACATATAATGTGTGAATGTGAACACATATGTAACAACATACAAAGGTTATGTGAATGTGGTCTCTATCAAAACTCTATCTTATTGTACTGTATCTCAGGTAACTGAAATGAGAAGAGAAATCACAAATAAGGGAAGACCATTGCATTTATATATTAAGAATTTACTTACATTGCTACAGTCTTCAAAAACTTTTTTTTAACATTCTGTTTGTATATTGATTAAAAATATGAATACCAGTCCAAAAAAAAAAAGTTCAAGCACTAAAAAAAAGAGAATAAATTGAAAAATAAGTCTCCTTCTCATTCTATTCCCCCAATTCCCCTCCTCAGAGGCAACGGCTCAACAGCTCTTTGCACCTTTCTGGGCACCCTTTCAGAAATGGTTTTATGTTTACAGAAACTAACACATAGAAATAAGCTCTGTCCCCTGTCCGTATTTCCATACTGAAGCAGATTATACATGCTGTTCTTTTTTCACTTAATATATTTTTGAGAGTTTGCTATCTCAGCACTTATAAAGCATCTTCATTCTTTTTAAAGACTGCATAGTATTTGATTGTGTGGAACCATTATTTTTTAACCCACTGGTTGACAATTAGATTGTTCTTAGCCTTCTGCTCTTACAAAGCTACATACAGTGTGCACCCTTGCATGTACATCTTTGCTAACACGTGGGAAGTCTATCTGCAGGAAGTCACAGTAAGAAATTTCTGGGTTGACTTAATATTTTTCTAGATTTTGCCAAACTGTCCTTCAAAGAAGTTGCACTGATTTATCTAACAACGCATGAAAGTGCCTCAAAACCATCACTTGCAAAAATTGCCATAGGAATTTTTCAATCAAATACTCAAAACGTTTAAGGATTCTAACATGCCTATGTAATTGTCTCAACTTTAGCTGAATATGCAAACACTGTATTTTACTGAAATATATAAACAATGAAAACCAAGTTTCCCATCTCCAGGACTTAGAAGGGTGATTGTTTATGGGAAGTCCCACCAACAAACTACAAATGGGAAAAGGAGTCCGTTGCAAGAGACAGTGCTGCTGCCCAACATCACCAAAAGGAAGTGAGCATTAGTGTTCATGCAGCATGACACATTAGTTTGTATCAACATTTTCTTGCTATGAAAACAACTTGATTTCCTAATTGAAAAAGTCAAACCACATAACATAATTAGAGAAAACATTGTTACATATTTGAAAAAGTAGCCTTTTAAAATGTTTTTCTTTTTAAAACATTACAGGTACAGTTTTAAGATGATTTTATAGTGTAAAAATCATGCTCCTTTATGTAAGATGAAATGGTGTCTTGACTGAGGTGCTACCAGCTGAGGATATGTGAACCCAATTAACCCAATTTTTAACTTGTCCATACTAAGTGGTTTATTTTAGATGTACACTGCTCCCTAAATCCTTTAGGGTACAACATGGAAAAACTATAAACAGGCTATAAAGGTCATGACATTAATTTTGCTGTCATTATCATACCTTCAGAACGCATTCAAAACTAAAAAAGTCTTATCCTCTGGGAAGGAAGGCAAATCTGAAACTAATTATGGTAGTTATTATTGTAATACTATTAAATTAAACACTGTGACCCTAGCTAAATTTATTTTGGTACATTTTGTTAATGAATAAAACCACTCAAATAATACTGTACTGTTGCACACAGCAAAATGGTACATCAGAGGACTAGAACAAAGTAACCACTCAAAAACTTGAATTTTCATTAACCTAGAGCTTAACTGGAACATTTAATGTATTAATAAGCATCCATGGACTCTCTTTGCAGAAGATGCTCTACTTGTTACAGGGGTTTATTTAAGAAGTAAAAACTTCACATGGGTAGAATAACCATTACTATTTATTTAAACCCAAAAGAAAATAAAAAGGGAAAATATCTCAGTAGCTTCTTTTTCTGAGTAAGTTTTTAAGAATCAAACTGCTTCGGGTGTTTGGAGGACTAGACAGTCCAGAGGCAACATCTAGGCTTAATAATTTCCTGCCAGTTCAGGTTCCTACCGTCTTACCAACACCTGGCCTGAGCACCAGGTGGGAGAGGAAGCCGCTGACCCAGCACCTGGGAAGTATTAATGTGTGTGTCCTCTAGTGCCCTGAAACGAGAATCATAGCCACACAGACTCTGGCAGGCTCATTTTAATCCTTGTAAATGCTGGAGGACAGCGATCAGGGCTGAGGACAGTGAATAATGAGTCTGGGTGGGTGGGGAAGAAAAATTAGGCAAGGAGAACTATCAACATCTGTGTAGAACTAACGATCAAGAGAAAGATGAGTAAGTAGCAATCACAAAAGAAAGAAAAAGTAGGAAGAAAAAAGGAACAATGGCAACATTATTATACAAGGAGAAAGAGCATTTGAAGAAAAAAAATCACTTAAATTCCAGTTTCTTTAAATATCTCAGAAAACCATTCAAGCACTGGTTCATACACTCTTGCAGTTAGAAAAGATGCTTATAGTACTTTTGTGTGCACGGCTGACAGTCTTGATAGTCTATAACTACTAATTGGTATAAATGGCCATGTTGCTAGTCAACTTCAATAGTTTATTAAAATTTAGGTTGGGATAAAGTTAAATATTTGAAGAGCATCTTTATTTCTCTAAATTTGAAAGTTAACCTTACAACAAAAATTTCTAACTCGTCTCTGTTTAGAGGTGTTAGCAGACTATGAGGCATTAACACATAGGAAAGATGAGAAAAATCAGAACGCAGAAGGCCCTAGAGGACCATTTTTTTCTTGCAAGGATTTGTTAAATAGTTTACTTGTGGATACTCAAGGATCCTAATTAAAAGGATACAACTAGGTGTGCTTTCCTCTTCCTTTGTTTTCCTATATTTGCCCATGTCCCCACAATCTATTTCTAGATCCACTCCTCCAACTGCATTTTGTACTCCAAATGTGTACATTTTCACATTAGTGGATGAAGCAACACTTCGAGTTAGGGCATGATGGTGCTAGCCAAGAGTTCACTTTCAGGAGTAGTCATCTTTGTCTTGCAGTAGTTATTTTATAATTATTTAAATATTTCATTACATTTTGTTCTTTAGAAAAATTAGTTTGGGTGTTTGGAGATGAAAAGATGGAAAGTAAATGTGACTGAGATGACACCAAAAACATAGGCAGCAAAGGTAAAAATAGATAAACTGGACTATACCAAAATTTAAAACTTCCATGTATCAACAGATACAATCAACAGAGTGAAAAGGCAACTTATAGAATGAAAGAAAATATTTGCAAATAATTATCTGATAAGGGATTAATATCCAGAATATATAAAGAACTCCTATGACTCAACAAAACCCAAATAACCCAACTTAAACAGAGCGAAGCATTTGTATAGACATTTCTCTAAAGATGATGTACAAATGGCCAACAAGCATATTAAAAGATGATCACTAATTAGAAAAATGCAAATCAAAACCACAATGAAATAACACCTCACACTCATTAGGATGGCTACTATTTAAAAAACAAAACTGAGAAAATAACAAATGTTGGTGAGGATATGGAGGAATTGAAACTCTTATTTACCATTGGAAATGTAAAATGGTGCAGCAACTATGGAATACTGTATAGCAGTACCTCAAAAAATTAAAAATAGAATTACCATATGGTCTAGCAATTCCACATCTGTGTGAATGTCAAAAAGAACTGAGGCCAGGCACGGTGCCTCACGCCTGTAATCCCAGTACTTTGGGAGGCCGAGAGGGGCAGATCATGTCAGATCAAGACCATCCTGGCTAACACGGTGAAACCCCATCTCTACTAAAAATACAAAAAAATTAGCTGGGCATAGTGACGGGCACCTGTAGTCCCAGATACTTGGGAGGCTGAGGCAGGAGAACGGCATGAACCTGGGAGGCAGAGCTTGCAGTGAGCCGAGACCGCGCCACGGCACTCCAGCCTGGGCAACTGAGTGAGACTCCATCTCAAAAAAAAAAAAAAAAAAAACAAAAAACTGAAAGCAAGATCTCAAAGAGATATATGCACATCCATGTTCATAGCAGCATTTTTCATAGTAGCCAAGAAGTGAAACAACTCAACTGCCCATTGACAGATAGATGGATCAACAAAATGTGATATATACATACAATGGATTATTCAACTTTAAAAAGAAAGGAAATTCTGACACATGCTATAATATGAATGAACCTTGAGGAGACTATGTTAAATGAAATAAGCCCGTCAGAAAAGGGCAAACATTGTATGATTCCATATATATCAGGTATCTAGAGTAATTAAATTCAAAGATAGACAGCAGAATAGTGGTTTCTGGGGGATATGGGGTTGTGGGGAGGAGGGGAGGCCGGAAGAGAAGAAACCAGGGAGAAATTGGGAGTTGTTTGATGGGTATACGGTTCCAGTTTTACAAGATGAAAAATTCTAGAGTTTGGCTGCACGACAATGTGAATGTAATTAACACTACTGAAATGTACACTTAAAAAGGGTTAAGAAGGTAAATTTTAAGTTATGTGTTTTTTACCACAATAAAAAAAGTAAATGTGATCATAGTACTGACATGAAGCATAGGCCTTGTAAACAATATTAAGTTTAGGCAAAAATGGCAATCACTCAGGGTGTTTTATGTGGCAAGTCTTTTAACTTTTACTGGAAGCATACTTGACTTAAGCCAGGCATGTGCTCAACTGTAAAGAAAAATGATAAAACTAAAGAATATTTACAAAGTATACAATATTCATACTAGACATACATCTATGTCAGAAAGAATGACATATTCTTTTTGAATTGTATAATGTTTTACTAGTACTCTGGTAAAGGAATATCTTCTTAGCATATGTCTTTTTGTTTGTTTTACTTTTACACACTGTATATCTGGGTAGTTTTTTGAGGAACATATTTTATACAAAAGTAAATACTGCCTATAAAAAGGGAAGTACTAGCCTAGGGCTCTTCAGGCCATAGGATATCAACACAGCCACTCTGAAGATTGGATCTGGTTAACTTCTTTCTATATTCCCCCCAATACTATCACCCCATGTTCTCTGGTGAGTTTATTAGAAAGGCAGGGAGTTTCAGGTAATCTTGTTCAGAAGGCCATCTTAGTATTAGCAGCTGACAAAAGATCCAGTGCTATAGAGCAAGTGCTTCAACAAATAACATCTTCTCAGCTCCAGATTGGTCCCAGCAGAGGAGATTCCTGACCTCCCTTAAATCTATCACCACCCAGCCACCTCCACTCCCCAGGCTCTGGCATTAACAAAGCTGGCCTGAAAACAGCAGGTTAACCCAGTGGTTCCAGATTACAATCATCAGATGAAAATATGACATCACAGAGATGAGCTGTAAACCCCTAAATTAACTTTCAGATTAAAGCAGCAAGGTCATTTCCTCCTGGGATCTTCAAGACCTGGGTCTGTACTCACAACACTGACAGTGAGACAAGCAGACAGTGGTGAGGACATGTGGGGGCAGTGCTCTGGGGCACACAGGGCCTTGTGGGGTTGCTCCTGAAACAGTTACTTGAAAGATCTAAACCGCTGACAGAGATTGTTCACCTCCAGACTGCATCCTCTAACAACAATCACACAGCATTAAACTTGAAACTGAAATACAACAAATGGGAAATCTGTTACCATTTTGGTATACAATCTTAAATACAATTAAATACTATATTAAATATAATATTACAAAATCAATTGGTTGCTGCTGTAAATTCACTAAGCATTTGGTTTCCTCATGAATGATTAGTTTGGGGGGTTAACTTTAGTCTAAGTAAAGGCATATAATAGTAACTGGATGATTTCAAGAGGTAAGAAATTGCTAAGGGTGGTAGCCTCTGGAAAAGGAAGAATTGGAAAGAAAAATGACTTTCTATGTATACTTTTTTGTAACCTTTTGAATGTTCTACCTTACAGAATACAACTTAAAACAGCAGTATCAACAATGAGAACAACAAGAATAAAGTAGATCTAGGGAGAGAGGTGGTTCTCAATCAACACTGCCAGGGAAAGATGTCCATAACATCATCTTAAGTGAAGCAAGCTGTGGAACAGTAGGTATATTCTGATCTCCTTTGCCCTTAAAGGAAAAAAAGTTGTATTCTCACAGAGAAACATCAAATTATCAACAGTGGTTACTTTTGGGGCTTGACTTGGTGGCACTTCCACCTTTAATTGGGTATAATACATGTATGTGTGTGCATATACACACACATATATAACTATATTGTATATATTTATATAATACATACATAACTACATAACCATCTATTTTTATACTAAAAATAATAACCGTTCTAAAAGGGGGGGAACGCTTAGTTAGATTCCACTTTAAAAATATATTTCTGTTTAAGAACAGATATTTTGATTTTCAAGTAGTCTTTTTTTCACTTTTGGTATTTTCCGCATTCCAATTTCATGGTGACCATTACACTCAATATATAATTTCCTGGCAAAATCAAATGTGTAAAGTCCATCCATCAATCATCCATCATCCAGTATAGCAATTTAGTAGATTGCACCTGTATCAATAAGAGGGACACCATACGTAATTTCCTATAATTCTCACTCAATACTTTTTCTAAACTCAAAATAATTTCAACTTAGTAACAGATCTTTAGTTAAGGATGGATCTTCAAAATCATCACAAATTTTTTTAAAAATCCAAAGAATATTCTCCACCTTCTTCAGATTAGTTAAGGTCCCGTTATTCTATCTTTTCTTTGCACAATTTAATTCTCCTTTCCCAACACTGACCAAACTTACATTAACTTCACATCTATCTTCCTCACCAGACTCAAAACTCTACAGGGGCAGGGTGCAAGTCTGTCACATTCTTAGCTTCAGGACCTTGGACAAAGTCTTTCAAAAATATTTGATGAGTTAACTTTGAATGGTATAAACTTTAAAAAAAAGGAGTTACAAGATTTTGTAGATATTCAAGGGGAAAGAAGATGCTAAATAAAGATTATATAACTAACCAAATAAGAAAGATCCACATCATACTTAGAAACAGCACATAGACAGAAGAAAAGGTTATTTGCCTAAATGATTCGTGTGACAAAATTAAAGCACATGCTCTCCAAGTACAACTGCTAAAAGCCTCCAGAGTTTGGCCACCTTATAAGTATCAGGCTTTCAGTCACAAAAACAAAGGCTTTAAAGAAATAACCACAAGTAACTTCCAAAATGGGATTATAATACTATACTCTTAAGGTACATTATCATTGAAAAATTCACCTTATTAACAGGCTGTTTCAGAATTCATTATATTTCAATAATCTTTTAAAAAAGAAATACAGAATAGCAAACGTACTGAACCTCCTCCCCACCCCCCCACACACAGGGCACACAGAGTCAGACTTTTGTTTTGACAACTCTTAGACTAATCCAAATCTTAATACTCTAGTGAATATGTATAGTTTTTGGCATGTATATACTTACACAATCTACTAGAGTTTAATTAACTCTACTCCTGAACTTGTATGTGAGTTTCAAGAAAATTTTAACCAACGTAGAAAATTATCCTTTTGAAAACAAAACAAAACAAACCAAAGTTTTCTGGCCACAAGGATAGCTAATTAAAATTATATACTTTCTTATGCAACAATCTTTTGTCAAAGTAGGGCAGTATAAAAAGTAGGCATTCACTCTAATCGACATAACTGATAACTCCACAAAGCAGGTGCTGGAAAACTTTTTCTGTAAAGGGTTACATGGTAAATATTTTCAGTTTTGTGGACCCTACCATCTGTGTCATAACTACTCTATTCTACTAGTGTAGTAAGAAAACAGCTACAAGCAATATATAAGATTATTTACAAAGTTCCAATAAAAACTATGTATGGATACTGAAACTAAATTTTATATCATTTTCATTGATCACAAAATATCATCCTTTGTTTTTTTTCAACAATTTAGAAATATAAAAATCATTCTTAGCTTGCAGGCCACACAAAACCAGGCCCAATTTGGTTTGCTAATCCCTACTCTAAACCAGTGACTTAGTAAACCTGGTTTATACCACTTACTAGCTATGTAAACTTGACCTCACTCCACCAAAATAGCCCAAATAACAAAGAAAACCACCACCACCAATAACCATAACTGAATTAACCTCTTAATTAGCAGGTGGGAGTTAGAGAGCTATTTTATTGGTACAACAGCAGCAGCAACTAACATTTATTTTGAGATTACTATGGCTCCAAACAGTGTTCTAAGCATTAAGTATACGCTAATTTCTTTAATTCTCATCACAGCCTTGGGATGGATATTTTATGATCCCCATTTTACATACAAGGAAATTCAGGCAGAGAGAGATTAAGTAACTTATTTACGCTCACCCAGCTAGTAAAATGTGGAGCTGAGGTTTGAAGACACGTACTGGGTTCTGCCCTCAGTATCCTCAGAAATTAAAATGCACAACAGAAGGTAAGTACACATGAAAAATAATGATAGTTAATGCTCATCAATAATAAAAAGCTAATTTTTAAATGGCCTATACTGCAGTAAGAAAAATGGAAACTTGATTCAAATAGATGCAAGCATCAGTATTCTCAGTGAAAAATTAGGAACAGTAATCCCTGATTCCTTCCTGTGTGTGCTGGTTCAGGAGAACAAATGTTAGTAAAAATACCCCAGGAGAAAAATGCAAAAGGCAGTTCACTATGATTTTCTCTAAATGACTGTCCTGATTCTCCTAATACAAATTTGCCTCTAGCTTTGCTGTTTGGTATTTGCAGATTTATAGTATTTGCCCATTACTGATACATTAGCAATAAACACTAATAATCAGGAAGTCGCCTTTCTTATAACAGTTATAACTGAAATCACAACCCATTTGCACACTCTTTCCCATGAGATCTTTAGCGGTCAGTTGGTTCTGTGTGCTGGCATCCTAAATGCAAGTGGAACTCTTCAGGGATCATATGAAAACGATTTTAGGGTATAAATTAAAATTTATTTCAGTGTAGCATTAAGTTGCCAATGTGGCTTTGTGTCCGGAATTGGTGGGTTCTTGGTCTCACTGACTTCAAGAATGAAGCCGCGGACCCTCGCGCTGAGTGTTACAGTTCTTAAAGGCGGCACGTCCGGAGTTTGTTCCTTCTGATGTTCCGCTGAGTCGGGGGTTGTTAGCTAGCCCTTTCCCAGAAAGCCTGACACCTCTGTCTTTAGTCCGGGGGCCATGCTAGTCACTTTTAACTGGCCGACAGGTGCCCGGTATTTGGCCCCCGAATTCTAAGGAAAAATAGGACAGAATAGCAACCAAAAGGGGTCTGATGGTACTCACTGCTTGGCGATAGGCAATTGTCTCGTCGCTTGGCAATAGGCGATGGTCTCACCGCTCGGCGATAGTCTCACCGCTTGGCGATAGGCGATGGTCCCTTCGTGGTCGCCAAAATGTGTCCGCAATTGGTGGGTTCTTGGTCTCACTGACTTCAAGAATGAAGCCGCGGACCCTCACGGTGAGTGTTACAGTTCTTAAAGGCGGTGTGTCTGGAGTTTGTTCCTTCTGATGTTCAGATGTGTTCAGAGTTTCTTCTTTCTGGTGGGTTCATGATCTTGCTGGCTCAGGAGTGAAGCTACAGACTTTCGCTGTGAGTGTTACAGCTCTTAAGGTGGCGCGTCTGGAGTTGTTAGTTTCTCCTGGTGGGTTCGTGATCTGGCTGGCTTTAGGAGTGAAGCTGCAGACCTTCGCAGTGAGTGTTACAGCTCATAAAGGCAGTGTGGACCCAAAGAGTGGGCAGCAGCAAGATTTATTGCATAGAGCGAAAGAACAAAGCTTCCACAGTGTGGAAGACTACCTGAGAGGGTTGCCATGGCTGGGACTGGCAGCCTGCTTTTATTCTCTTATCTGGCCCCACCTAAATCCTGCTGATTGGTCCATTTTACAGAGAGCTGATTGGTCTGTTTCACAGAGAGCTGATTGGTCCATTTTGACAGGGTGCTGATTGGTGTGTTTACAATCCCTGAGCTAGACACAAAAATTCTCCACGTCCCCACTAGATTACCTAGATACAGAGTGTCGATTGGTGTATTTACAAAACTTGAGCTAGACAGAGTGCTGATTCATGCATTTACAAACCTTGAGCTAGATACAGAGTGCCAATTGGTGCATTCACAATCCCTTAACTAGACATAAAGATTCTCCAAGTCCCCACCAGATTAGCTAGACACAGAGCACTGACTGGTGCATTTACAAACTTTGAGCTAGACATAGAGTGCCGATTGGTGCATTCACAATCCCTTAGCTAGACATAAAGATTCTCCAAGTACCCACCAGATTAGCTAGACACAGAGCGCTGATTGGTGCATTTACAAACCTTGAGCTAGACACAGAGTGCTGACTGGTGCACTCACAATCCCTTAGCTAGACACAAAAGTTTTCCAAGTCCTCACTAGACTCAGGAGCCCAGCTGGCCTCACCCAGTGGATCTCCCACCGGGCCGCAGGTGGAGCTGCCTGCCAGTCCCGCAGTGTGCCCGCACTCCTCAGCCCTTGGGTGGTAGATGGGACCAGGCGCCGTGCAGCAGCGGGTGGTGCTCCTTGGGGAGGCTCAGGTGGTGCAGGAGCCCATGGCAGAGCGGGGAGACTCAGGCATGTCGGGCTGCAGGTAGGCCTTCCCTGCGGGGAGGCAGCTAAGGACCGGGGAGAAATCGAGCGCAGCGCCGCACTGCTGGGGGACCGGATGCACCCTCCGCAGCTGCTGGCCCAGGTCCTAATCCCCTCACTGCCTGGGCTGGCAGGGCCGGCCAGCCAGCCGCTCCCAGTGCGGGGCCCGCCAAGCCCACGCCCACCCGGAACTCTAGCTGGCCCACAAGCGCTGCATGCAGCCCCGGTTCTGCCCGTGCCTCTCCCTCCACACCTCCCCGCAAGCCAAGGGAGCCGGCTCCGGACTCAGCCAGCCCAGAGAAGGGCTCCCACGGTGCAGCGGCGGGCTGAAGGACTCCTCAAGCACGGCCAGAATGGATGCCAAGGCCGAGGAGGCACCGAGAGCGAGTGAGGGCTGCCAGCACACTGTCACCTCTCAGCTTTTAGAAGTTATAAGAAAACACCATCACTTCTACATAACTGGAGAATAAAAGCATCCCCAAAGAACTTGGCATTTTAAGACTTTGGCTGGCCAAGGAAATAAGAAATTTCTAAAACTACATTCAGTCCAGATATTTCTCATTGGAAGGGAGTTACTTGCCAGAAAATTATTTCAGAGTCTACTTTCATTACTTACCTAAAAATGAGGACGCTCACATGACAGATGATCTCTACAGCACTGGGGGAGGATCAGCAAGGCCAAACACATTATAAGAAGACACGGGACTTTTGCTTGTGTTTATTACTGCTTGAGGTTGAGCCTTTTGAGTATTTAAAAAATATATACCAACAGAACTACTCTCCCAAGGAAAATATAGCCAACATTTGTAGACCATGTAACCTTCAAGTATGTGCTACTTTTTTGTCCCTGTATCTAACTCAAATCAGGAACTGTATTTTTGTTTTTTAATGATTTGCTTTTGAAACTTGAATTCTTGAAAACAGTGTGATGCAATTACTGCTGTTCTAGCCCCCAAAGAGTTTTCTGTTGCAAAATCTTGAGAATCAATAAAGATGGAAAGGAGAAATTGGAATGTTTTAACTGCAGCCCTCAGAACTTTAGTAACAGCACAACAAATTGAAAACAATTCATGCCACAGTTAAAAAAAAAAAAAAGACACAGGAGACAGACTAGAACAACAGAGACTCTCAGAGCAAAATTCATCTGGCAAATAAAAAACATTGTCTAATTTTCCAAAATTTGTACTCTCCCCAAATATTTGCTATCAGCAAATCACATAATTCTGTATTATATGTGACTGCCTTGGTAAGAAAGAGATACTTATCAACAGAACAAAATCCATTCATGTTACTTGAAGTTGTTCATAACAAAGTTTATCATGAAGGAAAATCTCTGGCTTAGAAACAGCCCTCCAACTCATTCACTTTCCAAAGTCCAGTGTCTGGGAGCCATGCCTTACACCTCTCTCCCTTACCTCCCCTATCTTGGCTTCCACCAAATAGTATCAATTTTATCTTGCAAAAAGCCTTCAGATATGTCCCCTTTTCCTCGTCTCCACTGCCAACTGTCTGGTGCAAGTTGCTCTATCAGTCCCTGCCTAGACCATGAGTACTCTTCACTGTTCCCTCCCACTTCCACTTCTGCCCCTTTTCTAACTGACACAGCCAGAGTGATGTTTTCAAAAGACAAATTAGAATGTGTCACCCCAGACTGAAAACCTTTCAAAGCCATAACACATTGATGAGGTTGTCCACACTCTGGTCTGGACCTTCTTCTCGGACGCACCCTGCACTCCTCACCCCCTCACTTTCTTTGTCTCATTCACACTGACCTTCCTTCCATTTCCTGAACACCCCATGACTCTCTCAACAGAGTCTTTACACCTGTTGGCCCCCCATTTCCTGTAATCCCTCTTATCTTATGCCCTTTTTGCCTAGATAACTCGGATTCATCCTTTGGATCGCAAAGGAAAATCACCTCCTTAAGAGAACTGTCCCTGACCTAGGTTCAGATATCCCTGTTAATAATCTTAGTGGCCCCTGTATCTTTCCCTGATGGTACTTACCACAATTGTAATGCCTCATACTCCTAACAGACAAGAAGCTCTAGAGGGTAGGGTTCACACCCCTTTGTGTTCATATGGTACCCTAAGAATTTGGCACAGTAACAGACCATCTAGGAGGAGCTATTTGTGATATACTTCACATACTGTAACATTTACCCCTTTACAGTGTTACACATAGGAAGGGAAGAGGTTTACAATATAAATACTGGCTGTGTCTTAGAGTAACTCTATGTTTAACCTTTTGAGGATTTTCCAGATTGTTTTCCGAACAAATTTTCCATTTACATCCCCACCAGTAATGTATAGGGTTTCCAATGTCAACAAATCCTCACTAATACTTGTTTTTGTCCATATTTAAATTATAGCCATCCCACGAGGCATGAAGCAGTGTTTCATTGTGGCTATTCCCTAATGACTAACGACGTTGCACATCTTTTCATGTGCTCATTGGCAATTTGCAGATCTTCTTCGGAAAAATGTCTATTCAATTTCTTTGACCAGTTTTAATTGGGTTATTTTTATTGTTGAGTTGTAACAGTTCTTTATATATGTTGGATGCAGGTTCTTTATCAGATATAAGATTTGCAAATATTTTCTCCCATTTTGTGGGCTGTCTTTTCACTTTCTTGATGGTATCCTTTGAAGTACAAAAGTTTTTAATTTTAGTGTAGTCCATCTTACATAGTTTTCTTTTGTTGTTTATACTTTTGGTATCAATCTAAGAAACCACTGCCTATCACAAGGTTATAAAGATTTCAGTCTATGTTTTCCTCTAAGAGTTTCATATTGTTTTTATCTCTTACATTTAGGTCTTTGATCCATTTTGAATTAATTTTTATATATTGTGTGAGGATATCCACTTGTCCCAAGACTACTGGCTGAAAAGACTATTGGATAATTCTTGGTACCCTTGTTGATTATCAGTGTACCATAGATGTAACAGTTTATTTTTAGACCCTTAATTCTATTCCATTGATCTGTATGTCTATCCTTACGCCACTACCACACTGTTATTTATTATAGCTTTGTAGTAAGTCTTGAAATTGAGAATGGGGAGTTTTCAAACTTTGCTTTTCTTTTTCAATACTATTTTGGCTATTATGGATTCCTTGTATTTCCATATTAATTTTAGGGTCAGCTTGTCAATTTCTACAAAAGGGGCAGCTGAAATTTTCATAGAGACTGCATTGAAACTAGAACAATTTGGGGTGTATTACTATCTTAACAATGTGAGTTTTCTAATTCAAAGACACAGATGTCTTTCCACTTATTTAGGTATTTAATTTTTCACAACAATATTTTGTAGTTTTTGGTGTGCAAGTCTTGCACTTCTTTTGCTTATTTGTAAATATTTATTCCTGCGTATTCTGTTTAATGCTACTGCCAACGTCATTGTTTTCTTAATTTCTCAGTTTTATTTCTCAATTTCCAGATTGTTCCTTGGTAGTGTATATAAATACAATTGATCTTTATATTGATCTTGTATCTTTCAACCTTGCTGAATTCATTAATTAGTTCTAAGAATTTTTTAGTGGATTCCTTAAGATTTTTTTACATACAAGATGTCATCTACAAATAGAGAACGTTTTTCTTCTGGCTTTCCAATCTGGATGCTTTTCTTTTTCTTACCTAACTGTCCTGCTTAGAACCTCCAGTACAAAGTTAAATAGAAACAGTAAGATAACTCATCCTTGTCTTGTTCCTGATCTTAGAGGGCACACTTTCAGTTTTTCACCATTAAGTATGATGTTAGCTGTGTAGTTTTTGTAGATTCTCTTTATCAGGGTGAGGAAGTTCACTTCTATTCCTAGTTTGTTCAGTGTTTGTATGATAAAAGGGACTTAGATTTTGTCAAGTGCTTTTTCTGTGTCTATTATCATGTGACTTCTGTTCTCTATTCTATTAATGTGGTGTCAACACTGATTTTTCATATGTCAAACCAATCTTGCATTCCTTACATATATCCCATTTGGTCTTGGTTTCTATGCTTTTCATATGTCACTAGATTTAATTTTCCAGTATTTTGTTGAGAATTTTTCTTTGTTAGTTTAAGACATAGTCTTGCTCTTGTCGCCCAGGCTGGAGTGCAATGGTGTAATTTTGGCTCACTGCAACCTCCGTCTCCTGGGTTCAAGCTATTCACCTGCCTCAGCCTCCAGAGTAGCTGGGATCACAGGCATTCGCCACCACGCCCAGCTAATTTTTGTATTTTTAGTAGAGACGCGGTTTCACCATGGTGGCTAGGCTGGCCTCAAACTCCTCAACTCAGGTGACCCACCTGCCTTAGCCTCCCAAAGTGCTGGGATTACAACTGTGAGCCACCACACCTGGCAAGAATTTTTACATCAGAACTATAGACCAAAGATACTGGTCTATAGTTTTCTTGTGTTGTTGTTGTCTTGTCCATTTTTATCATGGTAATACACTGGCCTCACAGAATCAGTCAGGAAGTATTCTCTCCTCTTGTATTTTTTGGAGAAGTTTGTAAAGGATTGGTATTAATTCTTTTCTAAATTTTTGGTAGAATTCACAGTGAGGACATATGGGCCTGGGTTTTGTGTGTGTGAAGGGGGAAATTTTTAAAATTATAATTCAATCACTTAACTTGTTATAGGTTCATATTTTCTCTGTCTTCTTGACTCCGTTTTGGTAGTTTTTGTTTTTTAGGAATTTATCCATTTCATCTAAGTCACCAAATATTTTGACATATAATTACCTTTTTTAAATTTCTGTAGAGTCAGTAGTGATATCCCCTCTTTCTTTGTTGATTATTCTTTTATCCTGGTTAGTCTAGCCAAAGGTTCATTAATTTTGCTGATCTTTCAAAGAACCAACTTTTGCTTTTATTGATTTTCTCTATTGTTTTTATTCTTTATTTCATTCATTTGCACTTTCATCTTTATTATTTTCTTCCTTCTGCTTGTTTAGGTTTAGTTTGCTCTTCTTTTTCTAGGTTCTTAAGGTGAAAAGTTGGGTTATCAATTTGAGATCTTTCTTTTTTTGAAAACAATAAGGATTTATAGCTATAAATTTCTCTCTAAACACTGCTTTTTAAAGTTGCAGCCCATAAATTTTGGTATGTAGTGCTTTAGGTTAATTTATCTCAAGATATTTTCTAATTTCCCTTGTGATTTCCTCTTTGACTCTGATTATTTAGAAGTATATTATTTAATTTCCACATATCTGTGCATTTCCCAAATTAGGAGTATATCATTTAATTTCTACATATTTGTGCATTTCCCAAATTTCCTTTTGTTACTTATTCCTAATTGTATTCTATAGTGGTCAGAGAACATACTTTAGTATCATTTCAATCCTTTTTACATGTATTGAGGCTAATTTTATGTCCTAATAATCTATCCTGAAGAGTGTTCCATATGCACTTGAATGTGTGTTCTGTTCTTTAAGTGGAGTATTCTACAGATGTCTGTTAGGTGTATGTGGCTTATAATGTTGGATCTGGGAATGGAGCTCAAGCTATTCTGGTGTTTTCAAGAGGGTGCTTACCTTTTTAAGGGCTCACCATGCCATTTAATATCATCCTAATGGTAGGAGGTATGCACAGTAAGGTGCTTGCTTTGGATTTGCTCTTAAACACATCTATTCTGAAGAACTCCAAGGAGAGCAAGGTAGGAAATGAATGCAGCTGTCCTATCTTTCCTGATTAATTTCATATCTATCTCATGGGCATGTTTTAAATACATGACTACAATGTACGCTGCATATAAAAATATATACAAGTGCACAGTGAAAATAAATGATGTTATTTCAAACTACTAATACTGAAATTTAGTCTGTACAAGCGCTTTCTGAAAGAAATATCATATGACTTGGTAAAGAAGAAATATATTTTATGATTAAGAAACTTCTCTTACAAAATCTACTCTGTGAAGTAGTATCCATTTGCAGTTGATTTAAGGTAGGCCTTTGTGAAGCAAATCTAGAAATTAAGAGCACTACATCAATATGCAAAAATTATTTAACAAAATACCTTTTACTGTTCTTGCATGAAGTTTGTGGTTAATTCCATCAAAATGTTCAGAAGATAAGATGTGCGTACTTTCTTCAACATACCTAAAAAAAGAAAACTGGATTTACAAACTTTTAAGAGAAAACTACAAAACAGTATTATTAGCATATCATTAAGGCCACATCTATATTTTTTGAAAAAATAACAGTATTTAGGATCTTACACAAAAGTCATAAAGATATTTGCCTTATCAAACTGTGTAATATGAAAGTTTACCACTTTAGTAAAGTACTAAGATTTTTTTAAATATATACATGAATATGACTTAAATACTATCTCTTGAATTATATGAAGTTACAAAACCAAAGAAATGCTTAACTTTTGTTTCTGATTATTATGTAATCATCATTCAGCACCTTCACACATATTCTCCATAAGCTTCTACTATGGAATCATGGCCATTTTTACTTGGACAATAGGAAAATTACATGACTTTCCAAATACATCAAAACTTTCTAACTGAATAAAACACAGAACTCCTGATTCTCGACTGAGATTTTACCTTCTAAAATATAGAACCCAAAATCCAAAAATAGTGCCAGAAATAATAAATCTCAGGAAATAACTTTTTAACTTTAATTTTCTTTTCCTACTCACTTTTTCATCTTTATCCTGAACCTTTGTATCATATGGCCTCTTGATGAAAGTAATAAAAGCATTTTACTTTTTAATACTGCATGGTGAATCATTTTCAAACTTGTGAGGGACAGTAGTCATGACAGAAGGGTGCTTCCATCCCAAATTAATGACACTAACTATATGATCTAATTAAATCAGAAAAAGTTAAGTATGGCAAAGGTGTTTTAGAAGCAGCTGTGCCTTAAGCAGTCATATGGTAACCACCATGGAGCCTGAATCTAAAAATATTCTTTCAAGCTGGTATGCCATGCCTTGTTCCAGTTTTGAAGACCATATCACAAAATATCCACACAAGTAGGGTACATAGAGTGATGCAAAGAGACTTCTGAGCTATCCTCATAACCAACGTAAAGGTCATGGCAGGTAAATATATTCTTTTCACAGTTTGTCTAGCTAGATCTTCTTTCACATTTGTTCTTGAGGACTGAAGCTCCCTAGGTTCAACTGGGCACTTCTTGAAAAGCAAGCTCCTGAAGCTCTCTGCCCTTGTCCAGGACAGGCTGGCTGCACAAAGACTTCAGGTTTTCCTAGGGTGTTAGAGTACAATTACCTTGTGTACTTGGTAAAGGGGGAAGAAGATTCACCTGAGACTATAGGTGAAGGGAAGAGGAAAGACCATACTTAAAGTGATCATAGATTGAAGGAAGCAAGGAACCCTGGGAAAGATGGAGAACATAAGGGTCAATGACAGCAATAATGAATAGGTGCTTAGAAACAGAAAAGAGTACTATGTTTCAGCAAATGCTTACATTCCTATAGTTCTCCAGTCTGTGTCCAGAAGAATGTGGCAATGACAGAACATCTGTTCCTCCACTCCCAGGATGAGCTTCCTATAGCCATAGATGGACAAGGAGGCAAAGATACAGTAGAAAAAAAATGCGAACACTTCAAAACCTGACTGAAGCAGAAAACAATCTGGTCAGTATGAAGAGAGTCTCAGCAGGGGCATGGTAGCATGAAGAACGGAGACACAATCTTGCAAAGGGGCAGAAAGCAACTTTATATGTTAGTATTGATATAGCACCCCTTTAAAGAACCACTGCTTTAGACGAATCTTTATTTGTATATTGGCCAAAAAAAAAAAAAAAAAAAGCCGCCTATATTTAGAGAAACTCATCATCTTTTTACCTATGGTAAAAATAAACTATTTCTTAGTATGTTCTTTAGAATTTTTGTGTAAGCATTCTGTGGTTCCTAGGCCAATCTAAATTAATACAGTTAAAATTAAAGCTATCATATTCAATATATCTTTTTATGAAAAATCGAAACTAAAATTTCATATTTTCTGGAATAGAAAACATCCAGAAGAGTCACTACAAAATGTATCAAAATCTTAGAATATGGTAGTTCAAGCAAATACATTTTCATAACTTAAAACATATGAAAAATAAATACATATAATGTTTCGTTTATGATTCACACTTCTCAGTTACATTAAATGAATCAAACTTTTAATTGGGTAAGGGAAAATCACTCTCTTGGCACATTAAAAAAATGGAGATCATTATAATTTCAAATGAGAACATCTATTTAGTAAGGTTTACAAAAAAATATAAAGCAAAAAAATCCCTTGGCCAAATAAAATGTAGCCACAGTACCAGCAGAGTTGCAATATCTAGCACTTCTCTCACCATTTATTTAGTGAATACCTGTGGGACACACTCAGCAGCTTGCTTAGTGAGATAGGGGCCCTGTCTTTAAAAAGCCAGTTGAAGAGCCTTGCTGGTGAATAAACTGTTCTCTAAAATAAGTAAAATGTAAGATAACATGTGATGTGTCAGAAGACGCTTTCAATAAAATAATTTAAATCACTACAGATGTTTGCTTTAAAAAAATGTGTTTAAAAATTTCCACAGAACATCTCATGCCTCCCGTCTCCTTCTCAGCTTTAATACTGACCTCACTTCTCAGGAGAAATGGACACATACAATACAAAAACCACATTTAGAACAGCCTAAGTCTCTGTGTCCTACAAATTCTCATCTCCTCAAACTCTGCAACTGCTCAGAAAACGATGTTTGTGGTCAACTAGGAAACTCACTGCCCAGATTATTTTTGGAAACACAAGAGCCAGCCTCTTTGATGCCTGACACTAAACCTGCTCTCCTTAACTCCTCAAACCTTCAGTACTATTCTCCTCTTCATGCTCTCTCTAGATCATTTCACCTTCATTTTCCAAAGGAAACAGAAGTTATCTGATGGAAAGTCACTCTCCTTCCTGGTATCACATACAACCTACCAAAGTGGCTCCAGTCCTTCCTACTCTGGACTTGACACACCAAAGTGGTGCCCCTCCTCCTTCCAAATGCCAGACCCTCTGCCTATGCCTAATCCCATTCTCTCCCATTTTCCCAACAACATGAAAATATTATTCCTTCTCTTGTTTATATATTCAACCTCTTCTTCTTACGCAGATCTTTTTGCACTGGTTTTTAAACAAACCCTAGTCTCTTCCTTTAAAATAACAGCAAAACAAAACCATTTGGCCCCACATCTCCCTCCAGCTATAGCTCACAGGCCTATCTAGACACTTCCTGCTTCAAATAAACTTCTCTACAGAGTTGCCTAAATGTTCTGACTTCATGTCCTCATCTCCTATTCACTCCTCATATGTGCTTGAGCCCCACTACACCACTCCTCCAAGACCCTTCTGTCAAAGTTGTCCACAGACACCATTCAGTCTTCATCTTACTGGACATGTTAGCAGTAAAACCACCATTGTTCATTATCTCCTTAACATCCCCTTTCTCTTCTTTTATATCAACCAGAAGTCCCTCGTCTTTCCTTCTGCCTATCTTGCCATCCTTGGCCACTGAATGCTGAAGAGCCTCAAGGTAAACATCATGTCTCACTTTATATTCTCTCCCTAGGATATCTCATCCATTTCACAGAGATGTAAATAAAAATGAACTTTTTTGTTCTGTACTTTTAATCTCTAGTCCAGACCCCTTCTATGAGCTCCACACCTACATATCTGTAGGTCCATATCTGTCTACACAGGCAGCATACAGAATGATAAGGTGCATGGGCTCTGGAGGTGAACTACGTAGATTTAAATCCTGTTTCTTCCACTTACTGTCTGACATTGGACAAGTCTCTTAACATTTCTGTGTTTCCATGTCCTCAGCTTAAAAAATGCTGTAATAACTGTAAATGCTCAAAAATATTGGCTATTATCATTATTACTATTTGACCTTTCCTCTTGTGTGTCTCAAAGCCATCTGAAATGTTCTGCCTTTGAAATGCATGATGTTCCCAAAATGTGATCTGCTGCTGGAATTCCCTCGCTGTCTAAATGCTGTAATCAGAAATCTAGTAGTTATTTTTAATACAGTTCTCTTTCCTCTCCCATTTCTAATACAACATATCTGTTGGGATTTAAGGATTAAATCTGTTATCTTTTCTATAACTGCACCACTATAACTTTACCCCAAGGTCCATCCTCTCCAGTGTACCCCACTAAAATGGCCTGTAACCAGTCGAGACACTTCCACCCTTTACCCCAAAGCACCATCCACGCTGCAGCCAAAAGGATCTTTACAGATTGCAAATCTGGACAAGTCAACTTCATGCTTAAAACCCTTTATTTGTTTCTCATTGGTCTTAGAATAAGCACTGATCTTTATTAAATATGACCTAAAAAGCTCTATAAGGTCTGAACTCTGCCTCCCTCTCCAGTCCAATTTCATACCATATATTCCCTTGGTTCTCTCAGCCCATTCTCCACTTGGCTTGATTCCAATTCTTCCTGCTTGCTTTGCTCCTTCCCACCACAGGGTCTTTGCCCATGCCCTTTCTTTTCTCTGTTTAAAATGCTATTTCTTCCTCCTCTTCTCCTAGTTGACTCTTATTCATCCATCAGATTTTTGCTTAAATGTATCCTCCTTAGGGAAGCCTTCTCTGGCCTCCCAGATGAAGCCAAATACTTTTATTCTTGGTACTCATCATCTTACCCCTTTCTTTCAGGTTAGAGAAAGAGTAAGTGAATTTAGGGAGGAAGGAGGAAAGAAGTATCTTAGTCAGCCTAGAAATTAAGACACTTAATCATTTAGTTGGAAAAGCAAGCACAGGCACAAGGGGAAGAAGAATTACTTAGGTAACAATAGGTTATATGAAGAGAATTACGTGGGTAATCACAGGCTGTAAAAGGAAAGAAAAAACTAAATAGCAAATCTTCTGGAATAAGAACAAGGAACTTCTCTTGTATCTCCAACCTCACAGTTTTTATTAAAATGAGTTAGGGAATAGAATGTTCCCACTGGAACTATATGTTCGGTATACAGGTGATGATTCATCCAGTCTTAGCATATTAAGCCATAGACAAATCCAATCCAAATGACTAAAATGACAAAAAATATGTAATTTTAATAGGTTAATTTCAACAATGTCCTAAACACGTTTTAAACTGATATTTTGCATTATTGCTTCACATTTTATGTGTGCGTATAAACTAAAAATCAAAATTGATTTTAATGGAATACCACTTAGTAATCGAAATGAACAAGTTATTAATAAACACAAGTTGGATGAATCTCAAGGAAATAATATTAATTTCGAGACAATCTCAAGAGAATGAAAAAGTTAAATTAAAAAAGTTAAATCAAAAAAGTTAAATCTAAGGATCCATTTAAATAACATTTTTAAAATGGAAAAATTATGGCAACAGGGGGCAGATTAGTGGTTGCCAGGGGTTAGGGACAGGGGTGGGAAGTGGGAAGGTAGATGAGTGTGATTATAAAAGGCCAACATGATGGAATCTTTGTGATGGAAATGTTCATCTTGACTGTAGTAGATACAAGAAGCTACACATGTGATAAAAATTAGATAGAACTAAATAAATACACACACAAATGAGTTCGAGAAAAACTAGGAAAATCTGAATAAGATCTAGAATGCATCAGTGTTAATATCCTGGATGTTACCACTGGGGGGATTGTGTAAGCGGTGCATGGAACATATATTATCTCTTGTAACTGCATGCAAATTTACAATTATCCCAAACTTAAAAGTGTCATTAAAAAACAGCTTTAAAGTGGTTTCACAGCATTTCTCAAAGACACTGGATTATATATACTCGACTACAGAATTCCAATTTTTTAAAAGGAGGCTTCCTCCAGTTTCTTCATGTTCTACCTTTGTTGCTGTCAGCCCATGAAGAAAGGGAGATTTAGGTAGACAGAAAGAAATGTCTTGAGGTTGTAATGAACACAATAAAAAAAAATCAATATTTTTAAAAAGTAGATCTTAAAATGTACTTGAAAGTTTGAAATCATAATGACATAAACAACTATTTATGACCTAAGAAGAAATGCCTACTTTGGTACTTTGAAGTATTAAAAAAAATCACATAGAATTAAATTACAAAGCTCAAAACTTGTTTAGGCAGCTGGTCTTTTTTAAAATCAAGGAACTTTAAACCTACAATTCTAATAGGCTTACTGGTGACACCCCAATCCTTTGAAAAATAAATGAAATATCATAAATCATTTGACAGTTTTTAAGCTTAGATTTTTATCATCAGTCAGACTCTTTAAAAATAAAAAAGCAATATGAAAGGATAGGATCTTGCTTTGTGCCCTATGAAGTTTAAGATAGAAAATAAATCATACTATTAAATGTCATTTAGAACCTTAACTTCAATACTTAGGATGAAATTGGCATAATATTCATGGTCATTCCTATGAGAATTCATGCAAGTCGAGTAGCTTTTCTTACAAGATATTGCAGAACTCTGGCACTTCCTGTGATAAATGAAGCAATAAGGCTTTGGAATTGCAATTGTGTATATTTAGGTACTTCATATAAGCAACCAGACTGTCATCTTGCTGGATATCTAGCACTATGAATTTATTATTTGTTATCCAAAGGAATGTTTGAATACTTATAAAGAGTAAAGGGTTGGGGTAAGCCCTTAACATTTAAAGCTACAAATGTAGGACTATATAGGAAGCCACAGTGTCCAACCTTAATTTTCTCGGCAAGTTAATTTAATGAAAAATATTCACAGATTTTTCAGGAAGTGCAGAGATGAAAAAATCTATAAATATCTTGAAAATGTTTAGGATTCAACATAACATTAAGATCTAGATATTAGCCACAGCATCCTGAGAATTTTTATCACAGTGAAGTTGCAAGAAAATATATTATGGGAGTCATTCTCCATGACCTGGTTTTAAGGTAAATTCATTGATGGGTCAATAATCAGTTCAACTCATAAAAGTGTGCTTTGAGAAGTCAGCTGAACCAGCATTAGTGGAAAGAGGTCAAAGCCGGGCCCTCTCAGTTATCTGGCCCATCCTATTTTAAAAGAATTCTGTTGGAGGAGATTCATTCCAAAGGCCAAAAAAATTACTTCTGTCTTTTCTGATGGTTTCATTTACCCATCACATAAGTGAAAATCCATAATTTTCTTTCCCTTCTTGAAGCAATAATGGCGGAACTTCTGAGAAACAGTCTCAGAAGATTTATACTGTACCAATATAAATCCCAATCATTTTAGATTTCAGTAGTTCTTCTAATTCGCTTTTAAGATACAGCCACCAAAACTGTGGCCTCCAAATAAGGCCACTAATGTCACATCCATATCAAGCTGTATAGGCATTTGATAAACACTTGAATGACTGAATTAGTGACAGCAGAAAGCCTACTTCTCATATTTTGCATATCGTATTATTGCTAAGAAGTATCCTTAAAGATTATTTAAGTGTACCTCTAATTTCTCAAGAAATTAAATGCTGAATACATACCAAATAGTATTTTCAACAAATGTGCAAGTTATAAATAGTAAAATGAACACCTGTTTTCCCACTAGCCAGTTTAGAGAATACATTACTTATAACTTTGAAGTCCCCTTTATGGCCTTTCCCATTCCAATTCCAATCCTTTTTCCCATGCCTTCTCTCCAGCTATCCTTTTTTGTTGTTGTTGTTTTTGCTTTCCTTTATAGTGTTACCATATGTATCCCTAATATCTTGCTTAATTTTGCAAGATTTTGGATGGAGTTATATTGGTTGGAATCATATTGGAAGTATTCTTAAGTTTCTTGGTTTTATTCTGTTCATGAGACTTATCCATGATGATATGTTTGAATGTGGCACAATTTGTGTCTTCTCTTATTGATGGATATCTGAGTTGTTCCCAGCTTTCTGGAACATATTATGTATTTCTCTATGTAGATTACCAAGAGTTTCTATGCCTCAGAGTGGAGTTGCTTGGTTGATATATGCACAACTTATTAGTTAATGCAAATGTATTATATGGTTGATTCAATTTGTATAACCACTAGCAGGGCAAGATAAGTTCAGGATGCTCCAACATTTTTGCCAATCTAATGGACATAAAAAAGTACTTCCTTGTGATTTTTAAAGCTCTTTTTTATTTCTTGAGGCAAAATTTATATAAAATGAAATGCACCAATCTTAAGTGTACCATTCCATAAGTTTTTTTACAAATGCATATACCTTGTAACCCAAATCATTACCACTACCCAAAGTTTGTTCCTTCAAAATCCTTCCCAGTCAGTTCCCGTCCCATCCCCTAGAAGCAACGACTTTTCTCATCCTTTCCCCTCACAGATAATTTGCCAGTGTTTCATTTTATGAATAACCACAGTCTGTTTATCCATTCTCTTACTGATGGGAAGCTGGGCTATTCCAGTTTCTGGCTAGTATGATTGAAGCTATATTATGCACATATATTATGTATGTACTTCTCATAAGAATCTTTTTGGTCGATTTTTATTTTCATTTCTCTTAGGCAAATATCTAGGAGAACTGCTGAATCATTGGGTAAGTGTATTTAACTTCATAAGAAACTGCCAGATCTTTTTCCTCAAGTGGTATACCTAATGTATAAGAATGCCAGTTGCTCTAGATCCTATCTGATTTTAGACAGTATGGTGGGTTTCTCATTCTCATTTTAACCTGCATTTCCCAGATGACAAATGACGCTGATCACATGCTTACTAATCATTTGAATATCTTCCGTTGTGCAGTGTCTGTGTTACAAAGTGTCTTTTCAAATCATTTGTTCCCTATTCCTTTTTAGTTTCTGGTTGTTCCGCTTTTTGTTATGGAGCTGTATAAATTAGCTATATATTCCTTTGACAAATATACATTTAGCAAATATTTTTCTCAGTCTGTGGCTTGTTTTTTGTTTTCTTAGTGGTATCTTTTGATAAACACAAGTTTGGTTTTTTCAATGAAGTCTATTCTTTAAAGCTTTTCTCTTACAGTGATTGCTTTCTACATCCTAAGAAATCTTTGCCTACCCCCAAGTCATAAGGATATTCTCTGATGTTTTCTTAAATTCGTATGGCTTTAGCTTTTTATATTTAGTAGTATGATTCATCTCAAATAGATTTATATGCATGATGCAAGACAGAAATTGAGATTTATATTTTTGCTTGTGGATATCTAGTTGACCCAGCACCATTTACTGCAACACTTTCCTTTCCCTACTTGGTTGCTTTGGATTTGTTTGAAATCAAAGGACTATATAAATGGGTCTATGGCCTCTGTTCAATTGCATTAATTTATTAGTTTATCCTTATGGCAGCACCATGCTATCTGGATTACTGCAGCTTTATAGTTATGGTACAAATTCAAGTCTTCCACCTATGTTTTTAAGATTCGTCAGATTTTCTCAGTCTTTTACATTTCTATGTAACTTTTAGAATTAGCTTGCTAATTTTACAAAAAGGCCCGTGGATTTATGCTAGGGATTATGTTGAATCTACAGATCAATTTTGAGGGAAATGTCATTTAATTGAGTTTTCCAACCATATGGCATCTCTCTTCATTTATTTCTATCTTTAATTTTTCTCAGTATAGTTTTGTTGTTCTTACAGATTTTGCATGTCTTTTGTTGAATTTATTCCTAAATGTTCTACTTTTATTAGAAATAGGAAATAGGTTCTATTAATGATCATCTCAATTCAAAAATACTCATTTCTCAGGGTGCCTCCATCGCATTTTCACTCCTTGGAAACATTAAAAACATGAAAATCGTGAGAAAGTTTAATATTAAATAGTACATACTATATTCTGTATGGTAAACAAGACAAGAATTTCTAAAAATGAATGGAGATTCTACAAGTTGGCAGTAAAATAAAGGAATGGACTAAAGTCTAACAATATACATGCTGGAAATCAGGCTGGGGAATTTTTATAATCCACACACATTTTAAGTAGATTATCTGATGGGGAAGAAAGGTGTCAGACATACCATTACCTCAGTCTGCAGTTGCATCGATCTTTTAGGTATGGGACTTTTGCTACCTAACTACTCCAAAGCTTTTTTGACATCTGACCCACGCAGTCATGAGCACAGGTTTCAAGGAGAGGAGAAGAGCAGCAAGTATTTAGCTTTCATTTTGAGCAGATATAGTTTAAGCTCTTAGATAAAATTTAAGCTCTTTGTCTTCTGCTAGAGACAGAACTGTATCCAGAGACTCTGAGGATTCCTACTTGGCCTTCTTTCATTTGCAACTTGTTATAATAGTAGTTTCACATTGTCCACTTTACTGTGGCTCCTTTTCTTCCTTCTATGGGTTTTCCTGAACTACTAATTTTATTTTCCGTATCTTCACTATCTGATTCTTCAGACATCTGTATGTACGAGGATCTAAGAGTGAATTAATCGAATTTCCCATTATTACCACTGAGATCCTAAAAGACATTCCCTTCATCTTTGGCCTTGCTGGCCTCTCTTTTTGCTTCCCCTTTGAAGTATTTTCTCCATATGCTTTGTCTTAACTTTTTTCCTCTACTCTTCTTTGTCAAATTTTTCCACTTCCTGAAGCCTTTCTTTTGATTTTTCAAGGTTTATACCACTACAATCCTCTTCCTTAGCATCCTTTAAGATGCACTTCTGCATCGGTGGCCAGCGCTGAACCTACTTCCCTTCGTCAGTAAGAATTATGTTCTTATTCACTTAAAATTTCTCATTTCTTTTGCGTGTGATTTTGGTCACTTTTTTCTTGTCACTGGATTCAGACAATTTTTTATTTTATATTTATTTATTTATTTAGAGACAGAGTCTCGCTTTGTTGCTCAGGCTGGAGTGCAGTGGCAAGATCTTGGGTCACCACAACCTCTGCCTCCCAGGTTCAAGCGATTCTCCTGCCTCAGCCTCTGGAGTACCTAGTACTATAGACGCACGCCACCATGCCCGGCTAATTTTTGTATTGTTTTTAAAGGCGTGAGCCACCGCGCCCGGCTGACAAATTTTTATTTTACAATGAATTCTCTTCGAGATCCAACCAACCCAAGCATACAGTACTATTTCTCCTTAAAGAAATCAGCATCTGGGCCATCTTCAGCCTCCTCATCTGTGTTCATGAACTTTATAGAAATGTCCTTGGTTTTCTGTGCCTCATCAGTATTAGGGGCAGACTGAGTTTGAGGCTCCTCTGTTTTCAACACTTTCTTTTCCATTTTCCATCTCATCTGTCTCTTTCTTTCTCTTCCTCTCCTTCTTCATTACTAACATCATTGGCCCGCATGTACTCTCTCTCTCCTGCTTCTGGTCTCTTTCCATCTGACTGAAGGATGAACAACATATTGTTATTGAAATAGGCTCTAAATTCTTCCATGTAGTCATTGGTGAGAGATAAGAGCTGTATTCTCATTAACAACTCTTTGGTCAGTTGTTTCTATATTTTCTGCAGAGACCTTATCCAAAGTGTCACAGCAAGACAAAGAGACACAGCATATTCAGGTAGAGGTAACTTGTTCAAATACTTATCAGATACACTAACGTACATAGGAAATGAAATACCTTTGAGGTCTTCCTTTTAATGGTTGATCTTGGGCTAAAAAGGGCTCTGGTATTTTCTGGATGTCCCTAAGTTTTTCTGGATTAATTTTTCCTTCTTTCATAGGTATCCTCTTCTTGAGAGGTAGCTACACCATCCTTTTCTTCTCCTGAGAGAAGTAAAATTGATACAGCTTCGCCATCCTCATTTTACTTGGCAGTTTGATCTCCCTGGGAATATGAGTTGGTATCCTCTGGGCAATCGAACTAAAGAACCCAAATCATGACCTGGGTATCCTGCACCCTGGCTGCAGGATCAGTTATAAAGAGCACTGCAGCTCTCTTACAGACAAACTTATTACAGACTTCATTTTTCTCATCTGCTGCTGTCAACCATAGAGGTCAAGAATAGAAATAGCCGAGTGTAGCCAGTAGAAAACTTGGTTTAGATACTGCAACTCTTTACCACTGAAGAAAAACATAATACTCTTTCTCAGATGGCTTCTCAAAAAGGATTATATGACATATTTTACTACAGTTCACAATCAATGTAGTTTTGTTCAAAGTGGCAGGGGTGTTATATTTCACTTTTGTCACCAACCCAAATATATTCAGGGTTTTTCTAACTCAAGCATATAAGATCTTTTACAGATTTAATTTGTTTTACCTAGAAAGAGGCAAAGTTAATGTTTCTTGGGAAGATTTTTGGTAACAGCATTCACGGTATCAAGCAAACACCATGCCCAAGATTCTATTTACTTCATCAATGAACTAACCTTTGGAGATGGGTATCATGATAACTTATTGCTTTATCTTTGTGCTAAAGAAGTTGAACCTGTATGCAAACAAGTGTATTTATGTGGTTGATTAGCAGGTTCAAGTACATCTTTACCTTTCAACGTCAAGTAAAAAAGATCTGTCCTCCAGTGTTGCCTCAATAAAGTCTCAAATAAATCATTTTTATATTATTTTAAATTTAAAGCTATTTGCCTATTGACTTATAGTTGAAGGACTATTTGGACAGATATAAAAATCTGTAAGTTACCTATCCTTTTCTTAAAAGTCTTTTAAGTATGGCCTATTTTCTTGCACTGAATGAAATCTGAGGCCAACATAATTTTCTCCTTTATAAATATCTTGACCTATTTTTCTGGCTCCCTCCCAAAATTTTATCTCTGAGGTCCAGCAACTTTACCAGACCCAGGCACACAGTGTCCTTTCAATGTTTAGATTCAAGTTGTCACTTATTTCAGAAAAGTTTATGCTCTAAACACTGGTTTTCTTTCATTAAGTTTGGACTTTTTGTTGGGTCTATGATTATGCGTATGATGGATCTACTTGGCCTGTCATCTACACCCATGGTCTTAAAACTGAGGAACATCCGAGGCTGCTCTAATGCTTCTTAAGAGATATGTAGGCCTAGATAGTTTTAAGGCAATCTATTTCCAGGTCCTCAACTCTCATTCTTCCCAATACCGATCTTTCTGAGAGTGTACTGGCAGCTAAGGCATCATGCGGCCTCTCTTCTCACTTCACAAAAGAAATGCATACCTCCTGGGATGTAAAAACCTCCAGGGTTCCAAAAACGGGGAAAAATTATAACAATGCTATCTATGAAACCTCCTTTAATCAAAGCACTATAGTAAGGCCTTGTTCTTTCCATGTCTCATACAGATTTTATTAAGAAATGGAGTACTTGGCCCATATTATTATATGATAAATTGAGTGTATTGTAGAATGAAGCAGTTCCACAATACACAGTGAGGACATTTTACTTACAGGGATTACCTCTTCTATACTCTTATTAGTGTTAAAGACGTATCTCTCTGGAGATTTCAGTGAGCGCAAAGCAAAGAAACACTGAAGGCAGCAGTACCTTATTGTATCCAGGCAACACATGGTAAGGCTCTGTGCCTTATCTACTTAATCTATATTAGAATTAGAATTCAGCCATGTGATGGTTGTCATGGAGGCATATATTAACATATTTATTTGAGATGAAAAATCAAGTGGGACTTTTACTGACAGAAGGATGTCTGATTTAAAAGATAAGTTTGAAAATAAATACCAGCTTTGTCAATTAGATTAAATGGCAACCATTTTCCCTAAATTGAGTGATCTACATTTATAGCTTCAAGGTTTTGATAAAAATATATTTGAGGTATAAATTAAGAAAAACCATTGTCAGCCAGAAGCGGTGGCTCACGCCTGTAATCCCAGCACTTTGGGAGGCTGAGGCGGGCAGATCACCTGAGGTCAGGAGTTTGGGACCAGCCTGGACAACATGGTGAAACCCCTTCTCTAGTAAAAATACAAAAAATTAGCTGGGAATGGTGGAGGATGCCTATAATCCTAGCTACTTGGGAGTCTGAGGCAGGAGGATCACTTGAACCAGAGAGGTGGAAGTTGCAGTGTGCCAAGATTGTGCCACTGCACTCCAGCCTGGGCAACAAGAGAGAAACTTTGTCTCAAAAAAAAAAAA